>NC_000002.12:148701739-149004769 GCF_000001405.40 Homo sapiens | reverse complement strand
TTGCTGTCAAGATCAAATGAGATGAACCTTATAATGTTCTTAGAACATTTTCTGGCACATATTAAGTGCCCAATAAAGATGACTAGTATGAATTTATTGATGCATATTTCATAACATAAAAGCCATTTTTTCATTAGGATTGTATTGCTTCCTTTTATTGTTGTTGTTAAAACTTTCACTGTCATCTTGGGGGCATTTTTTCCCTTCATTTTGGATTATTTTCTACAAATGAAACCTTAGGAATTAGATTACTGAGACAAGAGCCTGAGCCAAATCTGGTGATCTTTGTTAACAAGATCAGAAGATCAAACATTTCTGTCTGCTCAAGTCTCCATGTATTTACCATAGGAAATATGATCAGTTCCTTGCAAAATATTTTCCTATAGAGGAAGAGGAGAGAGCTAAATTCTGCATGCAAACTTTGTCTAAATTGACCTACTTTAACACAGAATTTCAAGGGATGCAACTCACACACGCTCACATCTAAAAGGAAGAAACAGACTATAAAGCTACGGAAACACTAAGTTTCTTGCAATAAAGGTTCTCTGTTAATTTAAGGTCTTATTACTGGGTCCAATTCTGTGTTGAAATAAGAAGCACCTGAAGTCAATTGTGTCCTCGGATGAGGTAAATTACTTTCTGCAGGAAACCAAATGGATCTGTGATTATGAATAATGTGCACACAGGACCTGTTTGAGGCTGTGCTGCCTTCCAGCCCAGGGGCAGGGGTGCAGCACTCACTCTGTTACAGACACACTGTCCCAGGCCCTGCCGGAGGGAGCTCAGCCCAGATACCCTGCTCCTTAACACCTGCGCCCACCCTGCATGCACTCTCTCTGTTTCTTGTCAGTGGTTTCATTACTGATTGAACCGTAATCACAGTTTACATTTTTCATAAAAACACCACCACACCAAAGGGGAATGAGAACAGTTCTTTGTCCAAGGCCCAGGCATCTCCTGGGGTGTAAATACTAAATATAGAGTCCTGAGTTTGGCAACTTTCTCTCATTTTGTTTGTTTTTAGGGAGATTCAACAATAAACAGTTTGGGAAGGGTAGTATAAATCATTTAAAATCACTTGTCCCTTTTATTTATGCACACTGTGCTTAGGCAACTATCATTCAGCCTCCTGTGGCAATGCTTTCTCCTCCATCACATTCATTATCATCCCTCTGCCTCCCCACACATGTCCCTCTTCACATCACAGGTTGTGACTCTCCATGCCAAAGCTCAAGGCTCAGCTTCCTGTCACAGTGGACAGCAAGGGTGGGACCAGCAAGGAGGGAATACAAGTCTCATCAACGCACCCAGAGGAGGGCTCCCGCCCCAAAGCCCAGACAGTGTCCTGTTCCAGCCAGTCAGCTGCCCGGGGCCAGGGATGCCCCGACGGCCAGTTGGCCTTTTCCACCACTGTCTCCTGCAGCGGGCTTCCCGGGCATTCACCCCCTGGCCAGCAGGCTCCATGCTCCGCCCACCTCACCCAAACACTCCAGGAGGCAGAACGGGCCCTGCGCTGAGGAGGGCGGCAGAACAGTCAGCCAAGGACAGTGCGTCTATTTCTGAAGAACATTTACGGCTCGGGGAGGATTCCAAGGCTGAGTGAAAACATCCGAGTCTAAAACGGCATACACTGCAGGGCTCCACTCTTGGATTTTTAAAGTGTGCATTTGATGCGTGTGGGTGGTGAGAGTGAGGGAGAGAATGTGGGTGCCACGAAGCCAGTGTGTCTGTCCGCGTGCATGGGCTGGGCGAGGGTGAGAGCGGGGAGCAGCCTGGGAGGGTGCGCATGGAACCGCGCCCAGCGTGGGAGAGAGAACGGACGAGCAGGGAGACGGGAGGAGCTAGTGAGGAAAATACGTCATTCAAAAGACGCAAAAGACCACTCGAACTTCAAAAAAGGCAAAAGAGCTGATGAAACATTCTTTAAATATCACACTCCTGAGTGTATGAGAGGAGAAAGCATGTGAGTCCGTGAGCATGGAAATGAGTGTGCCTGTGAACGGAGGTGGTTGTGACAGTGAATGAGTGTATGAGTGACGGGTGTGAATGCGCCTGCGTGCGTGTGAGGGGGAGTGTCCTGAGACAGCATCTGTGTAAGTGTACAAGGGAGTGTGAACATGCGTGTGGGTGTGAGTGAAGGCAAGCAAGGGGAGTGAGGGTGAGAACTGCACGAGAGTGATTGTGTGAATGTGCGAGTGAGAAAGTGTGGACGATCATTAGTGTGCATGCAAGTTGTGTGTGTGAATGCAAGTGTGCATGTTCTGTGTGTGAGCAAGAGTGTGTGTTGTAAGTACTTGTGTATGGAGGAGCATGCAGGAGTGAGTGCGGCTGCGCAGAGGCATGAGAACAGGAGAGTGAGCAGCTGACTGCGTGTGTGGGCAAGGGACTTGTGAGCCCCGGTGTGAGTGTGTGATGATGTGCTCACATGCTTGAGTTGTAGGTGTGAGTGAGACTGAAAGAGAGCGTGGATGGCTAGGGACAGTAGGGTGAGAGTGCCTGAGAGCTCACGGATATAAAGGAAGAAAACATCCCAAAATATTTCATTGATATCACTGATCTCTGGCTGGTAGAAATATAGTGAAATTTTAATGTTCAATATTTTTCTGAATTTCTATAATTATCTATAATTAGGATTATCACTTCTCTGGTAAAACAGATGTAGATGAAGCAATTTCATGGCTTCATTTCGGGTTCCCCGGCAGCAGCCCCCTCCACAGGCTCCTCCTCCATGCTCCAAAGGCCCAGCTCCCTTTGGACACAGGCATCTTCTGTCTCCAATGGCTGGTGCCCTCATTTCCTCTCCCTGGCTTTGAGGTCCAACAAATATGACTAGTCCATGGGCCAGAGCACAATCTCAGGGCCAGACCCAAGCAACCAGTTCCCACCAATGTGGGGTCACCAGGTCCTTGAAGATGGATCAGTCCCACACAGATCCACATGACCCATGAACGGAGCCAAAATGGATGACTGTATCTAACCAACGGTTTCTCTCTGTCATTGAATCATGTGAAATGCCTGAACGTGTTTTCACCAAATGGAGAGGCTATGTTAGAATGGTCTGTCTTAAAGCGCAGGCTGTGGGGCACGGAGCCAGGCAGCTATCCCACAGAGCAGCTGAAATGGAAGCCGACCAGAGGAGATGATGCCAACAAACCCAGACACACGACAGAGAAAACCAACCAGGGTTTCAAATAACAAGCCCTTCCAAAGGTAGGTTGGGCCCATCACTCCTCCACCCAAAGCCCTGCAGGTCTCAAGGTTTTACCTGGCCTGAATCACTGAAGCCTTTACCTCTCTGTGCTCACCTTATATCCCTGTCCTTCCCTCAGCTGCAGCCACACAAACCTCCCTGCTGGCCCCCAACAGGACAGTCCCGGGCTTATCTCAGGGCCTTGGCATGAGCTGTTGCCTCTGCCTGGAATGCTCTCCCCAACACATCTCTGTGCTCAGTTCTTCTCCTTCTTCGAGTCCCTGCTCAAAGGTCACATCCTCATGGAGCCTCCCCCAGGCACCAACCTATGCACATTCTATAGCAATCTGATAGAGTGCAAGATTTGTTTCCTTACTGTTTATCGTCTCCCACAGCTAAAGGTAAGCTTCATGAGGACAGGGATCTTATCTCTGTTGTTTATGGATATATTCAAGCACCTTGAAGAATGCCAGCCGTTAGGAGATGCTCAATAAATATCTGTTGAATGTTGAGTGGAAGTATGTCACAAAGTGCAGGGCTGTAAAATTGCTAAGTTGCAATTCAGCTTAATCCTCACTCAGGGGCTCCAGGTTACTGCTCTAAGGATAGATGGATTGGTTGACTGATTCTGTGAAAAGTTGAGGACTAAATTCTACAAATCCTACTTTTCCATAGAATGTCTTATCTAAAACATTACACAGAAAGGTGTGCATGGATAAAATTTTGAAATAATCCGACAAATCACAAATGAATCCGGTCTTGGAGACAAACATAAATCGGGAAATATCTTGACATACCACTGTCTCCTCCAGCCCTTTGAGGTCTTCTCTGGCTTGTTCCCTTTTATCGTTGAGCAATCTGAAAAACAAAAAGGAACCATAGACCACCACAGGGGACTCAGAGATTTCAGCAGATACTATTTGCATCCACAGATAAATCAACAAAACCCACCAACAAGCACACAAATAGCCATTGTCTGTTTTTAAATTAGCCCAATCTAACCAGAATATCATGGGGATGAGAGAAAATAGAGGAAATATTTAGAGTGCACTCACAAGAGCTTTTCCAGCTTCATTTCTCTCTCTTGGTCCTCTATTTTCAGCTTGTTATAATCAGAACTAAGCTTCTCCTGTTCCAGTTGCAGTTTCTGATTCAAACTGAAATTGAGAGGAAAAAGCAATATATTCCACATCAGTCTGAAATTCTGAGTCATCAGGCTAAAACCGTGGTTCTGTTCCAACCCTATTAGCTCTGTACAATAAAGGCAGTAATTCTGCAGGATTTGGAGGGATCACAGAACAGCCTCACAGCTTCCTCCGTGCCCAAGTGAAAACTAATTTCTGGGGTGCATCTAAGAGTCATGAAACATAAGGCTTTGAGGATGTATTTATAGTTTGCTTGTGCAAGAGCTTCAGGGGAAAAATAATGAGATGGGAGAAGGGCTGATATTTTAAAACAGAGAGCCCATGTCAGAAGAACTCTGCTTCCTCGGCCCCTCGGATGGCATGCAGTCACTTGGGGAACCTGATTTGGCCATTTCCACCTTCCCTCATTTCTGGTCTGATGTTCTAAAAACATCTCCCAAGTCCGAATGCCTCACTGATACAGGGACAGTTCCTGCCCTCGAGGAGTGGGCACAGAGAGAATTATGAAGAAAAGACAGCCTGGGCTCTGCTGCAAACAGAAACTCGCCATCTGGTTGAGGGTGTTTGGTCAACATTTACATCAGCCCAGGACTCATAAAACCTTTCCTAGAGCCACGCCTAAGCGCCTGTAAAGGAACAGCTATGCACTACCAGAAGGAAAACCCAGAGTCCATTTGAAAGGCACAAGCCAGGGAAGCTTCCCCCTCCACCTAACTCACTCACCAACCAACCCTCTTTCTCCCTCTTCCTTCCCTCCAACCTCCCCCTCCCTTCCAGTCGAATCTGTGAGGGTGATTAATCAGAATAACGAATGTGAGATATCCCTGAAGGGGAAAAGCACAACATGGCAACAGCAGGGGATGGCCGAAGAGGAGAAAAAGAGGGAGGAGGCTAAGTGCCTTCCTTCAGGAACTGGGCACCGAGCCTGGGTCACACCATTTAGACTTTTGCTTGGGTTACCATTCTCCTCTTTTAAAATGCAAATGCACCTTTCGAGCGGCTCACACACATTGAAAAGGGACTTGGATCAGTAGTCTGGAGAATTAAAGTCTAACTCCAATCTGATTCCTATTTAGCAATGTGACCTTAAGTAAATCATTTCGCCTTGCTTCCCATATAGAAATCTGTTTCTTCATCTACAGAAAGCGGGAGGGGAGGGAACAGTGTAGACCCTGGGTGGGGTGGGGGTGGGGAGGTCAGCATTTCAATATAATTGGTTTTCTTTGTAATCCCAGGTCTTTTATGCAGAGCATTTGAAAACATTATTCTGAAGGAGCAGAGGGCATGTCAGAGGCTGCGACAAGGCAGGAGCACAACATGAGGGGGTGTCACCTGAGAGAAACTGCAATGATGCCATCCTGGTGGCAGTGCCACAGGTCACTGGCACCTCTACCTGCACAGACACATGACAGTGTGGGGCCCTAAGAAGTGAGCACATGGAACCAGGTGGCTGGGTTGCCCAGTGAGCGTGTATGTGTAGGGGGAGAAGGGGAGGCGGTGGTGCTGTCTTCTCTCGAGTGTTTATTAACCTACTAGAATCCTGTAGTCAGGACCAAATTTTTTTTTTTTCTTTTCTTTTCTTTTCTTTTTTTTTTTTTTTTTTGGTGCTTTCATTACAGATGCTCCCCCCCATCTACTGGGGCATGCGTCCATCCAGCGGAATCACCTATGTGACCCTGGCCCTCGGGGACTAGGAGAGGCAGCTGGGCCCGCCTGCCACCTGCCATGCCAGGGCTCCAGGAGGCTCAGCTCCAGATCGGAGAACAGACCTTGGAAGCAGCCCGCCCAGCCTGCTGTGTCACCAGGGCAGTGCCCACAGGGCAAGGTGAGCAGGGCCCTCGACTAAGAGCCACATCCTTCCAGGCTTCCCCAAGAGGACCGAGGCATGACCACCCCCACACCCCTGGTGCCCTGGGCCGACTCACTCCCGAATCTCATCAATGATTTTCTGCTTCTCCTCAATTTCGTCTCGGAGTCTGGACAGCTGCTTCTGGTGAGCTTCCCGGTGGCTCTCCATCTGCTGCTCCAGCGCCTTCTGCATCCCAGGCCAAGAGAAACATGTCATCTACTCGTTGGCACTCAGCCCACTCTGTGACAAGCCCTGGATCTGGACCTACCTCCTTCCCTGTGTCCCTCAGATGTCAGATCCCAAAACTGGGGGCATTTCTGGCTGTTTTGCCCCCAGGACCCGGCCTTGCTTTATTGGGATAACAAAACCCAAGATCTGTTATCAAACCAAGTTGGCCCTAGAAGCCAATTAGCCCACCAACTAAATAAAAAGTGTTCCCTTGACCTTTTACAGCCCAGCCTGAGCTTCTCCAGCCAGGTCAGTCAGAGGGCACCAACCTCTCCCTATCCACGTAACCTCCAGATAAGCCTGTAACCTGTGTGAGCTGCACTCCCTCACATGTAAAACTGAGATAAAAGCCCCTGCCCTGCCCACTGCACAGATTTATGATGATGTCCAAAGGAGACCTTTTGGCAACAGCACTCTGAAAACAGGAAAGGGACTCCCACGACGCATGATTTTATTCTGCTGGCTGGAGCAAGGGCATGCCGTGGACGTCTTTAACTGTGGACCTTGACTCAATGAGGCTCATAGTTTGCCTACAACTAATCAAAATCCTACATCTTCTCCTGTCTCATTTTATTCACCTAAAAGTCTTACTCCACAATCAATTTTCCTTTACAGTTTAAAATGTGACCAAAAGAAAAATCTCTATGTTTGAGATAGAAACTCAAATTTGGTGTGTTCTGCGTAAAGGTTGGAGGAAGAAATCCTTAGAAGTTAACTCCGACAAAAGAGCCCATGCAGTGATTGGGGGTGCTACCCTTTCCCTCTTCATCAGGAATGGTGAAGACAAAGGTATTAACGCAACTTAACCATTCTCTACAGACATCTTGGGGTTTCTGGACTTGTTCATTTCTAAGCCAGGCTATACTCTGAGATCGACTCTGAATGCCCAACAACAGCCCCTCCCCTGTCCCTTGCCATATACGGATCTGAAGGTGACAGATTTTCCTAGAACAAGCATTTCCAATCCAAATGCATCAAATGCACACTGGGCTTGATGGAAGGGGCAGCCACACACACCTTCATTTCTTCAGCATCCTGCAACCGCGTCAGATGTTCCTTCTCCTTATCCTGGAAGCTGACTTCGTGCATTTTTTCTGTTTTGAATTTTAAATGATGATTTAAGACTTAACTGGTGGGACTCACACCCAAAAGCAAAAATTAAAAAACAAAAAGCAAGAAAAATGGCAACAGAGTGAAACATCAGCTTATATCAGCAATTACAACCATGGCATAAAGGAACAGGCAAGGACTTCTGGCTAAAGCCAAGGCTGCCCCCTCCTGAAGCATTCCTTCCACGGGGGAGCGCGACAACTGCAGGGGACAATGCTTACTGGGGGACAATGCTCACTGGGGGCGGCCCTCCTAGGACTGCACTCTGGCTTTATGTCACCGCACACCTGGGAGGGCTTGTTTCCCACCTGGTCTCTGTGAGCAGCCCAAGGTCATGTGCATGAACGGGCCTTACAGATGATAAAGCCCTCTGTGACTGTTAGGTGGCCTGTGGACCCATGCCATGATGGGAGTTCTAGGAAGACCTAATTTACCTCCCATGGGTAGGCGTTTATTCTCTAAGAATCTGGGGCAGGAAAACATACTCTGTTTCCAGGATGGGAACACGGGAAACAGAAAGATAGCATAACATTTTTGAGATTAAACCAGAAGGCCCCATGTTTGGGGCAGGGCTGCAGTGTGGCACTCCTGTCTCAGCATATGCTTGGTCGATGGTGCTCCCTAAATGCCAGCCAGGTGCAATGGGCAGCCCCAGCTGGGGAGCTGGGGTGCCAGGGGGCAGAGTGCTTTACGACAGTGACATTCAATTCATTATTTCTCTCTAGTCTGTTCCACTTCAGGTTTTCTTGCCTCTATTTTATTTCAACTCAGTGGCCCCACTGCAGGAACCACCGGATGCAAGAGAGAAACATGATTTTCCATGTGCAGTTTTGATGGTGCACCTACTCCTAACATGCCATGTGTTACCACACAAAGAACATGTTACAAGGTTAGAGCAGAGAGTGGGTATGTTCTTTCTTTTTAAATTTGCCTTGGCGTCTGACACAAATTGCATTTACTGAGCAAACTGTAAAACAACAATAAAGGATATAAATACTGATAACAGCATCACCAATCCCAACTACCCTATCACAACCACTTTTATCTTAAATATGAATTTTTAGGAACACAAGCATCCATTCACTTTTTTTTCAAGATGGAGTCTTGTTCTGTCGCCCAGGCTGGAGTGCAGTGCCACGATATCGGCTCATTACAACCTCCGCCTCCTGGATTCAAGCAATTCTCCTTCCTCAGCCTCCTGAGTAGCTGGGATTACAGGCGTGTGCCACCACACCCTGCTAATTTTTGTATTTTTAGTAGAGACAGGGTTTCACCATGTTGGCCAGGCTGGTCTCGAACTCCTGACCTCGTGATCCGCCCGCCTCAGCCTCGCAAAGTGCTGGGATTACAGGCGTGAGCCACCGTGCCCAGCTGCATCCATTCATTTTTAATAGTTATAACCATAGTAAGAATACAATGATATATTGTGATTTTCACCTAACATTGCATCATAAACATTGCTGCACACCTTCATGTATTTCATGTGAAGAAAAAGTTCTATTAAATAACACGCCATAGTGTATTAACTATTAGACATTTAGATGGCTTCCTCTTTTTTGCTGATCTAAAATTCTGCAATGAATATCTGAGGTGTGATGATCAAAAGGTATGAAAAATGTTACAGTTATTAATATGTATTTTCAAATGGCTTTCTGAGAAAATTCTAACAATTTTCATTGCAACCCATAATATATATGTTCTAGTTTCACATTGCATGGCACATACATTCTTAATCCTGTTCTACTTTCTGCATTTCTAGACCCTTCTCTTGAATTTCTGCTTATATTCATTAATATTTATGAAGTGCTTCCTATGTGCGAGGCACTTCCCTAAGCTCAGGAGATCACAAGGCTGGCTGGCAAAGGGTAGAGCTTGTTCAAGGGGGTGCCAGGGAAGCCACGGCAGTTCAAACTTTATATTAAGAGCAACAGGATGCCATGGAAGGGTTAGAAGTGTCCGTTTGGACAGAGAGAGAATGTGAATTTTAGAATCATCCCTCAGGATGCCACACAGTGGCTGGCCCAGAGCAGACTGAGGGTGGGCATGGGTAGATGGATGTAGCCACAGTCCTTAGTTAACCTGGACAGTGAACCAGAGGGGCCTCTGGCAGGTGAAATGGACCGGCTCTGGTGACCAACTAGAGTCAGGAGGTGGGGAGCAGGGGATTCTGATTTGGGTAACTGGGTGGACTGTGAGGAAATGGGAAGATGAGCAGATTCAGTGTGGGGATGGTCTCTCAGAAATCTCTCCTTTTAGGCTGGGCACGGTGGCTGACTCTTGTACTTTTGGGAGGCTGAGGTAGACAGATCACGAGGTCAGGAGTTCAAGACCAGCCTGGCCAATATGGTGAAACCCCATCTCTACTAAAAAATACAAAAATTAGCCAGGTGTGGTGACACGCATCTATAGTCCCAGCTACTCAGGAGGCTGAGGCAGGAGAATCGCTGGAACCGGGAAGCGGAGGTTGCAGTGAACTGAGATTATGCCACCGCACTTCAGCCTGGGCAACAGAGCGAGACTCCATCTTAAAAAAAAAAAAAGAAAGAAAGAAAGAAAAGAAATCGCTCCTTTTTTTCTAGTTATGGTTTTGTTTGCAGTAGACCTAGAAATGCTTTAACTGAACGAAACTAAACATCATGATTCCAGCCAACCAGAGGCTGTCTGACTCAGGCCAGGTGTTTGACACCTGCACGTTAGTCAAATATTTACCCTGGGCTCGGAGCTTTGCCAGCTCTTCGCTGAGCGAGTCCTGGGACTCTTCTAGCTGCCTCCTCTTCTGTTCCATGTTCTGCATGTAGTCTGTCAGAGACTTGATCTTGGCTTCGTGCTTTAAACAAGCAAAAAGGAAGAGTGAATGACTAGCAAGTGGTCATCCAGGCTGGCCTGGAATTGTCTGGTAGGAAAATGCGAGAGAGGAGGGGTTCCTGAGTCCCTTTTCTGAGTGCCACAACCAAATGGTGCCCATTTTACCCTTGCCTTGGTGTTCAGAATCATACCAAGACAGACCTCTGCTTCTCCCTGTGCTTCTCGGCTTCATTCCCCACAGACACCACTCATGGCAGGCCCCTCCTCACCATCCAGTTAACATGAGATGCCAAAGGCCGAGCTGGTTTCCCTTCTCAGAGAAAAGCATGCATGAGAGAAAGGGGCTGGGAAAAGTGCAGGGCTGAAGGCCTCATTCATTGAACATGCACCTCTGGATTCCATCTTCACCATTCAATTATTAGGTCTTCCCTTTTTCTGTCCTTCAGACACACCAATTCCCATCTCAGGGCCTTTGCATTTTCCTCTCCCTGGAAGCTTTCCCTCCCCACCATCACCACCCCACCACATGCCACACACACACACTACCTTGGCTAGCTCCTTATCACTCAGGCCCCAACACTTTCTTACAGCACCTAATGTCTACATCATTTGTCTTGTCTTTTTTACTTGCTAGCTCCATGAGGGTAAGTGCTTAATAAATATTCGTGAAATGAATGGATGAATGAGAGCTTGTTGGCTGAACAGGGACAGTGGTAACTTCTAGGCAGATGGAAAATATATACAGAACACTCCCCTCTCCAGATCTGGGGAGCTCAGCTTTAGGCAGGAAGACCCTGGAGACTGAGCTTTAATCTAATGAAATAACCTCTCCAGAAAACACAACTCCTCCGTTGGAACAGTCATCTTATAAGCACAGTTTTTGGTGACGAGGATGAATGTAAACAAAGAAGATAGCATTTCAGCTGGAAAGACTGTGTCAGATTCCTTAGATCACATCAGAATATAAACAGCCATGGTTTCTGTTACTTTTGAACCTCAGGAAATAATGGTCGAATCTTTGCTATGCATGAATTGTAGCAGAGTGCAAACCTCCACCTAATGGAAGCTGTGTTTGTTGCTGATGCAGAAAGAGAACTTTAGAACAGGTACTCTTTAAACTCAACACATCATAATATTCTCGACTCTGATCTCATACAGCAAAGTCAGTGTCAGTCTGAGACCTGGACGATTCAGAGCACCCCACTGGGCCCTCCTCTGGCTACACCCTACTCCACTAAGCAAAGAGTTCACAGGCCAAAGGAACATGTCCATCTGAACCTATGTCCCCTATAGACCACCCTCAGAGTACTGGGGACCTAGAAACTTCCTACTCCAGGTCTGAAGGCCAGGGCTGGCACTACCTCTTCCTCACCCATTTAAACAAATGGCAGCCGGCATCTAACAGTTCCATCAGTTCACACCGGGTGCAAAAGGGAGTTGGACATGGAGCTGGTATGTCCAGCTTGAAAGAGAAGAGGGTGGGCTGCAGGCCATGGGGTCTCCATGAGTACCCTTGCCTTGGCCCCGAAATGTTAGAGGCAGGCTGGCCAAAACACATGCTTTTGGTATCATAGATGACCTAGAAATCACAGATGAGGTACACTGTTGCCTAATGCATATCATTTTTATTTTAATTTTTTATAAATAACAACTATATAATCATAAAAAAATAAAGTTCTAAAGCAAATCCAGAAAAAGTGGTGTAAACCATAAACCAATCTATGGACTATTTCCCCCTGATATTCCTGGTCTTAGCTGCAGGAATGCAAAGCACAATATAAATCCAACTCAGCATTTTCATTTTCACTTAACTTTATACCATTAGACTTTCCCAATGGCTAGGTTTTTACATTTTTTATAAGAGCTGCATAATATTATTCCATGTAACTTTATCTTATTAGTCTATCAATGGATATTTGGGCAATTTATTTTATTATAATGCAAAATAACACTGTCTTCAATACCTTGCATAAAAGCTTTTAATATTTTTAATCAGGAAATGAGAATACCATATGAAATAAATTTTTTTCATTTTCATTAACAATGAAAAATACTGTCAGTGAAATTACTGGACTAAATTATACTTACATTTTTATGGTTTCTGATTTCCACGGTGCTTCCCAAAAGGACTGACCAAATTATACTTTTATCAACAATGTATGAATATATCAATTTTACTATCACATATTAGCACTGAATAATCTTTTCAATACATTTCTGCTTATTATGCTGGTTATAAAATGGAACCTTGTGGATCCATTTTAGACAGAGAGGTTGGAGATGTTTCTATGATTACACATTATTATGGTTAAAAGCATACCAGAATAAAGTGTGCTTTTGTCCGCCTCAGTATTATTTGACACACCAATCCATGTTGGTATCTGTTTCCTGTTTACTCCAAATGACAGCCTATTTTAATGCCTGGCATAAAGCAGCAAGTAGTATACAACTAGACCCCTCCTGGAAACGTCAGACCCAAATACCAAGCTCAGATATCAGTGGTAGCCCAGAAACTGGGTTGCTGTTTTCTGAAGCTACCTTATTAAACTGAAAATGCCACTCCAATAGGAAGAAGAGCAGCCTTACTCAATAGGCAAGTGAAATGTACCCTCGGGCTTGAAAAGCCCTTGAAGACATGGGTTTTGGGTTCACACACATTTTTTTGAGTCCTAGCTCTGTCATTCACGGGCTGTAGGTGTTTGGACAGACATTTAGTCTAAATCTCAGCTGCCTATCTGAGGAATAATAATAAAACCTGCCTACCAGGATTTTTTTCAGATTAAGTGAGAAAATGCATGTGAAGTACTTAGCACAGTGTATGGTACATAGTAAACACTCAATAAAATGCCACCTGCTACTACTACTATTAGTAGTAGTTTCTGTTTTTCCATATTAAAGTGGACCTATGGTAGAGATTAAAAGATGAGGGAATATTGCCTTACTTACAGGAGTTTTAGAGATTCCACCCAATCTTTTACATTCATTAGCTAGCTAGCCATCCATCTATGGATGGGTAGATAGATATATCCTCGAAAAAGGGAACGGACTCAACAGAATTCATCTATTTCACACAACAAAATGTAGCCCTAGGAATAGACCTGGGCTGCCATCACCTGGGGAGGCCAAGCTTACACAAAGCAGTCCCTCAACTAAGCCTAAGGTGCACCATCAGCACCAGCAAGGGCATGGAGGGAGCAGATCTCAAGACAACAAGAGTGCAATGATGGGGAAGGGAAGGGCCCACCTGGGAGATGAGCAGCTGGCAGGCTGCCAGCTCCCGCTCGCTGGCATTCATCTTCCTGTTGGAGTCCATCTGGGCGCTCTCGAGCTGTTTGCTGCGGTTCACCAGGGACTTGACCTCTGACTTCATCTTGCTGATGTACAGGCGGGCCATGGTAAACTCCTCCTCAATGACTCCATTCACATCTGCCAACTGAGCAAAGAAGGGGACACACTCAAATGTTGCCCACAATTTCCATAGGTTCACGGACTCCCTGGAAACCTGCCCCTGGATCCCCAAGGTGTCCATGGATTTCTGGTTCAGAATCCTAATTAAAGGACAAGCGGAAAGTACTAAACATTCAACCCCAAGTTCTCCTACACCTCAGGTGAAACTTTCAGTTGAAACCCCCTACTAAATATAATCCTCAATTAACTAGGTTTTTCATTACCATCAATTTTTAGAAAGAGAAATGACAGCATAAGAAGAAACACTGAAGATTTTTAAAAGGAGATAACTTCAAAAAGGTATTCCATTCAATGTCTTACACCTTACATCTCTGTAACAGCAGCGACACCCAATGCTCCGAAAGGTGATGCTGAATTCCTATAAAAACTCAAATCAAAACTTCATTAATGTTCTCTATAGTGTGCTTATTCAGGTAGACAAGTAGTGTAATGCCTTGAATATGTTTCTATAAACAAGGATTGAAATAAAAAGGTGTTTCTATGTAGTCCTCAATTAAACAGAAAATCGAATAAATAAGAATGTACTATGAATTACCAAAGGGCTTCTTGATGAAGGTTTCTCAGCATAACTTTTCATTACTACTACCAGTCTATTTTCCTTTGCCTTTTCACACCTGTTCCTTCCAAACAGACAGTAATCTAGCTCATTATTTAAGATCATCTGAGAACAACAGTCTAAATCCACCTTAGAAAAGAAGATTCTGACAGCCAGCATTCCCGCATGATCTATATTTAGTTTCTAAGTTTCAAAGCTCTACTTGAAACAAAAGTTGAAGCAAGCTACTTGGGATAGAAACCCATCCGCTGAAATGCAAACATGGTCTTTAAGAGCAATTGACCAAATGAGCAAGTAACTGTGTGCATATTTTGTTTAGCCACCAGAGTGCAGCCTAGCACCTTAAGAGAAAACAAAGAGCCCTGTCCAGAATCCAGCGCAGAAACACAGGCTTCCACTGGTTGAAAGACAATGACTCCAACCGTGGTTTTTTGATGTTCCACAGTACACTCTGAGTGCCCACCTATGTCGTTATTGATGTCATTCACTCATCATATCACTATCTGTTCAGTAAACATTTGAGGGCTAAAAAAATGGAACCAGGTATCAGCCCTGAAATTTGGTAGCAAATATGAAGTACACTAGAAACTGCTGAGTGCCTGTAGTTTGGCATCAACCTTACCATAAGAATTCAACAACAATATAAATAGCCAACACACATATAGAAAAGGCTCAACATCATTAATTATCAGTGAAATGCAAATCAAAACCACAATGTGAAACCACCTTGCTTCTGCAAGAATGGCCATAATAAAAAAAATAAAAAAAAATAGATGTTGGCATGGAAGTGATGAACAGGGAATGCTTTTACACTGCTGGTGGGAACGTAAACTAGTACAACCACTATGGAAAACAGTGTGGAGATTCTTTAAAGAACTAAAAGTAGATATGCCACTCAATCCAGCAATCCCACTACTGGGTATCTACCCAAAGAAAAGATGTCATTACATGAAAAAGACGTGCATGTTTACGGCAGCACAATTTGCAATTGCAAAAATATGGAACCAGCCCAAATGCCCATCAGTCAATGAGTAGATAAAGAAAATGTGGTGTGTGTGTGTGTGTGTGTGTGTGTGTGTGTAAAATCATGGAATACTACCCAGCCATAAAAAGGAATGGAATAGTGGCATTCGGAGCAACCTGGGTGGAATTGGAGACTATTATTCTAAGTGAAGTATTAATAACTCAAGAATGGAAAACCAAACATCGTATATTCTCACTCATAAGTGGGAGCTAGCTATGAGGACACAAAGGCATACGAATGATACAATGGACTTTGGGGACTTGGAAGAAAGGGTGGGAAGTGGGGTGAGGGATAAAAGAGCACACACTGGGTACAGTGTACACTGCTTAGGTGATGGGTGCACCAAAATCTCAGAAATCACCACTAAAGAACTTATCCATGTAACCAAACACCACCTGTCCTCCAAAAACCTACTGAAATAAAAATTAAAAATTAAAAAAGTTCAACAATAGTACATGTCAAGTGACTCCAGTGTCAACAATACTGCAGAATGTATGTCAACAGCAAGAAAATTGACAAGTATCTATTTCTGACTCTACCTTCATGGAGGTCCTTGTTAAACCCATTTTACTTCCGACTGCCAAAGATCTGCCTACCAAAACCACTCCTCACTATATTCCTTTTCTATTCTAATGGCATGGAGACACTGGGTGAGAAAAGCATGCAATCTTTAAGTTGAGTGTGTTCTGCCACTGTCTTTAGTCCAGTGTAGGAGAAGGATGAGAAACACCTTCCTGAGCCTGACCAGGTGTATCTTACATCTTGTCCAGCCTCTGCAGAAAGACAAAGTAAAACCCATCTCTTCCACATGGAATTCACAGCCTACACCAGCTCCTGGTAGGAAAACGCTGCTGAGCCAGAAGCTCTGGCACCCTGGGAAGAGAATGAATTCCTCTTCTTTTCCAGGTCTGTCAAAGTAGGACACTTTGTCTTTTATGCCTAGATCCCATGTAAATTGAGGAAGAGTAAAAATATAGATATGTATAAAGATGGGCTTCCTCCAAAATAAGAGCTAGACATTTCTTCTCCCAAACCAGAGCTATAACTTCTGAAGCCAGTTCCTGTCCTTGGAGATCTAAAAGGAGATTTTGAGTTTGTGCCTGATGGATAAAAACAATACCCCTAACAAAGGGGTTTTAACTGTGAGGTTTCTTACCACTACAAAGTTCATATATTTAGTGGTTTCATGTTCAAAAGTTTCCAGTAATTTCAGGACACTGTTATTTAAAAAAAAAAAAAATCAGTTTGCTGCTGAAATTTTATTTATAACTGTCCCAGAGTCTGATAATGCCCCCAGTAGTACATACTAGACCATGGGATCCAGTATCAATGACCAACCCAGGAGAAAAGACCACACCGTCATGAAATCTATGGAAGATGTGGCCTGCTGCTTCTACCTGCCTATACAGGGAGTCATCCCTACCTCTCCACCTCCCTACCCCCATCTCTCAAGCATGGAGTGGCTGTGCACGATGATGAACTACTGCCATTCCTAGGCCACACCCAAGGTAAGTAAGGTGCATGTTCACATTTAAAGTCATAAAAGTTAGAATGGGACAAAAAGAAGTCAGTGTGGGCCAAAAGAAAATAAGGCAGCCAGTCCAATTCAGTTCATTTACTCTACCTCAACTTCTATTCAGGTTCTGGCTAAATTCCTTTGAAGGTAGCAAGGTAAGGTAGGCCCCAAGAAATACAAATAAAATCCTAACCCCCCGAATGACTGAACAGACCCCCTCGTGGCCAAGGAGACCCCAGAGAAATGTTAAATACCGAGTTCCAGCCCAGGACAGATTGGGAAGTTGGAAACGCCTGGTCATACACCCTCCCTCGCCAATCAGCATTAGGCTTTCTTCCCCAAGGGTTAAACAGAAGCCAGCCCTTTTGAAATATTCACTCCACTGCTTCACTGCTGATAACCACAGCCTGCCCCTGCCCCTCTCTTTTGCAATTTCAACACAACCACCAACCAAAGTTCCTTCCCCAACGAGAGACCACCAACCATGAAGTGGTTCTGGTTCTGGCCAGGCTACTAAGGCTGCACACAGCCTTCATATCCTCTGCTTCACCCTTTGATGTACAGGGCCTAATTATAATACATTTAAATGTTAAGTCTCCAAATAAAAGTGAACATGGGACCCATGTTGCATACATGTTTTCCTACTACACATGCACATGCCACTCCTTCATGAATCTTCATAGCTCCTCCTGTAACCTGTTGAATAAGTTTATTTGGCCACCCTGTGAAAAACATAAGTCCCTGTCATTCTTCCCATCCTCAAAGTGCTTCTTTCTGGCTTCTGGCCAAAGGCTACACTTCCCAACCTGTAAGAGTGGCCACCCTGCAGGCTGCAACCCATTATGAAAAATAAAGCTCTCCTTTCCAAATGTATGGACCTCATCATACTTCTGTTGACAGTTCAGTGCCACCAGTACATGAAAGGAAGAGAAGGCTCACTCATAAACTTCGATAAAGTTAACATTGGGCTCATCTTGTTATATGCTGGACTCATCTTGTTTTGTTGATGAAACAAAATGACTGGACTCTGGAAATGTTTCAAGACATGATTGAGCTGGGGATATATGGGTTTTTCTGTTTTCTGGCTTTTCAGAGCTGTCATATTCTAGAACTGTGGACTGGGGAAGGCTCCAATAGTCATATTTTTCCCCCATCCCAGAGCCCTACCAGGAGGGACCTTGTGAAAATTAAATGGCATTTTAGGAATAAAAATACAAAACCACTGAAACAAATTCCCTTGATCTGTTCATTTTCCTATATCAAAAGAATTACTATATCAATTCATAGTCATGACCAATAAGAAAAGTACCTGTACCTATAAGGATAAATCTAAAACAAATGTGCAGAAGTCAAGTAATTTCTGAGCCGACAATTTTTGATACTGTCTGAGCTTATCTTGTCATTTTATAAATTAGAAAAATGAAGCCCAAAGAAGTACAGTCACTCATCCAAAGTCATACAACTACTCCCTTAGCTCTTATCACCCTAATGATGAACTCATAATTATATGAAAAAAACCAGAATGATAGAAATGATGGCTATCAATGAAATTAACTAGGACATCCAATGTCTGGAATCCAAAAATAATCTCAAAAATATCCAATTGAGTATTTAAAAACAATCTCAATCTCAATCATAGTTCAGATTCCCAAAGGTAAAGACTCTTTTTTCAATACTGAAGCACCCAGACACTCCTGATTTCATTAGCATTTTCATCAGCTCTATTTTAGAACTTAGCATAAAAATACCTTCTTCCTTTATCGTTATCAGCAGCAAGCATCAACTTCCCATATATCAACTCCACCTTCATATTGTGAGGCCATTTAATCACCTCACATCGAATTTTATTGCTCAACACCAATGTATGGTTCAAAAAATTAAATCTTCAAATATAAAATCACCAAATTGAAGCTTAATAAGATTAACTCTATAGTATCTGAGAAGTCTGTGCTAGAATTAGATTCATTCACAAGGATTTATGAAATAATCAGTTACAATAAAGGTTCCATGAAAGAATGGTTACATTTACGAGCGGTCATGTACTCTAAGCTGGGACCTGTTACACCATCCAAAAACGGCTTTCAACATTTCCCAGAAATAGTCTACAAAAGGAAGCCTGATCTTGGGAGCATTTTCCAGTATTTAACAATCCCAGCTCACGACCTGAGTGTCCCCACTAAGCAGACTGATGTAGAATTCAGCCTTTTAAAGATAAAATGGCTAAATTCAAAGAATTTGGTTTCAGGGAATTGTGACATGTAAGGTAAGCAATGTAATACCATTCCCCAGCTCAACAAAATCAACATATATTCATCAATGACTCCTTTGTATAAGATGCTGTATTATTATAAAGCTATGGTGATCAAAACATTGTGGTATTGGCAGGAAGATTTGATCCATGAAACAAAATAGAGAGACCAGAAACTGCCCCCACATACTTTTGGGGGAGATGGGGACATTCATTATCTTAACGGTGCTGATGGTTTCATGACTGTACACATACGTCAAAATTTCTCAGACTGTATACTTTAAATATGTGCAGCTTTATGTAAATTATACCTCAATAAAGCTTTTTGTTTTGTTTTAAAAATGTCTCTACCCTGTCTTTTTGGTTAATAACAACAATAGCCTTTCTATATTCCAGCAAATTGTTACCTGTTCTGGGCTGATACCATTTTTAACTCTATCTCTTCCTTCTATTCCTAGTTTCTGGACAACTTTATACCACCCCTATTATCCCCACATCTCTTACTTTCTCGCTGTCAACAGCACCAATGGCCAGGTGTGGTGGCTCACGCCTGTATTCCCAGCACTTTGGGAGGCAGAGGCAGGCGAATCACTTGAGGCCAGGAATTCGAGACCAGCCTGGCCAATATGGAGAAACCCCATCTCCACTTAAAAAAATAATAATAATAAAAAAATTAGCAGGGCCTGGTGGCACATGCCTGTAATCCCAGCTACTCGGCAGACTGAGGCACATGAATTGGTTGAACCCAGGAGGCAGAGGTTGCAGTGAGCTGAGATTGCGCCACTGCACTCCAGCCTGGGTGACAAAGCAAAAGTTTGTCTCAAAATAAATAAATAAATAAATAAACAAATAACCAAGAGCACCAATATGTACAACCCCAAGGGATTCATCATGATTGGTCTATGCCAATTATAGTAATCCCAGTCCCCTTTGCTTTCCCAGAAATGTGGAGTGGTCATGTGATCCAGTTCTGGCCAATGAAGTGTAAGGATATGTCTCCTGGGGACTTCTGGGATATGTTTCCCTCCTGGATTAAAGAAGTTGGCCTTTTCAGCCCATCCTGCCTTGGATGTGGTTGAGTGAGGATGTGATGATTGGTACTACAGCAGCTATTTTGCTACCATGAGGCATAATCCTCTGGATTATGAAAAGGAAACAAGCTGAGGACAGGAGAAAGGAAACAGAGAAAAAGCCTGAGAACTTGACATTGTTGAGCCATGGCACCAAAACAAAATTTGCTTCTCAAACTTTAATAAGCATAAAGAATCACCTGGAGAATCTTGTTAAAGTGCAGATTTTGATTCAATAGGTCTGAGGTGGGGCCTGAAAGGCTGTAGTTCCAATAAGCTCCCAGGTGAGGCAGATCACACCCTGAGTGGCAAGATTTTAGACTTCTCATATTGTGAATAATTAAATGTGGTTTTATTTCTTAAGCCACTGTTAGAATCCTATCACTTTCACACTGACTTGGAGAATTTTCACTTCACTGGGTTCTTTCAGAAAAGGAAAAACACAATTCTGAGACTAGAACTGTTGCTTAAGCTATTTAATTCCAAACTTCTGCAACATTAGGAAATAAGTTGAGAAATAAACCAATTTGAGAAATAAACCAATTTACACAAAGCCAACCAACATTTGAAGACACTGCCTAGATTTGAAAGATAATTTTTTTTCTCCTCCTCCTCACCCCAACAAACAATTCACTCAGTCATTCAATTAGCCCTTTTTTCATTCATTCAAACACTAACCAGCACATGGCAGATGCAAAGCACAGTGCTAAGCATTGAATGCTTAAAAGAGTAAAGCACAGACCCTACTAACTTGACAGGAGCAGGTAGAGAGGATAAAAGAAGGGCTGGCTTACAGTTTTCACATCATTGGTGCCAATAATTCCACCTATCTCCCCCAGATCTTTCAACAGCAAATTCAGGATCTCAGTTGCCCTTTTCTTCTGGTGGTTGCTAAGCTCTTGTAGCTGGCTCAGCTCTCTCTGTGTGGTTGTCAATGTAGTCTGAAAAACAAATTTCAACAACAAATTCAAAGGGTTGCCCATCAATTTCATACACTCCACATTACAAAGAATAACACCATCATGTAGAATGGATTTCTTTTACATGACTTCAACCTAAGAATCCTTTTAAGGCAAACTCTCGCATAGCACTGCATTCTTGGATAAGAAGGGGAACTCTTTATCAACAAGTTGTATCACATGGCCTGATACATTATATGTCTACATATCAGATGACAATTTCCAAGTCAGGGAAATAAGTTAAGCCAAAAAGGAAGTCCTTAAATTTATAACATGTAATTGCATCTTCCTACTTACCAGATATTCTATGTCAGTCCTATCTGTTTCATTTCAGGGTCTAAACTTACCTGCAAGGGTCCCCACCTTCACTCCTAAACAAACCTGCTCCCTGGGCCACCTCCATATTCCCACCTAAATTGATAAAGACAGATGGGTCTAGAATAGATGGCCCAGAAGAACATTAATAAGTTTAGAAAACAACTTCAAAAAAAAAAGTCTTCCAATTTTCAGAGTGAAGCTGAATTAAACACCCTTCACCTTTTTTCAAAATTAGGTTACGTTCAATAGTTGGTTTCTTACTATATAGCAGAAGCTCTATTTTCTTGTCAAACTTTAATAAACCCATCTCTTTTTCATCCTCATGTATCTTGCCAAAAGGTATGTATTCTTAACTAACGTTTAACATCAGTAAAACAGTTATCTATTTATACAATTCTCCCATATGCAGCTAGAGCATTTTTAAACAATCTGTCTAATAATAGTCTTCTAAACCAATCTAGTAATACTTTGGTTTCATGGCAAATTAAAAACTGTATTATGAAAAATGTTTCATTGTTTTAAGAAGCAAGTAACATGAAGGACTAATTAAAAGAATCTCATAGAAAACACTAAGCAGAGAAAATCTAAGTCGCCCCCTTTCCTAAGTGACTTCTGAATGAGTTTGTTTTATTTTGTTTGGCATTGCCAACTGCTTATGTCATCTTGTTTTTAAAATCCTCAGAGGCAGTAGTCCCCATCTTGGGAAGCTGCTAGAAAAGTCTTCCTCCATGGAGCTGAATGTATGCCGCGAGGAGCATTTCCTGTCAGCCTCACAGTCAGCAGACCAGCACTCTCCTGCGCCATCTGCTACTTCTTTTTAAACTGGATGCTTTCCACAAAGCAGGCTGGGCACAAGCCCAGGACACCAGGCCATTGGGCAGAGGTGCTAAGGATAGCAGGTTAGAGCCAGTCAGCTTCTCCACCACCCATTTTCCAGGTAGAAAAGGACACATCCCACCCCGCCATGCCAAACATTCACTGCTCCTGCTACCGCTAGCTCACTGCAGAACCTATGGCATCTTTCATTTGGAGAATCTGGAAATAAGGGAATGTGCAGGCTGAAGCACTGGCTTAGAACAGCAAACAAACAAACAAGGGCAGCTTAGTTCCAGGCTCCTGAAGGTAACAGCTAGGACAAAAAGCTGACGGGAGGGAATGGAATTCATTCAGGAGGGTATAAGCAAGAAGAGTGAAGTCCATACCTTCTATGGGACCCTGCTCTTGCCAGTAGCAATGCTTTGAGATGTATGTATTGATATCGTAGCATATGCACAGATCTGTGCTAAGTGCTTTACATAAACTGTCACTAATCCTCACACCATGCAAGCAGCATATGATCGTCACCATTTTTACAGATAAGGGAATGAATACTCACAAAGCTTAACTGTCTCAGCTAAGGTCTAAGAGTTATGAAGTCAGACTTGTAACTAAGACTTTTCTGGCTCCAAAGTCTGCACTCTTTTGACTATTCCCACAAAGCATCCCCACTAATGTTATTAATTCTCTGGATATAAAACAGTCATGATATGCAGTTCCAGGAAGAGTGAACAAAAGTCACTTGCACGAAGTATTTCAATTGTTGGAGGGACCTCAGAGAATGCATCTAACACTGAATAACTATTCAGCCACTGCCTCCTTATACCATGTCTGTCAATGAATATCAATATGAGTACAGGAACGGCAGCCAAGGAAGTCCCACCCCCTAGACACAAATGCTCCAACCGTTTTCTGGGCCAGCTCGTCTGTCAGCTGCTCATTGGCCCGGGTCTTATCCTCCACTTCCTGTGATTTCTGGTCATAATTGACAGCCAGCTCCTCCAGGGCCTGGAGAACTTCTTTCACCTCATCCTTGGCTGCCTCATTTTCAATCTGGAGACGTGTCAGCTCCTCCTGTATCTTCTCATAGTCTCTTCTTGTGGAAGCTAAAAGCTGGGGAAATGAGATGGCATGGAACTTGTGAATCTAATGTTCAAATGTTTATGTTCTATGCTGTATCCAAAAGTAAGTAATTTAAAAACCAGATATAAGAAAACAAGTTGAAAAAGTTCAGGATGATGGGAAACCCCACTGTATGGTCCAGACGATAAAAAAATAAAAGAAAAAGACAGATATGTTCTTATTGCAAAAATCTGTTTTGTGTGCATGTGTTTTGTTTTGTATGTTTTGTTGTTGTTGTTGTTAGTTTAAAGCTGTATACCCTTAACTCAAAGAAAGAATTACACATCAAAAAATCACTGCATTTTATAGCTATTCCATATTTTAAGCAAAGGATGGGGCCAGGCGCAGTGGCTCATGCCTGTAATCTCAGCACTTTGAGAGGCCGAGGCAGGTGGATTACCTGAGGTCAAGAGTTCACAAACAGCCTGGCCAATATGGCAAAACCCCATCTCTACTAAAAATACAAAAAAAAAATAGCTGGGTGTGGTGGTGCACACCTATAATCCCAGCTACTTGGGAAGCTGAGGCAGGAGAATAGCTTGAACCTGGGAGGCAGAGGTTGTAGTGAGCCGAGATGATGCCACTGCACTCCAGCCTGGGCAGCAGAGCAAGACTTCGTCTAAATAATAAATAAATAAATAAATAAATAAATAAATAAATAAATAAATAAGCAAAGGATCTGAGAGTCGTTTCCAAGGAAATGACAAGGAATAACACTTACATAATTTTTAAGTGTTATCAGGATTTCACATTGTAAACTGGTTGACTTCACAATCAACTAAAACAGTATACAACAGTGGTCAGTCACCTTTTTTTTAACATCCATCATGAAGATATAGAAGGATGTACCCCAAACAGTATCTTTAGTTAAAAGCGAATGTCTGGGCTTGCCGACGCTCTCATTATCTTTGTTCCTAAGTTGATTTTCCTATATTGAACAGATACTGCCTTGATAGTATAGAAAAAGAAAAATGTTAAGGAGTTTTAACAGTAACAAGAAGTAAAGTTTATCCCAGGCAGCTGTGCCAATGTGGGTGAAACTGGAGTAGAATGGGAGGTAGAGGGCAGGAAACTCAAGCAAATGGAAGGCCTCGACTATAGCTAAGAGAGAGAGATCAACGAAATATGGTTCACCTGATTACAAAAGTGTAGATTATCTCCCTACCAAGGGAAGTGTTTGGGCAGGGGAGGTAATCATTGTCCTAAAGAGATGAAAGGGAACAAAGAGGAAGGAAATGGTTACAGAGTCCTTTATGCCTACAGAGGCCTGGGATTGAGGACAGAAACCCAGGCACCTGCTGTCATTGCACAGTGGGATCCAATCCATAGCATTTCAGCAACGAAGCAGAAAGCAACTTAAAGCACAAAAGAAAACAACACTTAAACGGTCCTCAGCAAGGGAATTATTAATTGTGCATGTTTGATAAGTTGGCTGGCTATCCTTTGCTTAGGTTCTTGTTTGTAAAATACTTGGCAACACACAATGTAGTAAAAACACTTGCTGAAGAACTGAATGCCTTTGGGGAGAGACTGAAAACAATTTGCCTCCTTTTTAGTGTATCAAACATGCTGACGCAGTACTCGGGCCCCGTTCTCTTTGCCTTCCCCTCCTCTACCTTCTAGTTTTGTTTTTGTTTGTGTATCCCTACAGGACAGCAGGAGAACATGGTGTATATCAAAGATCTGAGCAAGCTGATTGCAAAACTGAAGTAGGACTCAAACAACAGGTCACAGCATTGCTGGGTATTAGGAGGCAGAATCATCCTTGCCCAAGGCCAGGTGCAGTGGCTCACACCTGTAATCCCAGTGCTTTGGGAGCCAAGGCAGGAGCCAAGCCAGAGGCCGGGAGTTCAAGATCACCCTGACCAACATAGAGAAACTCTGTCTCAAAATATTAAAAAATTAGCTAGGTATGGTGGCACATTCTTGTAGTCTTAGCTACTTGAGAGTCTTAGGCGGGAAGATCATTTGAGCTCTGGAGGTTGCAGTGAGCCATGATTGCACCACTGCATTCCAGCCTGGACAACAGAGAGACCCTGTCTCAAAAAAATAAAAATAAAAAAGGATCATCCTTGCTTGATCACCCAACCAAAGGTCTCTGCCCTTCCAGAACGAACTGTAGCCACTGGCTACTCAATCTCAAAACATCAGGGGTTTTTGAAAGTCAGACATTTATTTTCTAAATTCAGTGATAATCAGCTTGTAAGAGGCAGTGAAGGGACATCTACCAAGAAATTTCCACATGATTCTGTAATTATGAAAAGCTTCTATGCCAATTAAATTCCTGGAACAAACATCAACAACAAAGAGTAATAGAAGAACTTTGTGGAAAAAAAAATATATTGCATTCTTTACCTCATCCTGATCCAACATCTGTTGCTTCAGCTTTTCAGCCAGCTGGCTCTGCTGGTTAATTTCATCATCCTGAAACGAAACATCATGTTTGTTTTTTTGGTTAGTTATGTCATTTTTGATATCCCAGTCTCCCAGTGACAGGCAGCTACCATAAGCTTGCTGATAAGAAGGAAGGAATAGTGTGGTGTTACTGCACAGAAAACAGACAGATTCCGAGATCTCATTCAGTTAAAATACCTCCTCACCCACCTTTCTCAGCAGATGAAACAGCTGACTATTCTGGAAATATAATATCCTGCACATTCAACCCAATTCCTGCTCATTGAGAAATCAGAGATCTACGGTTTGGGAACTGAAAGGGACGTTAGAGATATCCCTCCCAATTCAAAGATGCTAACAGTGAAATTCCTAATTCAAAAAATAAAGGAGTGAATTTCTACCTAGCTGCACTGTCATATGTTATTATCCCAAATCTTGTCAAATGCATCAGTAAGCAGGAGTGCTGCCACCAGATCGGCAGGGAGAGCCAATGTTTCCACTTCAAACCTCTCAGACCAGAGAAAAATGAACTGGAGATTTGGCATTGGAAGACCTCCCTCTCGATTGGAAGTTAATTTTCTTAACAGTTAAAAAAAAAAAAAAAAAAAAAAAAAAAACCTCAGGGCAGCTGAGGGACAGAAGCATTCATGCTTACTTTCTGGGCTGTCACTGAAGTGGGAAAGGCAAATTCGCTCTTCTCACTCTTTTTCTGCCACTAGGTGTTGCTGCCACAAAAGCAAGGGTATTCGCTGCCCACCTCTCCCCACCTCCCCTTAGACTCAGTCCACCCCCAGTGCAGGCAAAGCAGCAGGCAGATGATGCCTAACTACATAAAAAACACAGTCTTCACTGCATTATTTTCACGACTTCAAATAAAATTTGAAACATAGCCTGTGAAGATGACAACCTGGCTTCTAGGGTCTAAACACCAAACAGAGTCAGATTCAATTGAGCATCCTTGGGCACTTCTTCGTGCCAGGTCCTGTCTAGGTGTTTTCATCAGCAGCCCAGAAAAACACACCCTGTACTGTGCCTTTTGCCTTTTCCAGGGGTGAAATCTAACCCAAACTTAAGGGCCTGGGTCACAGAACCTCAATGTTCCACGGGATATTCCCCAGCCTGTTTGGTGATATCTATGCATACATTTGAATCATGTTAATTTAATGTCACAAACTAATGCTTTCCATGGAGAAAGAAAATTCTAAAATCAGCCATACAGGATCTGAATCTCCTTGTCCTTTATGTAGACCATCATTTGGCTTTGCTTTTCTACTTAAAGAGATCCTGTTTCTACTGAACCCTTTACACCAATGTTTCTTTAATGGTTCTATTTTCCTGCACAAATCATATTAGGGAAATTATACCAGAATGAAACCTCCAAAAACTGGCACTTCTACAACTAGAAGACTATTTTGTAGATATATTTTCTCTTCTACTTTATAAACTTAGCACGTCAGTTACCAGTAACGATTTTGTGTTTATGTTCCTGAGCACTTAAATATTAGACAACTTAGCATAAAGGATTCAAAGAATTTACCATCGGAGAGCCACCATCTCTTCTCCTGGGACAAATGGACAAGCACTACAAGTGATATAAACCACAAGAGGAGAGAAATGGAGTGAACTCTGTCCTTACGCTGTGCTCATTTCAAAGCCTGAAGATGCAGGCTTCCTCCCAACAGATGACAAGCTGGGATGCAGTGATTTTTAAGGTACAGTGAAAAACCAAGGGCCCCTGGCCCCACCTGGGAAGGATGAAGAACAAGGATGATACTACAGAAGACGTGGATCACTTGTATCAGAGACATTTCCCAAACTATATTTACCCTTTATTAAGGCAACTTATCTAAGGAATTAATGAGCTCTACTGTGATTTTTTTTAAAGTCTTTCAAAACCTCCAGAATAATAAGGTGTGCTTATATCTACACATTCAACTGCATCTCTTAGAACATGCATAAGCACGCTCACTCTGATGCCGGTTCTAAAGATCTTGTCCATGGATAACAGATTTTAAAGCACTTTTCAGAAAGTATTTTATACTTGAATTTTCTTATACATGAAATAACATAAGGCCAGTTACAGTGGCTCACGCCTATAATCCCAGCACTTTGGGAGGCCAAGGCAGCTTGATCACTTGAGCCCAGGAGTCCGAGACCAGCCTGAGCAACATGGCAAATCTCCGTCTCTACAAAACATACAAAAAAAAAAATTAGCTGAGTGTGGTGGTATGTGCCTGTAGTACCAGCTACTCAGGAGGCTGAGGCAGGTGGATGGCTTGAGCCTGGAAGGTTGAAGCTGCAGTGAGTTGTGATTTCACCACTGCACTCTAGTCTGCGCAACAGAACAAGACCCCATCTCAAAAATTAAAAAAAAAATAACATGCGGCCAGGCGTGGTGGCTCAGGCCTGAAATCCCAGCACTTTGGGAGGCCGAGGCAGGTGGATCACGAGGTCAGGAAATCAAGACCATCCTGGCCAAGATGGTGAAGCCCCATCTCTACTAAAAATACAAAAATTAGCCAGGCGTGGTGGTGTGCGCCTGTAGTCCCAGCTACTCAGGAGGCTGAGGCAGGAGAATTGCTTGAACCCAGGAGGCAGAGGTTGCAGTGCACTGAGGTCGCACCACTGGACTCCAGCCTGAGTGACAGAGCGAGACTCCATCTCAAAAAATAAATAAATAAATAAATAAATAAATAAATAAATAAAACAAAATAATATGCACACCCTTATAAATGAGAAACTGGTCAACCTCAGTTGTCAACAGGTCACTGTTCACCTTTAAGTATAAAAATGTTTTTATTGCAATGGTAATCTGCATAAAAATAATCAACTTTCATTTCTACTTAAGCTTGGTTCGTGTCAGGATCTCCAAGAGCAGAGCAGTACTGTAGAGGGACAGAGACTAAGAGACAAGGAGTGCCAGCGCCAACTTGTTCACATTGTGTCTCTGCTGGTGGCCCCCTTGGCACCACCCCTTCCACACCACACACGGAAGTAAGCAGAGCCCAGCCCAGCCCAGGAGAAAGAAGGAAGCTAATATTTACTGGGCACCTGCAATGTACTAGAAACTTTTAATCCTCACCACAGCCTTTTGAATTAACAGATATAAGCCCCATGATACAGATGAGAAAAAGCACCTTCAGCAGGGCCAGGCGCCAGCCCAGGACTCAGCATTATTGTCACAGGTCTGCCCAGGTCTCAGTGTCATTGTTACAGGTCTGAGTCCACAGTGCATGCTCTCCCATCACACAGCATAGCCTTGGGAGAGTACCTGTGCTTGGAGCCCTGGCGGGGCAGCACGGAGGAACAGAAGGGACAGCTGGGAGGAAACCGTGTGGTCTTTCTCCCTCCACACCCTAAATAGATTCACTGAGGTTGACCAGGTCCTCATTTAAAGGGCTGAGGGCAAAATGAGATGAGCACTGGGGTGGGAGTCAGAAGATATGTAACTTCATCCTAGCTCTGCCACCTATATGTGATATACACTTGGGTAAGTCACATAACCACCCTGGGCTAGTGCCTCACCCAAACCTAAATACCTCCTGTTCTACCTTTCAGTAGACTAAGAAGGTGCCATATCCCACCTCATGTATTCTTCAAGCGTCAAACCACCTACATCAACAGAAACATGGAAGTGCCTCCTAGAACATTTCAGAGGAGGACCCCTAAGAATGACAGTTGGTAAGACATAATCAGGCAGTCTTTGGGAAGGGTCACTGAGGGCAAACCATTAGCTCTGGTGCCCCCTAAGGCTGAGGCTTCTAGGCTCAGTCCTCTCCCACGTCTCTCAGCATCATCATGTGAGGGACCACAAATACTAGCCTCCAACAGCGGGCCTTACAGAATCTTCAAAGCACATGCTGTAGGAAAATGACATAACAAAATGGCCTAGGCTGACCATCAGGAGACGGAGACTCTCAAGCCAGCTCTTCAGCTACCAACTGAATGCTTTGGACATGGCATTTTCATCTCTCTGTCCTAATCACTACATTTCGTATGTCTGATTTGAGACTCTAAAGTCTCTCTCTTGGATCAATGAAAGTTCCCTGTGCTGCCAAGGTAAATGATCCCGATTCCGCCATGCAGGCGTCTATTCATAGAGAACTGAGCACAGAAACAGCTTCTCACCCTCTCACCCAGGATTCTCTGCGATTACTAAAAATGAGCCCATTGGTTCTAAAATGAGGAAAAAAAATGCATATGGTCTAATCTTCTTTACTGTTTAAACAATAGCAATTCCTTGGAGAAATCAAGAAATTGCATATACTGTTAACTTACTATTGATCTCCTTTTTCTCTTTGTTTTGCATAAAATACATAGATAGAAATGGAAGATAACGGTATGCGTGGAGCCTAAAGGGCAAGTAACCCATCTCGTGGGTGCGAATATTTTATTAAATGTGTTTTCAGAAGAGTAGGATGACCCCAGAATAAAGCTTTGGTTATAGTGCAAGCTCTTGGAATCACAAACAAGCAGAACTAGCTTCCTTAAGGCAACCAGTCACATTCAGCTTGCAAAGGTCATACCAGTCTCTGAGCTTTACCTCAAAGAGAGAAGCCTGTAAGATTAATGGCAAGGTTAACATAACAAAGCTGCTTCATACAAGCCAGAGGTGTCCCTAAGCACTCTGAGCTGAACCACAATAGAAAAGATTAAATCAGGCTAAAAATATCAGCAACCCTGATGAAATCAACTGAAAGGATTTAGAATATTCCAAGGGCAACATGCCAAGATCATATAAAACATCAATTCAATTCTCATGCCTCTGGGATTCCTAACCCAACCTTTAATTGATTCTCCCAGTGTTCTCCAAGGCCTCTTTTCCTCTATGCCAACTTGTGCATTTACATGACTATTTGAGTCCCAAAAGCTTGTCATAAAATTGGACATCCCCAATTAGCATGTACAAACTACTTCATTCAAGAATATACCCGTGAAAAGAGCTTCACCAATTAGGTGAAGCCATCAGACCACACTGCTATCGATTTCTCATCCCAGGGCCTTATGGTTATATGATTAAAGTACATGCTTGAATTCTGGGAGTCACAACCCTTGCCCCTAGCTGAGGCTACTGCTGGAGTTTCCAAGAGGTGAAGGATAGGCCCAGAGAAGAAAGGGAGACTTAAAGATCATAGACACTCACACACCCCACCTTTCATGCAGTAATCAGCCCAGTCCAATTTCTAGAAGACAAGACTCTAAATAGCACCCGCCTGTCTATCTAGGCCAACACACTGCTTTTTCAGTCAAGTTCCCTTTAACATTTCTATTCCACATGAATCAAACTCCCTGAATCTGCACCATCAAAGTGCTAGGGTAGGTATTAGGAAACCAGAAACAAAGATCGGGCTGTAGCCCTACATCAGCCCCATAGGGAGCTGGGACCTGCCATCTTTCATCTTTGTAGCAGAATGAGAACTATGAATCTCTGGCCACAGACCTTGTCATCCAGTTGTCTGTAGAGACTGGAGATCTCCTCATCGTACTTCTCTTTCTCCTCTGTAGAGATGCCAGCAACAACAGGAGCAATATTGTCTATGATGGGGGTGTTATCACAAGGCTCCAGGTTCTTCTGGTCCTTGGCACTGATCTGTTCATCCTCAGGCACAGCTTCTCCTGCAAAACATAGCCGAGCAGAGTTGGGGATTAAAGAAATTGAGTATGCAACCCTCCAGGAAGAGTACCAAAAATAATCAGTCCTGGTGAAAAATACACAGAAGACACAATAAAGGGCTGTAGTGTGGGTAGAGTTTGTGTTCCTTCTATTTGACAAGAAAGGTCTTAGTTAATTGGCCAAAACTAGTCTAAGAAAAAAGAGAACTATGTAAAACCTCCCCTCTCAAGATGCATCCCTGAAGTAAACTGGTTCCAAGCTACTCCAACTTGCAGAGATGCCTAAATTCTTTACATTCATTTTGCTTTAGTTGAGGAATATCCTGGGGCTTTACTAGAGTCATATTCTCTCTAGTGATTGATTAAAAAGGAAACAGACCTCTAAGGCATCCTAATTATGAATTAATTATGTCACTGTTTCATTAATAGAAACAGCCAAATAAAGAAACACACTGGCATTGTTTGATAGAACACTCTAAGGCTCAGATCCTCTGAATTCAAGAATCTCCAAATCTGAGGTCAGAAGACAGGGTAGCCCTGGATCCAAGACTAGAGCTGCAAAAGCTCACATTTCAATACCACTGTCTCCTCCAGGAAGCCAGAATTAATTGGCTCTGCTGGAAAGTTCAAATAGAATAACCTACTGTGATATCAGGTAGTCTTAGGAAAGAAAAGCAGCCAATCTAGACTATCTTGCAGAGATCCTACCTACAACTTCTCAGTTTGCAGAGTAGCATTTGTTGGGGCCTTCAAAGGAAGAATTGCCAAATTTGTCAATCAAATTGATAGAAATGGTACAGCTTGCAAGCTGGCCAATGGCTATCTCCAACAAGAACATCAAAGACATAAAGTGCATAAAAAGGATTCTAAGAAAACTACTGGCCCCACTGAGTCTCCCAAATATCTTCCTGGAAAGCAAAACCAAACCCAACATACTTTTCCATCACAATGTTTACCATCAACACCACAATCATCTTGCTACAGTCAGTAGTAAGAGTGTCTGCAGTATTCCAAGCCTCACCCCAGTTCCCAGCCCACAAAATCCATTTTGTAAAAATTGCCCAGGAAAACTGCCTTGAGTCAGAGAGTTTTTCAAAAATACATGATAGAAGGCAGGGCACAGTGGCTCAGGCCAAGACGAGCAGATAACTTGAGGCCAGGAATTCGAGACCAGCCTGGCTAACATGGTGAAATACCATCTCTACTAAAAATACAAAACTTAGTATTTGTACAAAAATTGGCTGGGTGTGGTGGTGCACACCTGTAATCCCAGCTATTTGGGAGGCTGAGGAACAAGAGTCGCTTGAACCCGAGAGGCGAAGGTTGCAATGAGCCGAGATCGCGCCATTGCACTCCAGCCTGGGTGCCAAGAGCAAGACTTTGTCTCAATAAATAAATAAATAAATAAAAATAAATAATAGAGTAACTGAGATTTCAATCTGTGGCTTCATTAACAATATATATCATGCTTCAAGGAACCCACCTGAACACTGTACACATTTATCTCAATATAAACAAAACACTGTGATAGTTTAGTTCTGCTGCTTATGACTCCATTATCTCACTGCATAACCACAAAATACTACATGGGGCCTCCGTGTTAAGTAAAATTAACACCCAATGCTTTCACTTTTGTATCACAGTTCCGTTTGAAGCAGCAACTTGAAGCAAAACATAGAATAAACTATTACCTTGCTGAATACAAAATTGAGCCAACCCTTTTTCCTTTTCCAACAAGACTGCTATACTTAAGCGTTTTTTCTAAAATTATTGACCTTAAACAAAACCAGAATATCAGAGTAGCCTTTGAACAGAACCTGAACCAAATCAATATTTCATTCAGTTCCAATTCCTGGCTTAAAATATCCATCAACAACCTTAGTGTGCAGACTGGATTTCATCCAATTAAAGGATCTATATTCTCTACAGTCTGCTAAATCCATGGGCTATAAAAGCTGTACCATGTTCTTTTTTTTTCTTAAACATATTAGAGATAGATAGACATAGATAGATAGATAGATAGATAGATAGATAGATAGATAGATAGACAGACAGACAGACAGACAGACAGATTTTCTAATCACACAATAATTCAGGATACATTCTTAACATAAACAACTCAAGCAATGTGGAGTATACAACTAAAACTTGAAAGTCCTCCTTCACCCCTCCCTTCTAATTCTGTTCCTTCCCCAGAGAAATTCACCACTAACACTTTGGTAAATATCCTTCCTCTTCTTGGATTGTGACTGTATCTCTAATTTTTGAGCTCTAGCTTCTGAAATTTGGGAACAGGGCAATCCAGTACAGTATGAATTTAATCTTTCAGCTTACGCATGACAAAGATGAAATTCTTAGCTGTACCAGACCAGACACCAACCAGAACATGGTCATATTATCCACAGGCCAACTCACTCCAAGTAAAGAGGTAAGATACAAAAACATCTGGAAGAGATATATTCCCTGTGTTCTTTGGTTTCAAATGGCCAAAGAGGCAATGGTATCATGAGGCTAGGGTAAGCTAAGGAGCTGCCCAGTGTGTGTTTTGATTCAGCTGAGTGGGCAGGGGCCGGGGATAGACTTCTATAACCTTAGCAGCAAGTGACCTGTTCTAACCAAAGTCACAGGCCTGACTTCCCCTAAAGCTGCCCTCTTCTCCCATTAAGGAATGATAGCGTCACCAAGTAGAAGGGTTGTCCCAGATGGCAGAGATTCAACAAGCTAGCCAATGCTGCTGTAAGGCACTGTGAAAGTAGTCAAGGGACTCTCTCATCTCCAGTGCTATGGCAGGATGCTAAAGCCACATTGTACCTTTTAACAGGTCTCATTAATCACAAGCCCATCTCCTGCTTACCCTCTTGGTTTCCTTTCTGTAAGGGAGAAGAAATAACAATGCCTTTATCACAGGGTTGTTCTAAAGATAAATGAAGATAGTATATGTAAAAAGCACAAAAGGCAATATTGTTCAAAGTCCACCTCTTATCCCCTCCTCTCCCTGACAAATTTGCAACTTTGTAGGCTTGGCAGATAAATTATTATTTTTACTTATTCTGTGATTTGTGTTTCTGAGATCTTTACGATAATTTTATGGCTGGAGCTCAGTTCCAAAAATAAAACATGGTATAGCCATGCAAGTCCATTTCAGGTTTATTTTTATTATTATTAAAACAGTATTTGAAACCTACAGCAGACTTTGTGGTTTCTCTTGAACAATTCTCTCAATCAAAGCATTAACATGTCTCCTACAAAGCTACATCTAAACAACCAGCTCTTTTCAGTTTATATTCTAAAGGTCAGGCAGTAAGGATTATTTTTTACAGCAGCCATTTCAACGGAGAAGAACAAAGCCGCAACACGCAGGAACTAAAGCAGCCCAGCTCCTGCCCAGAGAGGAACCAAGGGCAGGTTTTCCAACACCACTACTCTTCAAAGGACCGAGAAAATGACTTCCAGAAGCGTCCTGGTAACTACACTGTCCAGCTCACAAACACGTCTGGGGATTGTAAATTCCCAACACTAGGCAAGACCTGACACTAGGTTATCTGTCTCCATGGCAATCTCACCACGTTAATGGAGAATATTCCCTGCACTGCAGTGGACCAATTCTCTGGAGAAGCCCCCACATGGTGATTATGGAATAACTGATTCTAACAAGGAAGACAGCTGCAAACAGACCCTAGAGAAATAACGCCCTGAACTCTGATGGTGGGAGAAGGAGAAAAAGACCACCAAAGGAAGATTAGCATCTATTTTGAGTCTCCCTCTTTGCATTAAAAGCAGATTTCTCTTAGTTTAGCCCCGGAGGCTTATACCTGCTGTCTATAGGAAAAGAGCTCATAATATTGTAAAGCATCTGAAAGGCCTCCCCACACACATACACACACACACACACACACACACACACACACACACACACTGGAAACCTTCCCCTTCTTTAAATAAGCATCCTGGCATTTACTATCGTCAGATGTAATTACCTTTAAGGACTAAAAAGATTTGTGTTTACATAGGAGCATTCACTGAAGCATACCTATAAGGCTTACAGAGCATTCTAATTATAAAATAAAAACTCCCAGAGGGCGTAAATAACATTTCTACAAAAAATAGAAATCCATCAACGGCAACAGATGAGAATGACACACTAATCAAAAATTCTCATTAGGGCTATTAAAATTTCTAAAATAGGTTTTTGGGTTTTTTTTTAAAGAAAGAAAACCATTAGACTGCCAGTAATTCATTAAAACTTCACACATGAAATAGCAACAAGCTAGTTATCCTTTTCATAAGTTGAGTTCCTAAAGCCTCAGGAGAACACAGAAAGGTAATTGCATTCTCTCAGTAACTCCAGAGCAGAGATTTGCTGGTTACTCACAGCTTCCGCCAGGAACCACAGCAGATCTGGCAAACGAGGTGCTTTCTTTTAATTCCAATTAAATAGGCCCAGTGGCAGACCTAATGGTAGGTAATTTCTGTATCAAAGAAACTAAAAGGAAATCTTTAAGTTGCCAGATGGGTGAGAGCAGCTGGCTACAAGATGTCATTATATAAATGTGATGTTAAAAAAAAAAAATCATTCTTTTATGAGATTATTTTGCATGCAAATAGCATCTTTCACCCTCATTCCTAAAAACACTGTAAGCAGCTTAAAACATCCTCTAATCCCTTCTAGAGCGATTTTCTAATAAACTGGTCACCTGGGACTCTGCATCCTCCTTACATTCATGACCACCTGAACAGGCCACAACATTCTCTTAGTAGACAGACGGTATTTCTATTACAGAGTTTGGTTGTGTTCTCAAAAGCAAGCAGAGGGCCTAGTAAATTAGATCGCTCCAATGAAATGCTAATTTCTGAGAGTCCATTATAATCATGGATCTAAGAAGGGAGCCAGCATCTTCGAAGATTTAATGCTAAAAGAGCAAATTGTGTTCCAATTGTGGTGGTCCCAAAGTTCCACAAAGCCCCAAATCAGACTAGAGGCTACAGATTTAGCTAGTTACTGAACCATGTCTGCTGGCCTCACAGGTTTTGAACTGGATGAACAAATCTGCGTTAGAGACTGCCGATTTTTCCACACTTTCTCAGCCTGTGATGAAATCATTTCTTTGCATGACTTCAGCAGATAAGGTAAATCTATATCCACTGTTTTTTAATCTTATAGGCAATTATTCAAGAGAAGAAAATCTGCAGATACACCAGTTTGTCAGGTCATTTCCTTGTTCTGACACCTGGATTTTCAGGTCCTCCTTTTTCTGACTTAAATCACTGTAAAAAATTATTTTTCAAGTGCAAAATTCAAAGTATCAGAAGACAGCATGTGTGAAGACTGACCTGGCAGCAACAGGAAGCCATGCATCCAGACTTCACCCCGCCCTCCCCATCCTCCTGTCAAGAGTTTTCCTGATGGATTGGGAGGAGGTTAGCATGAGCTGGAGCTGTAATTCACTCTGAATCCAACTATTTAACTCTATCTCCATATATAGGATTGTTCGAGTCTCTCCCGCACATATGAGCAACAAAGCAATAGAGCTTTAAAAAAAATTCCATTTTCTGGCAACTGCCCCACTCCATCCTATCTGTTCCTTAAGCAAGCAGGCTGAACAAATCTCCGTGAGGCTAAAGAGCCAACAGAGCCTCCAGATTCGAAGAAAGACCAGCCATCGATATCGGCCCACAAGATGTCACTAGTAGATTGTGGTGAACATTTGTTGCTTTTCAGCCACTCGACACCCATTCTTAGAAAATAGCACCTCAACTTCCTTTTAAGGAATTAGCCCCCTAAACTGCATGCAGTCTTCATCAGACAATGTATCAAAGTGCCCTGCCCTTCCCCAGCCAAGGCACACCAGCAAGCACAGTATTCCCACTTCTATCCTGGGCCTCTGCTTCTCCAACATAATCACATACAGAAGGGAAAAAGCATTAATTCCAGGTGTGGCCACTTAAGAGACCTGCCTGTCTCTGCTGCCTGTATCCCTGAAGCAGCCCCAGCCTACACTTGTCGGAGCCTGTTGCCTCTGCTTTGGAGTCTGCGAATCATTCGTATCCTTCTAACACATTCTCTTTTTGCTTTAGCCAGGCAGTGTCAATTCCTGTCGTTTGCAATCCAAGGATCCTAACTAGCACCCTGGGGAACGGAACCAGGCCAGTGGGTGGCTCTCCTTAGCCACATGCACATGCCCGGAGTTATCCTGCCTCCATGGCAATGTCAGAAAGGAATTAAAGCTTAGTGTAGTATATGTGATATGAGCCACAAGCCGCCTTCTGAGAATCAAGGTTCAACAGTGCCCAGAGGAGAAAACTGCTAGGCCTGCATTCTGAAGTGGCCCCTGTCTTACCTGGAGCTGCTATAAGAAAGTACCATAGACTGGGTGGCTTATAAAGAATTTATTACTTACAGTTCTGGAGGCTAGAAGTCCAAGATCAGAGTGCCAACATGATCTTGGCACTTGGTAAGGGCCCTCTTCGGGGTTTGCAGATGGCATCTCATTATAGTCTTACATAGTGGAGACCAGAGGGAAGGAAGCTCTCTCAGAACTCACAGGACACTAATGCCATTCATGAGAGTCCATCCTCAGAACCCAATCACCTCCCAAAGGCCCCACCTCCTACTATCACCACCTTAGGGGTTAAGATTTCAACATATGAATTTGGATGGGCACAAAACATTCAATCTATAGCATGCATCAAGCTACAAAGGGTTGAAAATTGGTACAGGTGGAGGTGTGGGGGAGGGCGAGAGCAACCTCTAGGCATGTAATAGTGCAGTATTTCACCAATTTTGAATGACATAAGGCAGGGCATGCCCTGTCCTGTGGCACAGTCCCAACACTGCCAGCTGGATCAAACTTACCTCTTTTCAGTTATCTCCATTATCTGCCTGCACCTGATCTGTAGTTGATTTCCTACTCCTTTGTATTGTTACTTCATTCTATGTAACAGCAAGTAGGAAAAAGCACAAGCATGTGTGTGTGTGCGCGCGCGCACACACACACACACACTTTGCTACACATACCCCTTCCTTGCTCTCCAGCAGCTGAAGTATAGCAGCCAAACTCTTAAATTATAAATACCATGCAAAGAAAGAAATCTTTTTCCCAGGAGACTGCACACAATTGACAAGGCCTCTTTAACTCGTGGAGACTGCCATGTGGAAATATCAATACCCAGGAAATGTTGAGGGGAGCTAAGTAGCCACCTTCTGTAAGTTTAGAACCAATGTGCGTGTCAAGTTTCAAAGGAAAGTTGGCAATATCCTGCCACTCTGGTTTTAGTGAAGGGCACTTCTGCTTTTTCAGTCCACATCTCAAAAGCCCAGCTCTCACGTTTACACACACCAGCCATGCCCTCATTATCACCAGCTATGCCCTCATTATCTTCTGCTCTGAAGAATTAGGACTGACACGTGGGGAGACCATGGAAGGGCTTCCAGTGCCCCTTTTTTTGGCGTGATATTTATTACACTCATCTAACTGGCCCTGCCCACAAATCATTCTGCTAACTTGATGAGCAGGCTGTGCAGACAGTAGAAAGAGAATGAACTTTAGAGTCAGGCCCACTCAGTTCAGATCGCAGCTTTACCAGAGACTGATCCACTTGGGGACGTTTTCAGACCTGTCATTCATGGTCACAAGAGCTACTTGAGGATTAAATGCCCAGCCTCAGAATGTAACAAAAAGCCTGGCCTGGTCTGTTGTCCCTGTAACGTCCACTGGCACATAGCATGAGACACAGAGTTACTGTTTGAGGTAGCTCTGCCCCCTCCATGGGACAAAGGACCTCTCCCCACCTCCTCACTGCCCCTCACTACTCTCCTTCTCGCCTGAAACTTACATCACTAAAGTCAGTTCTCTACCTTTAAGAACTTTGCCCCTAGAAAAATCACCTTTAAATACAAATGTTAGCTGGGGAGGAAAGGAGAGTTCTGCGGAATCCCTCCAATTCCCTTCTCCCATCACAACCAGTGGTGACGTGGCAATGGGGTTGCTGGGGGCCTCTCAGACTCTCTCTGTCTTCTCTTCTTTCTCTGTAGTCCAAAGGGCCCTCACACCTACCTATGCCTTCAATTACTACCAAAAGACTGATGACTCCAACTCAAGCAGATCCTCTGAGCTCCAGACCCTCAGACCTAACTTCTTATCTGAATAATGTTCCCCTGGATGTTCCACGGGGACCCTAAACTCCCTCCTCCCTCACCCCTGGTTCTCCTCCAGCATCCCCAGTCTTAGAGAATGGTCTCACCCTCCATCCAACTCGGCAAGCCAGAAAACACAGTTGTCATTGAAACCTCCCTCTCCCATAGCCAACCCCTCACCACACCCGGCTAATTTCTCCTCCTAAATATCTCTCAGGTTCATCCATTTCTCTCCCTTCCTACTACCCTGTCACTTCAATACCATCATCTCATCCCTGGAAGACCACCCCAGCTCCCAGCCCTCCTCTCCGACCTGCAGTCCACTCTCCAATACAGCCAATGGATCTTCAAAAATGCGAAGGTATGACTTGCAGCTTAACACCCTTGACCAAAATCCTGAAGACAGGAGAGCCCCGCCTATCCCTCGAGCCCATCTCAGGCCAGTGCTCCCTGCTGGCCTATGTCCTCCATTCTCGGAGCCCCCACCTCACCTCATGCCCCCTATTTTGCCTGGCTAACTGCGCTTCTCACAGATACTAATCTCTACATTGCATATTCAAGGAACCCTTCACTGGCTTCTCAGTCAAGGTCAGGGCCCCCTGTTGTATAACTCTTGGCACCTGTGCTTTCACTTCTTGGTATGCAGCGTGGACTACCATCATACATTTATTGGTGAGGACTGGCATTTACCTTCCTCCCCGCTCAGACCGTCCTGAGGGAAGAGACCACATCTGACTGCCCACCCTTTAATCTCCAGCACCTGCATTAAGCATATGTTTGCTTCCCATACATTTATTGGAGGTCTACTCTGTGCCAGAGTATATCATCATACATTATTTTCCCCAAATTATGTAACTTAAAGGCTCATGTAGGATCTCACCCAAGAGGGCACAGAAAACAGCACATTTCTTTCTCTTTTTTTTTTTTTTGAGATGGAGTTTTGCTCTTTTTGCCCAGGCTGGAGTACAATGGTGGGTTCTCGGCTCACTGCAACCTCCGCCTCCAGGGTTCAAGCGATTCTCCTGCCTCAGCCTACTGAGTAGCTGGGATTACAGGCATGCGCCACCACACCTAGCTAATTTTGTATTTTTAGTAGAGACAGGGTTTCTCCATGTTGGCCAGGCGGGTCTCGAACTCCCGACCTCAGGTGATCTGCCCACCTCGGCCACCCAAAGAGCTGGGAGAAAACAGTACATTTCTAAGGAGATTCGCAAGGTGTTCGAAGAGTGACAGTTAAAATGATGTCCAAGTAAAGAGGCCAAAAACAGGACTGAGTGCCCAAAAGATGCTAAGCATGATGGTGAGTCAGGCAAACAAGGCAATGGGCAGATCCCAGAGGATGGCATTTGATGAGGGATGGAGAACTGCAAGGTTAAAGTTTGGCAAGAGATGCAAAATGATGGGGGAAAAAAGGTTCATTGCCCACCCTGTAATGTTTCTAAAGCCAGCACCCCCAATCCTTTACCAAAAGGCTTTACTGAATGTCCTGGTCACCCAACAGAGAACTGACCTGGAGGATTCCCGAAATAAAACTTCATATGGCTACTCCCCACCTTGCCAACTACTGCTCCCGACTCTCCCATTCCTGCCAAATTGCAAAGAATCATCCACCAGCCTCAGGTGCTGAATTATTCAATTATTCTAGTAGCTTTCCAAACACGTGTGCTGCTAGAAAATCTTTCAAAAATAAAAGAATCATGTTATTTAGACTACTAGGTCATTTTTGAAACCTGTCTTGAATTCTCGTTTGCCACGTAATTGTTTTTCTATTAAACAATAGCTCATTGACACCCCACCCTTACTAGCAAAAAGCAGTGGCAAACGTGTAATCACAAGACAATCTGCTGCAGTTACAGTCAGCATTACCTCCCAATCCTGCACAACAGCCCCCGGGCTCCTACCCTTACCCAAAGCTGAGGTACAGCTGCAGCACCTAAAATACTGAACACAGCAGCAGAGGACCTGAAGAACAACTTCCAACTATCCGCCATTCCCCTACACACACACCAACCTGCCTTATTTTAGTTAAAAAGAAAAAAAAAAAAAGCCTTCTACCTTCTAACCTACGTCACAATGCTAAAATCACTAAAATAATCTGTCTGCACTTAGATCTGGAAACCCCTCTTAACACCTCACCCACAACCCACCCACCCACTGCATGTCAGCTCTCTGAGATATTTTCTCCCAGTAGAACAAACCAAAGAAAATGTTTTGGGGAAGAAGGAAAACGAGTCACGAACCAAGCCTTTAAGACTCCATTTTAGCACAGGGCTCCTTTGAGAGCCCTATATTTCTGGCATGAAGATGAGTTCAGCCAAAAAATGCAAGTATTTGCCAGAGGTAGACTTTTAACCCCAAACCAGTAATAAAACTCACATAGGAGAGAATGACATTTTTCATTTAAGTCAAAAGCAGTCTGAGCCACTAAGTCTCAGGCACTTTCCTCTAACCTACAAATAGGGGTACCAGCAAGTTATTACAATATTAGATAGAGTGCATCTCATTGGAAGCAGATTAAGGCAGCCTTGCAGATAATCACTGGTCCACACTAACAATGCATGCTAGCCAAGTGATGGGATGGGGATGGTGCCTGTGTTAGGGACTAAGAAAACATCTGCTTGTTCATACAGGTTGTTGCCAGGAGGAATCAAGCTGCACCATTGCCCCAACTTTCCCAAGTGTCTCCCAGGATGCCAACAGTCACAAGAAAAAGAAAGCACACACACGGCCAGGCACGGTGGCTCACGTTTATAATCCCAGCACTTTGGGAGGCCAAGGTGGGTGGATCACTTGAGGTCAGGAGTTCAAGACCAGCCTGGCCAACATGGTAAAACCTCATCTCTACTAAAAAAAAAAAAAAAAATTACAAAAATTAGCCAGGTGTGGTGGTGCACGCCTGTAATCCCAGCTACTCGGGAGGCTGAGCCAGGAGAATGGCTTGAACCCTGGAGGCAGAGGTTGCGGTGAGCCAAGATCACGCCACTGCACTCCAGCCTGAGTGACAGAGAGAGACTCTGTCTCAAAAAAAATAAAAATAAAAAAAGCACACACTCATGCCTCACTCTTCCTCCTTACTTTTCCTTACCATTCCTCCACCTGTTTAGCTCCATCTCCAGATGCTGGATAACATTCTTCAAAGTCTTGTTTTTCTCTTTCTCTTTTTCATATTTCTTCTTCCATTCTTCTGCTGTCAGTTCTAGGTTCACAGAGACTGTATTCTTGATGGTCTTAGCTCTGGGATTAAAAACATAAGGGGACAATTCAGCTAATTATTACCATTAGCTAAACCAATATGATTAAGCCCAAGATTCCTCATGTCAAAAGACTGGAAATAGGGAAGCAGAAGGGATCCTGTGGCTTTCACCAACCATCCTCCTAATTGGACTAACGGCACCACTAACCCTTGAGGCCTCAAGCTCATCCTTTCCTTTTCTCCTTCACATCCCACTGGTCTCTAAATCTAATGAACATTTATTCGAATTGTCTCAGGGTTTCCTCTTTCTCTCTTCCCTCTGCCACTGTCTTAGTCTGTGTTCTCAGCCATCCTTATGGTTACAGCCTTTTTCAAATGTTCAGTACCCTCCTTTAAGCCCCCTGCATACCATCACCAGATTTACCTGCCTAAGTTGAGGTTCTTTTCAGTTCAATTAACATTTATGAATTTGGGGTACACCAAGACAGATAGACGAGGTCTCTGTCCTCTTGGAGACTGCAGTTTCTTATACCAATGATACACAGACAGAAATAATAGAATCAATTATTTCTCTTCCTCACCTGTGGTACCCAAAACCACCCCTGATGTATTTATCACATCAACACATGCCTCATAGGTCAGGTGGGTCCCACAGCTGAGTAAGGCTGGCCAGAGGACACCATGGCTCCCTGCTGAGCACACACCCGCCCCCCCCATCACAGCCCGTCATCACCATGCGGTGAGGAGGCCCCACAGTATTCAGATCATCCTATTTTCCAAGAAAAATCAGAAACTGTTTTTTCTTTAATTTGTGTCTCCCAGTTTTAAACTATTTATAAAAACAATGTGTGGGACAAACAAACATGCCTAATGGCCACCATTTTGCCACTTCCAGTATAAGAGATGATGCGATCTCTGGGGCACATGGCCTGGGGGGTTGAGATGCCACAGGGATGTACCTGGAGAGTAACCCAAAGGGGCAACTGTGGAGAGCAAATCAGTAGCTGCACCAAGTGATACCAAAAACAAAAGCCATGACTCAGCTCAGCATGCACAGAAACGAACACCTAAGTGGCCTTGTCCAATTAAAAAGGAAACTCCACTTAGGCTTACTTTCAAGAAGGTAAAGCTTCATTAAAAAATATGTGATATCCTGTTTTATTTGCTATTGACTTTTTCATTTTGAACTTCCAACAGTTCTTACACCGTCATATTTGCCAGCACAATCTGATTTGTGATTCGGGTTAATTACCGTTGTCAGCAAATGACATCCTGATTTCTATTTCAGTGCAAGAAATTCAGCAGTCCTCACCAGCACTACAGATGTCATTCCAAAAATTCATTGCTAAAGCAGACAACTAAATAACCCAACTGTCAAAAGAGGAGTTTAACAACTTCAATGTAAGACTCCATTTAAGAATTAGGATAACTCTCTCTTGTTCACTGTAGCTTGAGGCTGCAATCCCTAGAAGTGCTTTGAGTCTAATTTTTCAAATAACAGCAATTTTATTACTACTTTAAAGTCTGGTCCTGTTTGACACTCTCACCTCTCCTCCTGACATCCTCAGGCAGTACTGTGGATGCTTCTCAGATGCAAGCACAAACATTACAAGCATCCATTATCAACTTAGTAAGGCAAAAAGTGAAAAATAACTCATGGCTAAAATGCTTATGGACACTTAAGGGCACACTTCAAGGCTACTAATCTTACTTTTTAAATCATAAAGAGTCCCTTGATAACTTCACATGATACCAGAAAGAGAAAGCTAAAGCCTCTATGCTATACTCAGGCAGGTTTAGCCAGAGGCATATTTTGTGAGCAGACTCAGCAAGGTTATCACCATTGGTGTAACTGGTCCTCATTCTCAAAATACTTTTAACAATTGCCTAGGAAATCCCCACTTCTGTAGTAATCGGGGTCCTGGAAGGAAACAGACCACCTGCTCAAATTGCATGATTTGAAGAGTGCTTAACAAAGGTTTGGAAAGGTGTTGGGAAATAACAAGGGTTAATGTGGTACCCACATTAGGGACTGGGGAGCCATTACTACCCTTAAGCTGAAGGGGAGCCAGAGAGAGAAGGCTAGAAGGAAAAGATTGCCTGGTAGGTATGAATTGTCACAGCCATTGGTAGGGACACAGCCAACCCAAAATGATCTGGCAGGGAAGAAGCCAGGAAATAAATACCCGGACCTCACGCTCTTCTCTCCTTCTGATCGCCTGCCTGTGTTCCTTCCCCACGGGTGTAACATAACTGGAAGCCAGAGGAAAAGGAGCCCATTGCATGAGCCCAAACCAGTCACCCTCCTAAGTCACAAAGCAGGACAGAGATGGTGCAGAAAAGATCCAGAGGAGTAGCTAAAGATGCGCAACCCAACTTCCATTTGGAACTCAAATAACAGTGGGAATCTGTGTCTCACACTGGAGCCCGAGACTTCATTCAGCCCAAATGGGGCAAGCGGGGCCTTCACATCCACTAAAGGTAGAATATGAAAAAATCAGCTTACACTGAGAGAGAAAGATGTTAATTCTCCTAAAATTGCTCTAGAGAATTAAAGTAATCCCCACCTTCCCCCAAAAAAACCCTAAGGGGTTTGTGTATGTGTATAGAAATTGGCAAGCTGATTCTGAAATTTATAATAGAAATGAAAAAAAAAAGAATAGCAAGGACAGTTCTGAAGATCAAAGTTAGAGGATTGAACATCATCACTTTCTTATAAAGTAAAACTGATCAAATTGTCAGAAATCTTGGAATAAAAACAGAATAAATTGTCCAGAAACAGGCACTCAGATGACAGTCATCTGACTTATGACAAAAGTGTCCATAGAGAAGAGTGGAAAGGGCAGTCCTTTCAATACATGGCACTGAGGGGAAGTGGAACTTTATTCCTCACCCCCAATACCATGTAAAAAATTCTGTTCCAGAGAGATCCCAGACATAAATGTGAAAAGTAAAACAATAAAGCTTCCACAGAAAATATAGGACAGTATCTTCAAGACCTTGGGGTAGGCAAAGTTTTTTTTTTTTTGAGACAGAGTCTCACTCTGTTGCCCAGGCTGGAGTGCAGTGGCACAATCTCGGCTCACTGCAACCTCTGCCTCCCGGGTTCAAGTGATTCTCCTGCCTCAGCCTCCCGAGTAGCTGGGACTACAGGCGCCCGCCACCACGCCCAGCTAATTTTTTTGTATTTTTAGTAGAGACAGGGTTTCACCATGTTGGCCAGGCTGGTCTCAAAATCCTGACCTCTGGTGATCCGCCTACCTCAACCTCCCAAAGTGCTGGGATTGCAGGCATGAGCCACCATGCCTGGCCAAAGATTTCTTAAATAGAACATAAAAGAAAAAATAAATTTGACTTCATTAAAATTAAAAACTTGTCTTCATTAGAAGCCACCATTAAGACAGTTAAAAGGCAAGTTACAAGGTGGGAGAAGATATATAAAATACATATACCTGACAAAGGACTTACCCAAAATAACTGCTTTAAATCAATAAGAAAAAACTGGGCAAAGACTTGGAACAGGCACTTTATAAAAGAAGTGCCAATAAAACACCTCCTGAAAAGGTGTTTAACATCATTAGCCTTCAGGGAATGCAAATTAAAACTACAATGAGATACCTTCCCACACCCAATAGAATGGCTAAAAAATTTAAAACTGATAATGCCAACTGTTGCTGAGAATGAGCAATGACTATAACAGTCAACTACTACTGGAGAGAGTGTGAATTATTACTGTCGTTTTGGAAAAATCTTTAGTAGTATCTACTAAAGTAGAATATTTCACACCTTATGACCTGCTCCCACCTAACAGAAATGAGGACATATATTCACCCAAAGGCATGACAACCAATGTCATAGTAACTTTATTTATAATCACCCCAACATGAAAATAATCCAAATATCCATCAACAATAGAATGGATACCTATAAGCCATATTCATACAATAGAATACTATATAACTGTGAAAAATGAACTACTACTACACCTAACAATGTAGATGAAGTTCACAGATAAAACGCTGTATGAAAGAAGCCAGATACAAAACAGTACTGGGTGATTTCATTTTCAAATAATTCAAAGACAGGCAATAACAATCTATGTTGATGGAAGTTAGGGTGACAATTACCCTTGAGAGTTCGGTGTTGACTGAGAGGGTCAAAGAGAGAGGCTTCCAAGATCCTGGGTGGTGGTCACATGTGTATATATATTTATAAAAAAAAATTAGTTATGCACTTAAGTTTATGTATTTTACTATATTATATTCAATAAAAATTGAGTTAAGAAAAACAAACTGATGGAGAAAGAAATCAAGTCAGATACAAGAATTTCCAGATGCAGAATAAACTAGGGTTACTAAGAGAGATACTGAATTTTTGTGCCCTGAGGTTTATTGTTTTTTTTTTTTTTTTTTTTTTTTTACTAGAACAAACATTCTCCTATCTAGGATGTTAAAAACAATCTTGCAAAGTGAAATAAAGAGGGTCTCAGTCTCTCATTCTCCCAAGAGACTAAGAGTAAAAGGATATAGAATATCTACAATTTCTTTTTCTTTTTACCATCAACTTTGGCAAATTTAGAGAATGAAGGAGCCTAATGATCACTAGCTTCTTTCTATTTGGACATTCAAAATTCACTTTCCCTTAATTAGCTTTAACTGATTTCAGAGGAAAAAAAGAAAAAAAAATCAGTTTCCTCCTTTGTTAATATCTAGCTAGTTGCCATCAATGCGGTTACACAGTGTTCTGCTGTCTTGTTGTGGTTTGGATCTAGGGCGTGAGGCTGCCAGTGAACATGATCCGGAACTTGGGCACAGGCCCACACGTGTGCATTTATTGTTCAGCCTTGTTTCCAAAAGAACTTCAGGTAGCTTACAGGGAGACACAAAATCAAGAAGACAGCAGAAATTAAGAAGTGCTCTTAAGGCAGGTTTTGTGATTTTGTCTAGCAGAAGCTATATACAGCAATTGTGATACCAACCAGCCTTATGGTTCCAGGACATTATCTCTTTGATATAGAGAAACAAGTCAATGACCCATAGAAGCCTTATTCTAGCCACTTACTGACTGCTCACTCATCCTCTTTAAAGGTGAAACTGGCTGTGATACTATTTGATTAATCCAAAGTGGCCTGATCATTCACAAAGAAATACAAAAGTGGGTTCTTCATTTCTAAAAACTCTCAGGGTTTTCAATCAGAGCCCTCAATGTATATACAGATATCAATGTCTATTCCACAAGTTATAACCGCAGCAGGAACTGAGCAAAATCCTAACCAAAGGCTACTCTGGGAAAGAACTTTAATTCAGTCCTAAGTTTATACCCTAACAGCAAGACCTGCTTTTAAAACTGAGTCAAATTGTGAGGATGCCATTATCAGGGAATCTGTTTTGCATCTTTTCCTTGTTTTGGCTTGCTTCAAGTCAAGCACTACTTTAATGATATATGATCTAGGCATGCCCCAGGTATAAAATCTCTTCTCCCCACAGGGAGGGAACCAGGACCAAATTTTTTAAAGACCTCAAAGCTAATGAATGTTAACCACCCTTAGGAAAGGCAGACCAAGCCTAGTGGACAAAGATCAGAGGCCACAGTACATCTTCCATCTAGATACTGCTACAGAGACAGTTAAGTCAGTAAAGATTCTCTTAGATATATTCTACTAAAGAATGGAAAGAGGAAACTACCTCCCCATTGTCGAGCATTCTGTTATTTTCTTCCCAGCACCACTCAATCCTTCCATCACTGAATTTGCAGTTTACATTTCAGAAGCACATGGCCAGCTTCCAAGACTGCTGATGCTACCCATCTCCACCACCGAGGTTAAGCACCCACATGTGATGACACTGAAGGCACCCTCGTAAGTTGGCACTTGAACGAAGCCCTCCTTGAGTGGGGAGAAGACCTAGAACCACTGCATTCTGATGAGTCTCATCCCCACCTGCTTTCCCAGTGGTTTCCTACACTCATATTTCCTGGCCACAGTCAGTTCTAAATGACACGAGGAGTGCCTACCTTTGGCGTTTCTTCTGTTTACTTTGGCTTCCCTGGAATAACCACAAAGATATTTGTTCTTGGTACCTTCATACCTTTTATTTCAGCATCCTTCTTTTCTCACCAGGTGTTCAGGATAGTGCTGGCATTTGAATAAGGAGCTCTAGACAACCTCACACCTTCAGCACACAGAATAAATCTGTCATGTGTGATTCTGCACTGTGAATGGTGTGTGAGAGACAGAAACGGAGATTCTCCCACTGTGGGAGCAGGAGAGGATAGAGAGTATAGCATTCTTCACTATCAGAGCTCTCCAGAGAAACAGAACCAATAGGAGAAAGATAAAGACAGATGATAGATAAATATAGATAATATATTATATATCCTATTGTATATATAAAATCCTACTATATATACATACATACATATATATGATATACCTCACTCTTTTATTTACTTAAGAAACTGACTCACATGACTATGGGGGCTGGCAAGTTTGAAAGCCATAAGGCAGGCTGACAGCTGCAAACTGAGGCTGGAGTTGATGTTACCATCCTGAAGCACAATTTTTGTCTTCTCCATGAAACCTCCATTTTAGCTCTTAAGGCCTTTAACTGAGTGGATGATGCTCGCCCTTATTATTGAGAGTAATCTGCCTTGCTTAAAGTCAGCTGATTGTAAGTGCTAAGCATATTCTACAAAGTACCTTCACAGCAACGCCTCGATTTGTATTTGATTAAGTAACTGGGCACTATGGCCTAGCCAAGCTGACATATAAAACTAATCAGAAACTAACCTTCCAATCTGCTCTGAGACCTAGTTCCCATCTAAAACACCCAAACCTTCTTCTGAAAGGACCACTGCTCCAAAGCACCTTCCCAGCTTCTGGTGAGGCCATTTCCCTGCTTGTGAGGGAAGGAGGGAGGGCAGGAGGGAGAAATGAAAATTTTGTGTCTTTAAAAAGTTCTAGTCTCCTGAGAAACATTCAGAAATGACATGGATAAGGACTTGGCATCTAGTTAAATGTATGTCACCCACAGTATTTCTTCCCTCCAAGGGCAAAAATTAACCCTACTGGTGTTTCAGCAACAGGCCCCCCAACAGGAATGATTTAAGCCTTTTTTTCTTTCATGTCAAAGTGTAGCCAAGTGTCTGCCTTGGCCAAAATGCTCATTCTACTCTCGTAGGTAATGTGTTCTCATGTTCTGGTGACATAAATTTCATATGCACACTATTCAGGCTCTGCCTAATCTAGCTACCACTAAACTGGCAGATGACACAATTAAAATGATGACACGACTTTTTTAAGTGCACATCAGGAAAAGAAAAAAGATTATTACTTTCCCTAAGATATCAATTCTCCTTCCACATTCAACATACAAACAAAGCCTCAAATTATTCATGCTGGATCAATCAAAACTCCCAGTGCCAAAGATGTGCCGATTCAGGTCTTCCTAACCACATTGGTCTGCCCCCTCAGAGGGCCTCTTTCCCTTTATTACCACCCCAAATCAAGGTACATTAAATAGGCTTCCAACACAATTGGGTGATTTGAGTTCACACTTCTAAAACATAAATATCTTTTTCAAATAGCGCTGTAAAAGTAGTTGAGAAGAGTAATTAAAGACTACAAAATAGAATTCTGGAAGCCAGAAGAAAAGAATCAATAAAAGTGCTCTAATTTGAGTCTGGCTTTTTGACTTTCTACTGCCTCGTAATTCAAGTGCTGCCTCCTCAGCTAGATTAAAAGCTCTTTGAGAACACAGGAGACAGCACTTACTTCTTTAATGGCACGATGCTGGGCATTCAGGAAACTAAAGGAAACAACCCCGACTGAATGGAAGAACCAGAATGCTGGAAACCATCATTCTCAGTAAACTAACACAGGAACAGAAAACCAAACACCGCATGTTCTCACTCATAAGTGGGAGTTAAACAATGAGAACACATGGATGGATCACATATCGGGGCCTGTCGGGGGGTGGGGGGCTAGGGGAGGGATAGCATTAGGAGAAATACCTAATGTAGGTGACGGGTTGATGGGTGCAGCAAACCACCATAGCACATGTATACCTATATAACAAACCTGCATGTTCTGCCCATGTATCCCAGAACTTAAAAGTATAATTTAAAAAACAAAAATAGAAATAGACATGGTAAATTTTTCCCTTTAAATTCCAGTATCTAACCTATAATCCTGAAGAATGCTAACAGGACTCTTGGTAGAGTGCCTTCAGGGATCTGCAGATTGAACTGCTTCGAAACACATACTACACTGTGTTATTCAGAACATCAGTACAGTCAAGCAGAACAAACGTGTACTCTCTTCACGTCCTTGAAAGAACCACAAAGGAATAACGGAGGAACCTCATGCTGCCCTAAGGTTTGGCCACCTCTGCAGTAAGAATATAATGAACACTCATTACAATGAATTTGGGATGTGCCCGGCAGTCTTTTCTGAGTTCAAAGTGCTTAATCTCATTAGCTATCACATACCATGTCTAATCCGATGTTCAGTCTTGTGTCTGCTGTATAATTGGGTTCAATGAGTATATTTAACAATACAGCAGGTATTGGCCCCATAGAATAGCTCAGCATCCTTAAATAATCCATTAACTAACTTGGGGATAAAGGGAAAGGAACGAAACCTCACACATTTCCAATAATAGTTTGGAAAGCAAACCAGATCCAAACCCAACCAAACTTCTGGACGTAATGGCATCAATGTTCAGCAACTGCCCTAACTTTCCAAGTAACCTTACACAATAAGCTTTAGATTCATCTGTTCATTCATTTGATAAGCATTTATTTATTGACCACCTACTGTGAACTAGTTGTGCAGTGGTTGATGAGAAACTAATGTCTGTGACAAACTCAGTCCCTGCTGTCACAGAGAGCAGAATCTAGATGACTCTGATAAAAGAATGTAGACCGACCTATTTCATTTGAAAACATAATTTATATTACTTTTTACTTCCTGGAAGCCCAAATTACCTGCAGCATTTTTTATTTGTTCATTCCCAAAATGTAATTCTAATTCTACTTTATTTAATCCTCTCCCTTATATGACAGTGCTGTCCCTTACAGTGCATTATATTCAGTCTAGTCCCATCTACTACTATGACCTTTTCAAGCCGCAATACTGTGAGATTATTTAAGACGAAGGAAAAGCAGAACTTGCAATCACCGATAGCCTGCCATCGGTCACGGACTTTTTTACCTGGACTCATGCCAGCCCTTGTGCTAGGTAAAAACTGAAGCAACTCATATAATCCTCCCAATATTCTTGAAAGTAGGCATTATTATATATCTCTCTGTGGGAGAGAAGACTGGGGCTCAGAGGGGAGAGGTAAACAAGAGAATGGGTCAATAGCAGAATTAGCTTCAACACTGGGCTTACTGACCCAAAGGGCTGTGCTCAGACACTGCATCCTAGGACATCCTACATGTTTAGTCACTTACTGGCTGTGTGGTCTCAGGTATGGTATCCAATGGCTTTGCACCTAAGCCTTGATTTCATACCCTGTACAAAGGTGAGATAATTGCTGTCAGAAGTGCTATAATTTTGACACACCTGACATATATTAGACACTAACTGATATTCAAAATGCTTCCTGTAGACAGCTGCAAATACCTCCTGATAACAGCAATGCCCCAAGGTGACTGGGCCTTGCAAAGATAGCCAATGCCCCACGGTGACTCTGGCTTGAGAAGAGCCAGAATATTTTTGCTTTGCTGGTAAGGATTTTTTTTGAAGAGATGTTTCCTTTATAAATGCACTTAGAGCTGGTTTGCTCAAACATGTCTTCAGAGGAAATTGTTAAAGCTCAAGTTTAAGACACTGGGCAGGATGCGATCTTGTTTTCCATAAGCAGATGCTGGTTTGTGGGTTTCTGAGACCCTTGAGGAAAGTAGGTGTTATCCTACTGCAACCCCCTTGGCCTAAGCATTTAACTAATCAAGGAAGCGATTTGGGAGGAAGTAAAGGACCCAAATCCAGTTTAAAAGATATATTAGGTCTACAACATTTCAATATAATTATTATTTATTTAGACATCCCACAGGTGCCACGGCTGTGTAATTCTATGTTCTGTTGAGGGCTCAGGAAATGACTGGGGCTTAATGCAGTTTAAACAAGCCATAACAATTTCCCAGACAGAATGCCCACCCCCATCTGTCCTTTCTCTCATCTTAAACTATTCCTTAGGCATAACCACACAACACACACTCCCAGGGAGAAGGCAGGGAAGTGCTCTGTGCATCCATGTACAAATGAGCTAGTTAAAGCCCACAGAGCACTGGTGACTTGTCTAAAGATCACATGATTGTTCAGAATTAAACAAACCGAAGGCAGCAGAATCCACATCCAACCTCAGCCCTCTGAGCCCTCATCCAACATCAGAGCTCGCTGAGCACTGAAGATGTTCAGATCGCCCAATCCACAGAACCGCAAGCACTCTGGGAATGAACACTGAGGCACGAGGGCTGAAGGATAGAACCTAAACACTGGAACTGAGGAAACATGCCTGAAGGAGGTCAGGCCTTGGACAGTGGGAGGGGGTAGGTAAAAAAGAAAGTGACAAGAAAAAAAGATATGAACCAAACCACACATGTAACTCTTGCTTTACGATTATGGAGTCGTACCTGCTGCCCACCTATGGACACCTCCCAGGGATCTAGGAAGTCTCATGTGGGAATTTTTAAAAGTAGGAAGCTGTCATCTGCATCTCTTCTCAGCATACAGTCCAGACCTCCTACCTCCAGTGCTGGTAAAGATTCCTTCCCCTTCTTTTCCTTTTATACCTCTCTTCTGCATTCACCTAATTTTCTGGGTGTTTTATCAGCAACTGTGCAATGGATCGCAAATACCGGAGCTAAAGGCAGTTATCAATCTTGAGATTTACACACTTGAAATAATATGAACCTAAAAGGTAGACTCCAGTGCCATGAAGAACAAAAGTAACACCCCAATGCATTTCCAATTCACATCTGAAATGAGTTTGGTTGTTCCGTTTTGTTTTAAACACCATACATTTGACTGGCATGTTCTTGCCCATTATTTTAAAATATAATTATTGCTTTGGCTTCAATAAGTGATGCCTCAAGTTTACATATCACCTGCTAGATGTAATTTAGTAAAAGGCTGTTTGTCCCTTACTTTGTGATTCTCTGACAATAGCCCCTTGCCACTCACTATTCTTTTTTTTTTTTTTTGAGACAGTCTCGCTCTGTCGCCCAGGCTGGAGTGCAGTGGTATGATCTTGGCTCACTGCAACCTCCACCTCCTGAGTTCAAGCAATTCTCCTGACTCAGCCTCCCAAGTAGCTGGGACCACAGGCGCATGCCACCACGGCCGGCTAATTTTTGTATTTTTAGTAGAGACAGGGTTTCACCATGTGGGCCAGGCTGGTCTCAAACTCCTGACCTCAGGCAATCCACCCGCCTTGGCCTCCCAAAGTGCTGGGATTACAGGTGTGAGCCATTGCACCCAGCCTTGCCATTCACTCTTAAGACCCAAGACCTAGCACAGAGGATGGGTCCTGAGAGACCACACGTACCTCTGTCCGAACATCAGTGTGGACTTGGTCTCAGCCTCATTGAAGACAGAAGGAGAACAGCAAATGACGATGGTGGTTCTGCAGTTCCCACCCAAAGAGTCCTGAAGAATCCGAGTCATCTTGCTGTCCCGGTATGGCACATGTGTTTTCTATTTAGGAAAAGAAAAAGTATTGGTTTTGACAGCCCATTCTGAGAAAAACACAGAGGCAAGCAAGTCAGGGATGAAGACACTGAGCTTAGAAACCGAGTAAAACAAGAATTTGTGGCTGGGTCTTTGGATCTTGCCAAAGTTTAGAATGCCCATTCTTTGACCTATGTCATAGGAAATTAGCATCACCATTCATACTTTTTAGTAGATGGGAACTCCCAGCAAGCAGGCATCCATAGCCAGGATTCCCTCTGTCCTCTTCCAAACAGAAAAACAAACCAGCCTTTGGGGTGTGTGGCAAAGGGACTATGAGGCCCCAAAAGGTGGTTTCTCATAATATTACTTAATAGATGGGGGCAGGATCACTTACTGTCCCTTCTGCCAAAGCAGAGATCACATTTCCAAGAGCAGACAAAGACTTATTGATATTTTTAGCTTCGTCAAGAACAGCTCCCTCGGCACCAGTTTTGCTGACCTACCAGAGAGAAAAGAAAGCAGTGAGCAGCACAGGACGGCAGAAGCACAAAGTAGAAATTTCAAATTCACACGAGGGCAAAGGGGGACAGCCTCCTGGAAAGCAAGGAAAAATAAAAGTAGAGAAGACCCACAGTGATAAAAAACCATCCTTCGTGTATGAGGCTGGGGATTTGGTCTCTCCTGCCATCATTTTCCTCTCAATTGGGTTTTAGTGGAATAGCTGAAATACCTCAAATGGTGGAGCTGCAGATGCTTCCCCAGGGGCCATCCATCCAGGGAAACCAGGCTCCAGAAGTGCTGTCACCATGGGTAGCTCGGGCCCTGGGAGACTGAGCCGCAGTCCCCATGCCGAAGGGAGCCCAGAGGGAAGCATGAAGAGAAAATATTGTCCTGAGCCACAATGAATGGGCATATTGGAAAAATGTAAGTTACGGGCTCCAAGTTCAGGCAGATGACTAGAGGCGGTAGGGTTGGTTATCTAGAGTCCGTTCCTTCCCTACTTATTCTCATAGCAAGGAAAAAATGAAAAATATCCAAAAAGCAAAAAACTTGGGAGAGAAATGAAAAGTCAAATGTATACTGCATCGTAAATTTGTCTTTTTTCCTCTGCAGCCAGAGGGACCATGCATAGTTTCTCCTTTGCTGCGTTATTGCTGGTAATTTCATCTTGACAGCATTTATTCTAGGTAGAGGGCAGTTTACAGATGCTAGAAAAAAGGGAACTCAACATGATTCATGTCTCTGCTGACTGGACAAACGATGCAGGGGGAGCAGCTGCTCTCTCAAGAAAGGAAGTGGGGAAGCAATGTTCAACTACGCAAATTCGAATCACATATAAAGGAGAAACTCCTGATGACAGAAATGAATTCATGTCCAGGGGGAGGTTTCTTTCCAAATAGAATAGATTCTCAACTCCCTTGGACTTGTTTGTGTGGTACCCCTGCTTACACATAGAGAAATCATGTAGCTGATGGGTCACAAATAGTAGCAGTCTATGTTATTTTAAGCACTGTTATTTTAAGATGCTTTCTTATTTGAGCATCTTAACTCCATGAAATATACAAGGCAGGTACCATCTATCACCCTCCTTCGACAGACAGGAAACTGAGCCCCAGAAATGTCAAACTGCCAGCCTAAGGGAAGAACACCATTCAGGGGAGACGGGAACTAAAGCCCAGAGTTCTTTTCTACAAGATCACACTGACACAGTCATATGGACACATCTAGGGCAAAGGAAAACAGGTGTGTGTGAGCAAAAGAAACTACGTGAAGGACATGATTTCAAACACCTCATAAATATCATTAGCAATAACCACTGACACTGTGCAGAGGCAGGCCTCCACTCCAGTCTGTCAGTATTAAGCAGTTTTCAGGTGTATTTAGGCTCTAAATAACAATAATCCTCCATTATTTCCATCTGTTGTACGTCTGTTTAACTAAAGTTACAAGCCCGTACTAGTAAATTTTTTTTTTTTTTTTTGAGACAGAGTCTCCCTCTGTCACCCAGGCTGGAGTGCAGTGGCACGATCTCGGCTCACTGCAAGCTCCGCCTCCCGGGTTCACGCCATTCTCCTGCCTCAGCCTCCCGAGTAGCTGGGACTACAGGTGCCCGCCACCATGCCTGGCTAATTTTTTTTTTTTTTTTTAATTTTTAGTTGAGACACGGTTTCACCATGTTAGCCAGGATGGTCTCGATCTCCTGACCTCATGATCCGCCCACCTCGGCCTCCCAAAGTGCTGGGATTACAGGCGTGAGCCACTGCACCCGGCCCCATACTAGTAAAATTTTAGATTCCCAACTAGAAATACCCGGATGACTTTCTGCTCAGGTTTTACAAATGCATACTAGAGGACAATCCAAGTAACCATTACTCACGTGGATGTAAGTGGCCATAACTTGGCATACGGGAACTCAGTGATGTAGTGCAATAAGTGGGGATCAATCATACAGTTAGGGAGACTGACCAAGCTTCAAGGCTGGCCTTCATGGGGACAATCAGCATGATGTCAGTGATGATGGAGGCCAGAGGGCATTGTGCACATGGCCTTGCTCTATGATGTTGCTCGAGGGAGGTCAGTGCCTCCAGACAGGGTGTGGCAGCAGAAGCCTCCACTGGTGCTATGGAAGTGAGACTGGAGATTCTGGGAAGCCTATTGCTCTGGAGTACAGCCCCAGCCAGGGCCTGGGAGGGCATGGGTCAGGGTGTAGACGACAAAAGAGAATCCGGACAAAACCAGAGAACAGTAAAGGCTTGCCGCTGAGGCTGATTACAGGCCACACTTCATGAGAGAGCCAAGGCCTTCCACATGGGACACCGTCAGCCCATGCCTACTGCTGGGAGAACCAGGGAATGCAGGGAGCGCCCCAGGTTCCAGACCTTCTATCAGCAAAACAAACCTGCAGAGGCAGGACTGCCACATTCCAATGGCAAAGCTCGTTCCTGGCCTATTAGAGTCGGGTACAACATGGGATTTTCTCTTTTCTCAGAAGTTCATATCCCTCCCACATGTGTGCAGCTGCCTCTGCCACAGGCTAAGTCAAACCAACTGTTGCCTCATATCATCATAAGGGCCCATCAGGGATAAATCAGAGTTGGCATGCAAAGCACCTGCCTGTGACACCAATAGGAGACCTCAGGACCAGAAAAGAAAGCAGGGACAAAGGGTTAAATGTAATAACACCTTGGCAGAGCCTCAGAAACTTTAAAAGCTCTTTAAAGCAGGAAAATAGAAAAGCATAAAAATTATACCATTGCACAATGAAGCAAATAAAAGGGGAAAATTATAGATAATACAAATAAAGAACAAATTACCTTTTCGCTCCCAGCCAAATCAACCAAATAAAGTTTCCCACTGAGTTTTTTTTCAGTCTCTACATTCTCTTGTTTAATATTTATCAGGAAGATACTGTGACTTCTAGAGCTGTGTTCATTCATGTCTGAAAAGGAAAATAGTTTACTGCTCTACAAAGAACATGTAGGTTTAGGTAGCAATCCTCTCATTTAAAAAGCATAACAAGTCATGCCTAATAGATCCATTTCATTGAAGTAAGTCCAGTCAATTCTAAAAATTATCTGAGACCCCTGTTTCTTCTGAAAAACAATGCTCATTCTAGAAATACAAGATTTTAAATGTCTTCAAGGAGCAAAGAAGTTAATCTAAAAATCTTAGTCAACAGTTTAAGATATCAGATTTTCTAGCTCTACCTGAAGCCCCATCCTCTAAATTCCTACTCCAGCATGACTTTCCCCTTGAAGAATTCACTACCTCCTCCCCTGCCTCACTTTAAATTCCTCAGACTTCATCATGATTAATACATGATGTAGTCTATCTTAGTCATGTGCATAAGCCTTGCCTTATCAGTAATATCATAAGCTTTCTTAAGCAAGGATTAAGACTTTCCTAAGGAAGGATTAAGACATACACTTCTACAACCTATGCTAACAGCAAAGAAGGTTTCAAAAATTAAATATGCTTCATTAAGATGGGGTACTGGAAATAAAAATCCTTGCAAATCCTCGTCTTTGTCTGCCAAGCAGACAGAGACCCCAGCAACCATCCCATTCAGCCTTCACCAGCAATCATTTCTCAAAACCATCTTACCAGATTATATGTAAAAAGCCCTAAAGATTCATTTTTAAAAAACTGTTAGAACTAATAATTAATTCAGCAAAGCTGTAGGATACAAAATCAACATGTAAAAAATCAGTTGCATTTCTATATACTAACAATGAACAACCCAAAAAATTAAGAAAACAACCTTATTTATAATAGCAAAAAAAGAATAAACTACTTAGGAATAAACTTAACCAAAGAAGAGAAAGACTTGTACACTGGAAACTACAAAACATGACTGAAAGATATGAAAGAAGACACAAATAAAGGGATTGATTGAAAGACTTAATATCATTAAGCTGTCAGTATTACCCAAAGCAATCTACAGATTCATGGCAATCTCTATCAAAATTTCAATGACATATTTTATAGAAGCAGAAAAATCCATCCTAAAATTTATATGAAATCTCAAGGGATACCAAATAGCCTAAACAATCTTGAAAAATAAGAACAGAGTTGAAGGTCTCACACTTCAACAATATAATGGACTTTGGGGACTTGAGGGGAAGGGTGGGAGTAGGGTGAGGGATAAGAGACTACAAATAGGGTGCAGTGCATACAGTTCGGGTGATAGGTGCACCAAAACCTCACAAATTAGCACTAAAGAACTTACTCATGTAACCAAATACCACCTGTACCCCAATAGCCTATGGAAAAATAAAAAATAAAAGTTACTACAAAGCTACAGGAATCAAAACAGTGTGGTATTGACATAAAGACAGACATATAAATCAACAGAAGAGAATAAAGGGCCCAGAAATAAATCCTCACATATATGGTTGAATAATTTTCAACAAGAGTGTCAAGACCATTTAATGTGGAAAGAACAGTCTTTTCAACAAATAGTGTTGGAAAAACTGGATAGCTACATGCAAAAAATATATTAATGTTGGGCCCTTACCTTAGAGTACATGCAAAAATTTACTCCAAAAGGATCAAATACCTACATATAAAAACTAAAACTATAAAACTCTTAGAAGAAAACACAGGAGAAAAGCTTCATGACATTGGACTTGGCAATAATTTCTTGGATATGACACCCAAAGCACAAGCAACAAAATAAAAATAGACACTTCATCAAAATTAAAAACTTTTATATCAAAAGACACTATCAATAGTGTAAAAAAGCAATCCATGGAATAGAAGAAAATTTTATAAATCATATATCTAATAAGGGATTGATGTCCAGAATACATAGAGAACTCCAAGTCAACAACAACAAATTAACCTGATTAAAAAATAAATACAGACCTTGAATAGACATTCCTCAAAGAAGATATACAAATGGCCTATAAGCACATGAAAAGATGCTGAACATCACTAATCATTAGGGAAATGCAAATCAAAACCACAATGAAACAGCACTTCACACCATTTGGATGGCTATTATAAAAATAATAACAATAACAAGTGGCAAGGATATAGAGAAATGGAAACTCTGATGTACTGCTGTTAGGAATAGAAAATGGTACAGCTGCTATAGAAAATCGTAATAATAGCAAATAGTAGCGGTTCCTCAAGAAATTGAAAGTAGAATTACCATGAGATCCGAAAATTCCACTTCTGCATATATACTCAAAAGAATTGAAATCAAGGACTCAAATAGATGTTTGCACACCTATGTTCATAACAGCATTATTCACAACTGCCAAAATGTGGAAGCCACCCAAGCGTCCATTAATGGTTAAACGAATTTTTTAAATGTTGTATATACATACAATGGAATATTGTTCAGCCTTAAAAAGGAAGGACACTTGCTACCACATGGATGAAACTTGAAGACATTATGCTAAGTGAAATAAGTCACAAAAGGACAAACACTTTATGATTCCACTTACATGAGGTACCTAGAGCAGTCAAATTCATAGAGATAAAGTAGGTTGAGCAAGAGGAGAATAAAGAATTGGTGTTTATTGGGTACAGAGTTTTGGTTGGAGAAGATAAAGTTCTAGAGATGGAAGGTGGTGACATTGCACACATTGTGAAGGTACTTAACATCACATAAATGCACACTTTAAAATGGTTAAGATGGCAAATTTCATATTAAGTATATTTTATTGCAATAATAAAGAAAAACCTTACCAGAATGATAAGAATAATAGCAATTTTTTTTTAGATTAGCAGTTCCAAACCAAGGCATCAAAATGGATTATCAGGTATGCCATAAATAATTTGTGATTAAAAACAGCTTCAGAAACAGAGTGAATAACGTAAATGAGAGATGCTACTACTATAAGAATATCTGTCTTACATTCTTTCAGGTATGTGTGCATGTTTTAAGCAAGAGAAAAAGAAGTGGAGCTTGACCAACATTTCATCCAGGAATAGGCTCACCTATGAAAGTTGCTATATACATGAATATCATCTGATACATTGCTCAGATAGAGAAAATGTTGAGAATTACAGTTCTGGACCACAGAATCAGAGAGTCTTGGGTAGAAGAGACTTAAAGAGCCTAGACCAGTCAGGAAACCAATGCCTGAATCTCTTTTACAACATAACAGTGAACTCACTACCTCTCTAGGTAGCAGGCAGCACTTGGGGCAGCTATAAGGGTTGGAGAGTTCTCCTCACAGGGGTCGAAATCTGCCTCCCTAGAGCTCCAACAATCATGGGTATTCTAAGTATTGAGATGGAACAGAACAAGCTGACCCTCTTTCTTAGTGTCAGCACCTTCAACACGGTAAGATATATTACATTGTCCACACACCCTCCTCCAGATTTTTTTCCCTCATGCAAGCTATAAACCCTTAGTTCTCTCAGCTTCTGTTCATATGAACTCACTGTCATTTGTCCACATCCCTCTTAATAAGATAGACAACTGTCTTTTTTCACGGATCCTCTGCTGCCCAAATCCCATATGCACTGCTTCCCTGAGATGCAATGAACATACTGAGGAAGGAACTGCAGAGCCAATGAGCCGATCTGAATGTGTCTGCTAGTAACATATCGGAAGGCTTTCCCTAAAGCTCCTGGCTCTGCTTTCTGACTTCCTTCTTCCCTTTCTTTTTCTTTTTTACAGAAGGCAGAAATCCAACATGGTTTATTTCCATGTGTGTGACTGCAACATATTATAGAATTTGTTGGTTTGGAACTTTTTTTTAACCTGAACAATAACATGATCAAAATAAATAAACTGATGAGCTTACTCTTTCCCTCCCTTTGGTTGGCTGGTTGTTTATTTTTCCTAATGTTCAGGCTTAGGCTGTTATCAGGGTCCAGTAAGTCTCACCCAATATCTCCAAGACCTCAGAGTCCTGTGGACAGCAGAAGGCACCCTTTCCCATGACTGCCTAGACATACTCATAGCACACATACCCTGGCGTCTGTGTCCGAGCACTGCTCTTTAATCACCTTCCCATGCATTCTTTCATTTGTACCTAATTCCCCACCCCCCTCGGTTGGTGGGCAGATATCTGTCTCCCAAGCTGCAGGGGAGGAAACACCCCCACCATGCTTACTTGTCACAGCCACGTGTCGGTTTGCTTTGCCTTCATCTATTACATCCATGACTTCCTCAGGGCTCGACACAAACCGCTCAGTGCACCCCTGGAAGAGAATCAGTTCAGGTTCACCACTGAAAGAGTTGAAAAGCAACAATATTTTGAAAGGCTGAAACATTTTCCTGTTTATCTTCTAGAGGTGCAGATAAATAGAAAGGCTGAAATATCGATCCAACAACTTTTCCTCCTTGCCCAGGGCTTGAATTCTACATTAAAGAGAAGTCTGAGCAAGCCCTAGGAAATATAGACGTAAACCAAAAAAAGAACTGTCAAATTTTCCTAGGTTTTTGAGTACATATTCATACTGAACAGCAACACTTTAAGAAGACAGAAAATCAAAGAAGAAAATCAATGAGAGAAGAAGAAATGGATGAAGTTTTGCTTTGCCTTCTATCTTTATTTATTTATGATCATGGCCACCAATATTAGCTACTTTGATGTTCCACAGATAATGCTATAATAGGCGTTACTGCAAAGTAAAAACAGTTGCACTCAATATCAAAATCTCTTTAAATGTGAACAATATTAAATAATAATGTCATAAAGGAAAGATACAATTGAAGAAAGTAAATGTCAATTTTTAAAACCAGATGAATATTAAATATAAGGAGCCTGAATAAATGCCTATATGCTCTTTACAGATAATATTCTGCACATCTTATGTAATAATTATTATGACAGAGACTGGAGAGAAATTAATTGCATCACCAATCAAATCTTCCTCATACCTTTACATACGGGACTCTGTTTTTATCTTCATGAACAGCCAAGTTGGTCTTGGATACTAAAAAGATGAGAATGACAGCAGGCAAAGAAGAAAATAAAAGTTAAAGACTCTATATTGGAGGAAAAATGGAAGTTTGTTACAAAGACAGTCAAATCTAATCTCTTTGCAATATGCAAGTTTAAGCCTTGGCTGAGAATAAACATATACCCTGAAGGCAACAGAGTATCTCTATAAATTTTCATTAATTCCTTAAGCAGAAGTGTGATAAACCATTTCAACCTCCCCGGACTTTCGTTACAGAACAAATAAAGGACAAGCACTGAGGTTACTTACCATCAAGTAAGTCCCTTATTTTGTCCAAGTAGATCTCAAAATAGGAAACCTAGTTAAAAACAAATTGAGCTTGGAATAGACATGCCGCAGTGTATTTCAAAAATGCCATTATTAGTACTTATGAAAGCTTTCATCATGCATGGCTAAGAAGAGTAAGAAGAGGGGTTCAAAGTGAAGACTTAAAATCTGGCCAGCTCTACTGGGATTCCCCTACTTCCCGCTTGCTCTACGCTTCCCTAAGTGTGGACCACTCTCCACCTACACACATCACAGCTCCCTTTGGTTGTCATTCAAGTGTTCTTAACATCATGTGCTAGACACTTACAGGAGGACTCTAGGCTTTAAGTTAGATGAGCACCAAGCACGCTTAGAAAACACTCAGTAGGCCTCACCTTATTGCATGATACTGACAGTATCATGAAGGAGACTTAGCCCAAATGTTCACATGCAAGAAGCCAGGAGAGGGCAAGGGCAGTGTGTTTAGAACTACAAGAGCTCAGAAAGGTAACTGAGCAAGAGCTGGTAATGGTGGCCAGCTCTGGTGCATCCAGGAAAGATCTGAACAAAATGGGACTTGATAAAAGATGGTTAGACTGTGAGAAGAAAAGGAGGCCTTCCCATTAGTCTCAAGGCTCAGCCACAGCACCACCTTCATCAGCATCACCTAAGAACCTGTTTGAACTGCAGAACCCTGAACCCTACTACAGTCCTGCTGAATCCGAATCCCAGATAAAAGGAACTAGGAATCTGGTTCTCAGTTGCCCAGGCGATTCTTATGCTGGCTGATGTCTGAGACCTGCTTTAACTAAATATGTGGTCTTAGGGACTCAATTCACACATAACCAAGACCCTAGGCCTCAATTGTACCATCTGTCACATGAAGCCATAGGGCTTTACGATGTCAAAAATCCCCCTCTAGGATTCTGTACTCTGTTTACATCTGCTGTCTGCCTACCCAATAAACTTATCTGCCCTATGTTCATAAGTGCTTTTGAAATCTAAACAAGGGAGTGGGCAGAAAGGAAAACAGTTGTAAAGTTGTAAAGCTGGGATGTGACTACTCAGGTAAAACCTCATCCCTACATCCCAGCTCTGGACCAGTCAAGGGGAAGCAAAGACTCTAACCCAGCACTGGTCCCAGCTCTGACTCAGCCCTGATCCATTATCCTTAATGTGCCTCGGTCTGGAACTACCTGACTGGAACCATCCCAGCTACTCTGAGATGTGGGGTCCTAGCTTGAGCCCTGGAATCCACTGCTGGGCATCTCTCCTGGCTGCCTGTATCCCTAGCAACATCTGCCTACTTGAACACCTGTCAGACTTCCCTGTCCCTGAGGCCCATCTCTCATGGACACACTTATGTGACATTTGAAAGACTCACGCCTACAGCTTTCTCTAATCTTTCATGCTGCCACACTCCCCACATCCTTATGGGTCTGTCTGACCTCCAATCCTGGACATCTCTAACCCAGTCCTTCCTGCAGCCAACTCCACCCTGGTTCAGCGCATTCTATTTATTTCAGAATTGTCTGATGTTCATTAAGACTTGTCTATTATTTTTGAGATCTTAAACATATGGCCTTATTTCCATAGATTACAGAGAAAATTAATTACATCTAAAAAAAAGTCACAAACTAGATACTGGCAAATCTGGCAATTAGAATCATATTCACATTTAATGTAAGTAGAAACAGGATTCTGATTTCATTAATTTCTGCTTTTGGTGTGTGTGCGAGGGTGGTGATTTTGTTGTTTTGTCATTTAAAATACTTTGTGAGACTAGGCGGAAGAAAAATAAATAGGCATTGTTTGGCATTAAGAAATAGGACGTTCAGAAATAAAGTTTAAAACCTCTGTGGGACTCATTTAAGGAGCAGATTTTCGATATTGCCTTAGTCAGTCCTCTTTTTCTTGATTTAGCCTCTCACTATCCGGTTCAGAATACAAAGTAGTCAGCAACTAATTTGCCCACTTATTATTTATAAAACAAGTAAGCATAAGTACAAATGCAACACAGAAATCCAGACTGTAAAATTCAGCCCTAGAGACTTAAGAGTGTTGTTCCTCTCCTCCCCTAACTTCATGCTAGGGCTGTTTTTATCTTAATAAGATTCTAACACAAGACCCTATTTTGAGGGCAGTAATTGGTTTAACATCTTATTCCAGGATTATCACATAAGAACCCTGCAGTAGTTTAAGCTATTTAAATGCAAACAGCCCTAAAGAAGCACTAAGCTTCTAAATCTTGATCCCATCAAAGCAACAAGCTTCTGTATCCTTAGATATAAAGAACCTTGGCAAGAAGGAGAAGCAGGCTTTAGCCAACAAAAGGAATCCTAAGGAAAAGTGATTTGCTAGATGTAATTTATAGTTGGGCAAACAGTTGGTGCCTTCTTTTTATGTCATTTACGAAAGGTATACAGTAGTAAGGGGAGAAGTTTAATATAATTGAAAAGGTATCGCATGTGCGGTTGGTCAGACCTAGGGTCTATTCTTAGTTTTATCAATAACTTGGTGTTTAAGTTGGGCCTTGTAACTCTGCGTCTTTTTTTTTTTTTTTTTTTAAGACAGAATCTCTCTCTGTCGCCCAGGCTAGAGTGTGGTGGAGTGATCTCAGCTCACTGCAACCTCTGCCTCCCAGGTTCAAGTGATTCTCGTGCCTCAGCCTCCTGAGTAGCTGGGATTATAGGCACACACCACCATGCCTGGCTACTTTTTTTGTATTTTTTTTTTTTAGTTGAGACAGGGTTTCACCATGTTGGCCAGGCTGGTCGTGAACTCCTGACCTCAGGCAATCTGCCCGCCTCAACCTCCCAAAGTGCTGGGATTACAGGTCTGAGCCACTGTGCCCAGCCTAACCCTGCATCTTTAAACTTCCGTTTCCTCATCTCTGAACAGATGGGCCTGGTGCACTAAGATCCCAGCCTGAAGGGAAATCTCTTAGCAGATCTGCTTAGCGAGGCTTCTTAGAACTGCCCCTTCACCCTCCCCAGCCACAGTGGGGGCCCCCAGACAGCATGTGCATCCTGGACACAGCTCATCGGGCAAGGGGGGCACCTATGTAGGCTGGGCCAATGAGTCCCTGCCCAAGGGAATTTAGAGTTGGAAATAAGGGAATGGTGGAGCAGCAGCTGCCATGTTGCCAACCCCTTCTCCCACCAAAAAGAGAGAAAGATGCTCCAGAACAAGAGAAAGAAGTCAAGCAAGGGGGCAGAAAAGCAGGGACTGTAACAGGTTTGGGGTTTCTTTTGGAGGTGACGATATGCTCAAGAATTAGGATAAGGATCATCATTGTACACTTTTGGGAATATATTAAAAACCATCAAACTATACACTTTAAAAGGATGAATTTTGCGGTATGTGAACAATATCTCAATTGTTTAAAAAGTTTAAAAAGAAAAACAGGGCTTAGATTTCCTGCCCTCCACACTTCATCCTCCACAAAATGCCCACTGTCAGATTCTGTATCTTATAAACAATATCCTCTATTTGCTTAAACAAGTGCCTTTCAGCCACTTGCAAAAGAGGTGTTCCAATGAATATACCCTACTATCAAATTTGATTATTTAACAGCTACAGTAAGAGAGTAGAAATCTCTCTTTTAATGCCAATTTAAGTCATATAACAAGTTTTGGTTTAAAACAAAAACAAAATACAAGGGGGAAGATAAAAAGGAAGAGAATTCCTCTTCCCAACATTTCTCAGAGTTCTGCTCTGTGACACTCTGCTCAAAACACAAGTCTGTGATACTCTTAGGAGGAGAAATGTGTCTACATTCAAATAAGCTGGGAAATGTAATCTAATGCATGTCCCCTTTGCAGAGCATATTGAAACCTGTGATAAACTTAACACTGTTCAAGAAAGCATTTTCCCAGCTCATTTGGCCTTACAGCCCTTTTCCCTGCTAGCCCACCATTAATAACACAAGGGACTGTGTTCCACAGAACACACTTTGGAAAATGCTGCCCTAACCCAAACACAAACACATTTCAGTCATACCCACAGAAATCCAGAGGATAAAGGGTAGAATTTGGGCAACAATCAAGATGATTTCCTCCTAAAGAAGGCTTTTGCTTTCATTATGTGGATATTTCAAGCAAACCCTCCAGACACCTGTTAGCCTAGGTCACTAATAAAGAGGGCTCTGCTTACCACAAGAATGTCATTTAAATTAGTAGGATCATCTTTTATATCTTCTTGAAAGGAGGAGGTATAAGAAACGTTATCTGGGGCCCAGTGTCTTCTCTGGGGACCAATCAGTAATACGTACCTTTATGTGAAACTCCAGGTTCTCATCCATGGAGTAGATATGGTCAAAGATATCATGGGCAATTCGTGGGATGATCCCCATGAGCTGGGGGTCATGCAGCTTCCCCTAGTGGGCGAAAATACAAACACGGGCAGTTAAAGCATGCTGGGAGACACATGAGAGAGAGGGAGAACCATCTCTGGGTTCCTCAGACAGAACCCGGTGGAGCAGGAAGCACCCACGTGTGCCTGCCAGCTCCCTTGGGCATCTACCTGACTTGCCAACAGACCAGAAGTTGGTGGAAAAACTCATTGTGTTGGCCTGTTTATCCAGCAGGGGAGCACTTGTTCTGCCAAGTTCTGAGGCCCCACATTATTGCCTCCAGCTGCCACTCAAGGAAACAAAATCAGAGTCTATGTGGCTAGTGTGGGGTGAGGAGGAGGAGGAAAAGGGAGCAGGAGAAGGAACGAGAATATATGGGTTTGGGTTTTGAGTATTTACAAACTGACCTGAGCCTGGAGTTCCAAGTAAGGCAATCTTGTTTAATGAAATCACCTCTAGAACTGATTTCCAAAATTTTCCAAAATTTCTAAGAACCTTATTCTGGCAACACTTTCAGTATCATTTAACAGATCAATCAAGAAAATACATTTCATCAACTTCTTTTAAAAATCTGTGGTTCCCAGGCCAAATTGTTCCAAATAATTTTTAGCTGTTTCTAATACCTAAATCCATGTTTAAGATCGTCTTATATTCTTCTTTCCCCGCTTTTCTACTTTACTCATTTCACCTAAGTGGGTGGGGATAGGGATAGGTAAATTCTTCTGCTATTTGGATATTACCAAATCCATTTTTAAGGTCCAGAATTTGCCACCCCTGAAGATTTTAGAAAAGATGCCTTAGGATCTGACAGCAACTCCTAATGAAGACTTCCAGAAGTATTGAAAGCAACACACAAGCTCCAGAGAGCCTTTGCCTAAGCCCACCGTCAAATAAGCACTTAAGTTCTCATATGTGTTCAACAATCCATCAGTGAACAAACACACAGTCTGCAGGTTTAAAGTGATCAGTGCCAACAACACATCCAGAGATTTTCCAGATTTTTTGTTTGTTTGTTTTTGTTTTTTGAGACAAGGTCTCACTCTGTTGCCCAGGCTGCAGTGCAGTGGTGCAGTCTTAGCTGACTGCAACCTCCACTTCCCAGGCTCAAGTGATCCTCAGCTTCCCTAGTAGCTGGAACTACAGGTGTGCACCACCGCAGCTGGCTAATTTTTTGTATTTTTTGTAGAGATGAGGTTTCGCAGTGTTGCCAAGGCTGGTCTCCAACTCCTGAGCTCAAAGTGATCCACCCACCTTGGCTTCCCAGAGTGCTGGGATTACAGGCATGAGCCACCACGTCCGGCAGTCTGGCCTCCAGCAAAGCTCTCTCATCCGGAAAAATGGATACTCCTCTGGAATGCCCTTATCTATTAAGAATCTAAATAGTTTGATGTATTGCTCTTGTTTTTTAGTTTGACTGCATACTTCCTAAAGATAGGGATGGCCAGTGCATGTATATTTCTCTCCATTGCTTACAAGATTTAGTATTTATTACATAGAATTATTGTAGAATTCAAGTTAAATAGGATATATAAAGTGCTTAGTGACATGAGAAGGGCTAAAATAAATGTTAGTATTATATCACTCAGCTCACAGCAGGTTTTCACGAAGAAATTATTGCAGTTTATTTCACCTGAAGAGACTGAAACACATTTCTATCCCTGACAATTAATATATATCTTAGGAAAGAAAACAGTGCCAAATGACTGACAATCTCAAATCTTGATAACTTTTAAACTGTACATTCCATCATAAATGTGTAACAAATTAGACAATGGACCTCCACATGCTCTGAACCATGGAGATCATTGGCAGAAACAATACCTATGGTGAGAACATCATTTCCATCTGGCCAAATGTCATGACTCCACTCAGCCAATCAAAAGACCTCCCCTACCAAAGCCCTCCAGAGCTTTTTAATAATTCATGATAATCCTTTAGCTTCTCCTCAGTAGCCCACAGCCAGAGAAGAACGATTGATAATCCAAAAATCATTTATAATTGACTCAAATCTATTTTCCTAGATGCTTTCCCTTTCAATGGATTTATCTCCCCATTGATTCCTGGCTTATACAAGTGCTGACATCTCTTTGTTTGCCTTTGTCAGGGCAAGAACCAAGGCAGAACGAGAGATGAATCTAGGACACTCTCTACTTTGTGTCTCTCTGAAGTCCTCACCCTAAAATCAATGTGAGAAAAGTGAGTGTTCTCATAATAATGCCTCCCATCCCCACAGGAACAGAAGCATACCCACATCTACCACAGGCCTAGGAGCTGGGCTGCTTGATCCAGCTCAGATGCCCAAGAGTGGTAAGGGCTTTATGTGCAGCAAACTGGGCCTGCCGAAACAATCTGCAGGTGTGTGTACGCAGGGGAGGATGTAGGGGCATGTGGAGTGTGCACGTGTGTGTGTGTGTGTAGTGTTAGGGGAGCATATGGATGTGTGATGTGTGTAGTATATGTCTGTGTGTGATATACGTGTGGGGTGTGAGGGCTACGTCTGCGTGTGTGGGGGCGTGTGATGTATGTGGAGTATTACATATATGTGTGATGTGGGGGTTATATGTGTGTGAGATGGACGTAGGGAATGTGTGCAGGTATGTGCTATAGCGTGAATGTAGGAAGTGTGGCGAGTGTGGGGGTGCTTGTGATGTGTGTGGCTGTGTGGCATTCTGTGGCGTGTGTGTATTGTATATGTGTGATATGTGGTGTCTGTGTCTGTATGATGTATGCAGAGTGTGTGTGTGTGTGTGTGTATGCGTGTGTGTTGTGTGTGTGATATATGTGGGTTCTGCCTGTATGTGTGCATGTATATGTGGGGGGTGTCTCTGTGTGTGTGGTGTGTCTGTGTGTGTGTATGTAGGGGGTATGCCATACAATGTGTGGTATCTGGTATATGGTATGTCTGTGTGTGTATGATGTATGTGGGGGTGTGGTATATAGTGTGTGGTATGCGTGTCTATATGGATGTGTGTGATGTGTACATCTCTGTATGTTTATGATGTTATGTAGGGGTCATGTGTGGTATATAGTGTGTGGTGTGTGGTGTGTTTGTATGTGGTGTGTATATATCTGTGTGTATATGTATGATGTATGTGGAGGGGTGGTATGTGATGTGTGGTGTGTCTGTGTGTGCATATGTGTGTGATGTGTATATGTCTGTGTGTGTATGATGTATGCGTGTGCAGTATGTTATGTGGTGTGTCTGTATGTGTGTGATATATATGTCTGTGTGTGTTTATGATGTATGTGAGGGCCATGTGTGGTGTGAGGTATGTCTGTGGTATGTATATGTCTGTATGTGTCTGATGTATGTGGAAGGGTGTGTGGTATGTGGTGTGTAGTGTGTCTGTGTGGGTATATGTGTGGTGTGTACATGTTTGTGTGTGTGTATGATGTATTTAAGGAGTGTGATATATTGTGTGTGGTGTGTCTGTGTGTATATTATGGTGTGTGGTGTGTCTGTGTGTGTACATGTGTTTGGTGTGCATATGTCTGTGTGTGTATCATGTATATGGGGGGTATGTGGTATATGGTGTGTCGTGAATGTATGTGTGTGCGTGTGTATGATGTATGTGGGAGGCGTGGTGTGTGGTGCATCTGTGTGTGATGTGTCTGTGTGTATATGTATGTGGTGTGCATATGTCTGTGTGTGTGTACAATGTATGTGGGGTGTGGTAGTGGTGTATGGTATGTCTGTGTGTGACGTGTCTGTGTGTGTATACGTGTGTGGTATGCATATGTCTGTGTGCATGTACAATGTATGTGGGGGTGTATGGTATGTGGTGTGTGGTGTGTCTGTGTGTATATGTGCGTGGTGTGCATATGTCTGTGTGTGTGTTTACGATGTATGTGGGGGGGGTGGAATGTGGTGTGTGCTGTTTCTGTGTGTGTATGAGAGTGAGGTGCTCCTTAGAGGTCTTCACTGCTTCTACACTGACCCTTGCAGATGAGATGCGCAGCCCAGACACACAATGCACAGTTGCCTCGGGCAGTAAGAAGTGGGATAACAGCCGAGAGCTATAGAAATTCAGAGACTAGAAATGTCCCAGATTTCCAGTAATAAAATGGGTAATATGGGATGGCTTGCTTGAGGGACACCAAATCTTGAAGAATGGTTAAGTTTAGGGATGGGTAGAGAGGATGTGGGCGGAGAAGGCGAGTGGGAGAACCAAGTACAGGAACTGAGAAAGAACAGTGAAAGTGTATTTTAGCTAAAGGATCAAACATGAACTTGGGGAGCAAAGAAATCCACTGCCTCATCACCTTGTTTCTCCCGGAAAGCAAATAGGAGAAAGATCTTTATAACTGCATCCTGTATAATTCTATCCGCAAACTTTTCCCACGGAATGTGATCTTTTAGGAGCACATATGAAAGAAGAAACAAGACCCAGGCCACCAGCCACCAAACAAGACTCTCTTTGTTCCAGCCCCAGTTGCCTCCTTGACCTCCCAAGCAGGGCAGAGTTTCCTGAAACACTTAAGACATCAGCCCGTCAGCACATGAGCACCGTGCGTTCAGACAGATTAGTTCAAAATCACTTGGCAGGCTTGGCGGGACGGCTGGGAAGCCTGTACCATTCAGATGACCTCCAAGCGTCTCTTGGGGCAGAAAGAAAAAACACAAGGTGTCTCCATCCATCTATATCAGTGTGCAGAAGAGGATCACAAAGGAGGGCACGGGGCCAGGAGAGGCCCTTCCCAGCATCACTCACAGAACAAAAGAACAGTCTCTTTTTCCTCAGCTGGAGCTGGAACCCCCTGTGTCCTCCCCAGCGCCAACCCTGGGTATGGGCTGCACAAGCCCAGGACCTTCTGTGTGGTGGTGTCCACCGAGCTTAGCATTAACACTGTCCAGTGAGTCATATATTTACTGAAAACCTACCTTAAATGCTCCATCTTGAGAAGCTAATATTTCCAATTTTATGTAGGCTTGTCTGTTTGTTCCCCTCAATACAAGGTAATGGAATCACCACTGGATGTCAGACCAAAAATAGGGGGATTAAAGTGAAAAACATCTTTAAAATGTGACCTCTCTTTCCACTCAGGGACACTCAGGGAGTTAACATCCCCTTCCGAAAGCCTTTGGAAGATCACAATGTGTAATTTGAATACATAAAATCCTCCTTTCAGAGAATGCAGACCCTGTAGGGCTTTTTTGACTTAATTGCATTCCAGGATCCTGGATTTCTTGGTCTCTCGCAGTATCTATGACTTCAGCTTAGGGCTCCTCCTTCCCTCTGTCTTCCTCTGAAAATATCCCCTACCTTTTCTCCAATCTATAATTACCCTACAGAAAGAACTCGATTAAGTGAGGGGGTGGGTGGCACTAGGAAAAAACTCCCATCCACATCAACTATTTCTAACTGTAGGCACAAGTATGTGATCTGCAAAAGTCACAATAAAGGAAAGCAACTCATTACAACTGACCTTTTAAAACTGACAAAGATGAAGAGGCAACCGGAGGTGAAACCTGTCCAGAACCCAGTTCCTTTCAGGTCCCCCATGAGTCCTCACTGGTCAGGCATTGTGAAGTTTACACTGTAAGACACAGAGGGCTTGAGAGCCTCTAGCAAAATATCTCTTCTATTAGTTTTTGTTTTTGGTTTTGGTTTTTAATTTTATTATTTATTATTACTATTTTTTTTGAGACGGAGTCTTGTTCTGTCACCCAGGCTGGAGCGCAGTGGTGTAATCTTGGCTCACTGCAACCTTCGCCTCCACAGTTCAAACAATTCTCCTGCATCAGCCTCCTGGGTAGCTGAGACTACAAATGTGCGCCACCACGCCTGGCTAATTTTTTTGTATTTTTAGTAGAGATGGGGTTTCGCCATGTTAGCCAGGCTGGTCTCGAACTCCTGACCTATGTGCTGGGATTACAGGTGTAAGCCACCACGCCTGGCCTCCCATATTAGTTTTAAAGGGCGGGCATAGCTCTTTGCCATCACCCTACATCCATCTCTTCTCCGGAAATAAGATTTTACACTGGGGAGCATTCTCTCTCTTGATGTCTTACAGCTTAAATTTCTGGCATTTAGCAAGTACCTTATATTTTCTAATCCCAAAGCTTAAAAGGTCACTATTGTAAGCATTCCAAGAGATTTTGGGGGATTTTAAATAATGCAGGTTGCTTTTGTTTTTGTTGTTGTTGTTGTTGTTGTTTGGCATTATATATAGTTTGGTAATAAAACAAAACAAACAAACAAAAAAACCTCTAGACTGATTGAATTCCTCACTAGACACCGTATCTCTCTTTCAAGTGTCATCTGACCTAGGAGGGAGTTTTTGTCTACAGGTACTGGACTAGGTGGGACACAGGAAATGTAGAACTGCAACTTTTCTATAGTCTCAAGGTCAAGAGTCGGGGGCCTAGTAAGAGAGGGAAAGGCGAGGGGCCGGGACAGGAGCGTGAGGATAGCAGGGTGGCGTTTCCAAGACGTTCTGCAGTAGAGTGTGAGAGGAGGAGAAGATGGGCTGATGCCACTCAGGTGTCAGGGGAAAGACCTGCTTAGTCAGAAAGAAGTGATAAATAAACCTCATGCTTCCTTTAATCTGTGCAGTCTCTGAACCACTTTGTCTTCAGCAAAACAGGTGAAAGAGAGTCAACACCGCAGAAATGAGATCCCCGGCACTGTACCCCACACTTGAAATCAGTATGAGCAGAACATCAGAGCCCTGAGGATTTTAGCCTCGTGCCTTTGAAATCTCCTCTTCAATAGGAATGATTCATAAGCTAAACCGATTCTGCAGCAGCCGTCTCAGTGCTATTCCCAGGAGGGCATCGTAAATGAAAAACACTAAGCTGGAAGGATTAAGGATTCATCTTACCCTGCTGCTGAATTCCCCAAACTTCCTCTGTGCAGTTTCTTATAATAACCACGCTTACCACCTCTCCTTACCTATCAAGTGGGCCTCACCTTTAGAAGAATTATCAGGCTCTGAAGGCCCTATAGGATTTGGTGATTTAAAGAAAAAAAAAAAAGGAAAAGAGGAGGCAAAGAGGTTCAATTTTGTCTGCAGACCTGCCTTGTTTGGAAAACAGACTGAAGCCACAAAATTCCACAGCCAACAACTGGAGCTGGGGTCATACCCTGAAGTGCCTTCAGGGAGCAGGTATGTAAGTCAATAAGGAAGGATGCCAAATATAAGTTCGTCTTCACCCCAGTGTGCATGAAGTGGGCTGGGTGTGAGTACAATGGAGAGTCCAGCCCCATGTACGTGGGGTGGCCAGAGCCAGTACCACAGGTACCATTTTCACAAATACTAACAAATATTTTACCAAACTTCTCCTAGGTGACAGCAGCTGTTCCCTGCACTAGAAATGTTAACAAAAAGGTGAACAGGACAATGAAGTGAACAGTGAAGCTTGAATTTTATATTATGGTGAAATTCACCCAGTGCTGCCAGATCTTCAGAATATTCAACCTAAGATGGAAAATTTGAATTGTGTGAAATCATCCAATTTTTAACATTGCTTACTATTAAAAAAAAAAATACCGTGCAGTCCAAACAAAAATATGTCTGTGGGCTGAACGTGGCCCACAAGCCAACTTTTAAAAATCTCTGACCTACAGTTTTTTATTTATTCTAAGAGACGAACCTCCCCGGGGGCCTTCATCAGGGTAAATGATTTTCCCAACAGGCTTTCCCAGTTAGAATGAGGCTGAAGTCCAGAATGATGTTCACACTACTGCTTAGCTAATCAATGATTGTTTCTGAATAGAATGTATTGTTACTGTCACAAAGTTATCAATAAAGTACTTTTTAAAATACTGAATTCCTGAGACTTTATTTTTTGCTGCTATTTTAAAACTTCTCAAAGACATAATTAATTGGCCAAACATAACCGTCTCTATTTCCCAGTAAAGAAAGCCACATGCACCTCAAGTTTTGCTGGAAACGTCAGTTCCATTCAGTCATCTCAGAGATTCGCATTAGAGCACATTGTAATCTTACCTCCATGGTGTGGGTTTTTCCTGATGAAGTCTGCCCATACGCAAAAATCGTCCCGTTATAACCTTCAAGGACATCTGTGAACAAGAAAAAGAAATTAAAATTAACTCATTACTTTGATCATATGCTGGTGTAGGTTGCATATTTTAAAATTACATTTTCCAAATGGCCCATCTCATTTTTCATACAAATGATATATTTCAACTCCATGTGAATTTTAAGTAGAAAATTCTGTTGTTCTACAAATGGAAAGAAATGGACTCACATTTCACAGAATACATTAATGAAGAAGGAGGCAGACACACTTTCTCCCAATGACATCAAAAGGAAGATAGAGACATCGAGCAGAAAACTTTTTTTTAGTAGAAGGATATTTGAGTTTTCTTCTATAAGTTGATCTCTTGAGATCAGTTGGGGGAAAAAGAAAACATTATTCTTATGCCCTGTTTCTGGAGTGAGATGAAGAACAGAATTTCTTTCCTGAAGATTTAATCTGGGTCAGTTTAAACGCTGGCCCAGGCTAGCTCCTTGGGGAGGTTTCTCCTGAAAGCCCCACAAGAGCTCCTTGAGTCCAGAGGTGGGGGAGGAAAAGGGCCCCACTCTATAAACAGAGCCTCAGGATGACAATCCAATCAGCCCAGAAACTAGCCGGGCCCTCACTTAAATTTAATGTCTCTGTGTTTGCACTGATAGTGCTAACAAGCCAGCCCAGGCCCATCAGCATCAGGAAATTTCTTTTAATTACACAATGAGAGCACTGTGCAAACCCCTCCACACTGCAGGTCGGTGCCACATCACACAGGGACAAGGGGAGGCTCGAGGGTGGAGGCTGCTTTTTGCTGAAGAGCTGAAGATTATCTGTGGGAATTCTTTCAAAGCAGCAGAGGTGATTAAAATATATTTAGCACTCATTTCTCTCCTGCTTTCCTCCTTCATCCTCACAAATATCACTGGAAGAGGAACAATGCATCATTAATATCCTTGATCCTCCATTCCGAATAAGGGGAGGAAGTCTTCATTTGCACAAGCTGTAGAGGCAGGGAGAAGGACCCCACACTGAGGTGTCCTATTCAGGGTCATGTAAAAAACCAAGCCAGGCAATCAGCTCCATCTACTTCAGGCTCTAAATAGAGTTTTTCTTTTGGGAGCATGGTAGAGGGGGTTCTCTGAATTTTATGATGCTGGTTTGTTTTTGTTTTGCTTTGATAGGTTTGCTTTTTTGAATTTTTTTTCTATATCAATTCTGATTTGTTATGTTTTTTAAAAAAATTTTAATAAACATTTGACTGATCTGAGGTTGTTGAAGTGTGAACTGGGATAAGAACAAAAAAGCAATATGTTATTTTAGGAAGGTAAGAAAAGAAAAATTAAGTGGCAGGATTTTTTTTTAATTCTAGCAGCCCTCAAGAGTTTGTATCAAGCTATATTGGGGGTTGGTGGGAGAGGAGGGACAGGGAGAGAGAGGAGGGGGAGCAAGAGGAGGGAGAGAGAATGTTCATACATATCAGATTTCGGCTAATGGCTCCCCTGCTAACAGTGGGAAGCAAAAACTTGAAGTAGTCAGTGTAAGGTTTGGAGGTTCAAGCTTCAGTTTTCACAAAAATGCCAACTTACTCCAAGAAAAGATTCCTTAGGCCAGAGCAGACAGAGCACCTCTACACTAACATGAATATGATATGCTTTGAGGGACCCAAAGGAAAAAGGTCCCACCCTTAGGTCAAACTTTAAAAATGCCATATTCATAACACAAAAAACTCCAGCCTATTGGAATGCTGGCTACATCACAATATCACAGTTTCCATTTATTCGAAATTACCATTTATTAGAAATTAACCATCCCCCCTATACACACACACACACACACACACACACCCTGAAAGGGCTTTCCTTGTCTTAAGCCTCTGTGTATGAAACACTCTGGAACCCACCGGCCTAGGTGTTAGAACAGCACCGAAGTTGCCAGGGCCAGGGGTCCAGCCATCCTGACCTCTGCTAGCCACCCTGCAAGGGCCGATGTTCCCACGCAGGAGGCCCCAGGGAGGTGGTACTGAGCAACCGGCCACACCCAAGGAAACAGCTCAGAGCTCAACTTCCTCCTGAATTAGGCCACACCCGAGGCCTCCCGGGTCTCATCCACGCCTCTGGGTCCATCACTAAACAGAAGGCACAATCCCACTAACTCTTACTCCATCGCTGCTCATGAAACTCCTGCCAGTAAGGACTGGGTCAAGCACCTGAAAACCAGAGCTCGTCCGTGGCTTCACTTGTTTTGGACTAAGGAGCTGAGGAGCGTGCAAGACTGTACTTGGAGAATCTGTTTCTTGCTGCCATTTCGTCACTGAACACTATTTTTTTTCTCCTTCTTTTTTTGTAAGAAAAGGAGAACACATAAAACCCCACCAGAACAAACTCCACTCGGCCCTGAAAGTATTTACAATCACGGCCCTGAAAGTACTGAAAGTATTTACAATCACGTTACAGTTCATTCACTGCTGCAGAACCTCTCTCCAGCGATCAAGGTCGAAGGGAGCCGACGTCGCCCTCTATCGGCTCCCTGCTGCACTAGAAGGTAATTTAAACGAAAAGGCCCTTTGAAGCCAGTGTTCTCTATTTTCTTCGAAACTCCAGGTTTTGGGGGCTTCTTTTCTGTTTGTTGTTTGTTTGCTCAGTCTATGTTTTGATTTGCTGGTGAGGGAAGGCAGAGAGAGGAAGTGGAGCAGGAGCCCAGCGCGTTTCTATGGCCACCGCGACCACAGGCAGAGGGGGAGCCGTAGCAGGAAAGGCCAGGCCGCGCTCCGCACTGCGGGGGCCACGCCAACCTCCATCCGACTCCCACAGAAGCGCCCACAAAAGGCACTTTCATCACGTCCAGTGCCCGCTCCTGGGCCCACGGAATGCATTTGTTTTAGAGTCTCTGCAGAAACAATGTTTCCACATGCCAGCCACGCTCCGCAGACAGAAAGTTTCTTTGTGTTAGTGCCTGGTGTGATGTGACCTCCACTGGTACAGCATAGCCCGCCGCACCCCGGGGCCACAGCACTCTTCCATCCCGCAGCCGCATGAACCCCAGAAGGAGCTTCCACTGCAGGTGCCCAGAGCCTTCTCATCTCCCAGGGGAGGAGGAAGGATAGCAGTAGATACTTAAAATGCTCCTTGCCTCCCATTTGCTCAGTTCTGAATCCAGGTCTTGCTAAAGCAAAAGAGTTAGTGCCATCTTCAGATTAGAATTGGGGGAGGATGTGATCATACCTACCCATCAGTAGTCCTACGGAGGCATGGGGCTTCCTACCGACTCTCCAGGGGAAATGGGGGCCTGTAGGGTTTCTGGTGATGGTGGCTGACAGGCCATCCTCACCAGTCACCAAACCACTCAGGTAGGCCATAATCAGAGGATGATGAGGCGGTCCTGCTGACTACCTGAGGCCAGCCCGCATGCCGGCTGGCCAGCCTAAAGGGCAGTCCCTGTGCCCAGGCAAGGGCATGCTGCATCTTCAGAATGGAAACGCACCTCATCACTGGCAGGCCACCAGGGCCATCACAAGGTGTAGGAGCCACCATCCCTGTCCCCTCTTCTCTACCCTCCTCCCACACCATTCCTAGCCCTGTCTTTTGCAATGCTTAGATAATAGTCCATATGGCCTGACAGAACAGGGACCACTCATAAAATAATTGTCATCAAATGCTAGCTGTGTGCCCACCAGGAAAGGGGGGCAGGGGAGTACAGAAGAATATCAGTCAGTCAGTCTGACAAGCCCAGGCTTGAGTCCCAGTCCATGGCCCCCGAACCAACCTGGCCAAGTTACTTCACTTCTCTGAGCCTCAAATTCCTCTTCTGTACAATGAGGAAAATAATGCTCACCCTTCAGAAAGTTGTTATGATTTAAAATGCAACAACATATGTCAAGTATATAGACAGTGCCTGATAAGTCACAGCTAAAAATATTTTTTTTCTTCAGAGTCATATATAAGATAATAACAAAACAGATCTGATAATGTCATCCTAAGCTTAACACTCTTCATTGGGTCCACATTGTCTGCAGGATAAAGTCCATCCATTGCCATCAAATTGCTCCAGCCTAAATGTCCCAGCCTCATCTCCCATAATGCCACTCTGCACCCTGTGCCGCTCCAAGTTGTCCAAGCAGAATTTGTGTGTTTATGCTTTTACTTTTGAAATCCCCTCTGCTTGTACAACCCTCCTATATTCTATAGTCCTCAGGACCCAACCTTTCAGAGAAACCTTCTTTAATTCTCCACTCCCTCTCCCAATCAAAATCAATACAAGTGACATTCTTCTGTGTTCCCGTGGCATTTTGCATACACCCTTTCTAAAGTACATAATGCCTATGTGTGTGATGATTATGTACACATCTGTCTCTTTCCCTGTACTCAAAGCTCCTTGCAGACAGTCTTACATAGCATGGCGACTCCAGTCCCAGCACTGCTTACCCCACGGTAAGTACTTATTACTACTTACAGAAATGAATGATTAAAAGAAACAACTGAATGAATGAATTTTAAAGGAATCAGAACTGGAAAACAAGAAATTTCCCCTTCTCTAGCATCTGGATCATCTGTATCTAGTTAATTTGGAAGGCAAATGATTGGTGTGGCTTCTGTAGGCTGGGACATAGTTACAGTACTTCAATAATAGCATCCAGTTACCATGGTGTTTAATTCCTAGGCGTCCAAAGGAGCCTTCCCATTTACTGTGCTGGTAGTCAGAAACCCTACAACCTCTTTGAGAAGAAATGGAGGAGAATTCTACATGCTTTTTCAAGCAAAATTTTGAAAAACAAACACCAGACAAAGATGGGAGCATGAGAGATGCCAGGACTCCACAAACAAACATTTAAAATATATTTTTTTTAACCCAGTGAAGTGGTAGGGAATGAAAAACCAGAGAGAGAATAAAGCCATCGAGTTAAATGGAGCCTCCCAGATGCTCCAAATCATTAAGAGTTTAGATGGACTTGAAAGGAATGCTCCTTGGTCCACCCATTATCAGGAATCACGGGGACTATGGTGCTCTTCGGAAATCATCTGATTTAATTATTAGCCTCTAGAAAAAAAGGGCTCCACAGCACCGCCTCCCAATCTTGATTTAAATAGGGTTACTCATGGCAAGAGATACCTCAGCTATACTTGATCATCTGTTCCAAGGAGTTCTTTCTTGTACCTCTATGTTTTAGCTTACTGATTCTGAAATACATGGCCACTTCTCACACTAGCCTCAGTGGATATTTGTGAAATCCAATCAGACCTTCATCAATTCCTTTTTAAGGGAGAATAAGGCATGTATGTATGATCATACATATTTATGGTACCCTAGAAATGTCTGTTAGTCATATCATGTCAGCGCCTGATTTTATTCTGCTAGATGGTTTTCTTTATAGCTCACTACATATTGGGTCTCAAGTTATCCAGAGTTAGGCCATATCTTCACAAGACCTGCCCATTTCTGACATTTCATACTGTAGAGAAATCCGAACATTGAAAGAGGCCCAAACTTCTTTAGTGAATAAAGACTCAAAGAGTATTACTACAGGTTGTTAATCACAGGATTTTTTTTTAACAGAGTGCATCCATTTCTAATTATGTCAGCTTAGAGAGGACAGGATGTATTTAAATGGCCCTCATGTTTAGCACAGCATGTGGTAAATACTATTTGTTTGTGATAATGAAGGGGGAGAGAAAAAGAAATTTTGGCACATATGTGATTAATCTTACTTTAATAAAAAATATATGAATGAGTCGAATAATAGGGAGCAGGGCTGAGTAGGAGCAAACCAAGAAAGATATACTGCAAAAACAGAGAAAACATGTTTAGATAGAAAGAGAAGCAGAAGAGTAAAAGCAGAGAGAAGATAAAAATTACCACCCGATATAGGTCCATACTATTAATTCAGAAAGAGCTCGAATTCAGTCATATTTTTTTTCTCATTGGGTTTCTATAAAAATCTCACTGTGAAGACCTTCAAAATTAATTGATGTCTGCAGCAAGAATGTGAATAACCATCCACCTCAGCAAGGAACATTACATGCTGACATGCATCTCCCACACAGGTGTCCAGGGTCAGAATTAAACGAACAGATGTACCCAGAGCTGATTTTCATGAATTTCAAATACTTAGGTTAGTCAGCTTCTAAAAACAAGCAGATCCAAAGTGACATGGTAGGTTTTTTTAGTTTTGTTTTTACTTCTTGCTTATTAAATCCAGAGCTGCCTATACAGGGGGCAGCATCAAGACATTTGAAAGCACAATTGCCACAGCATTCACATTTGAAGGAAATGATTTGATGATGAAAAGCAAAGTAGCAGGAGATGCCCCCCAGCTCTGTCCAGATGGCAAGCCTGCCAATGCAAGCTTCAACCTGCCCCTGATTTGAAAGGACAAGGTAGAGCAATGTGCAAATTGCTTCATCTCCCTGCTGCTATTTTGACATGAATCCTCCAGGGCCAATGCCAGTCCTAGAGAAAAGGACTGATCTCTAAGATGTAAATGTAGGCTTGAGGCTACCTGTTTGGAGGAATAAATGTCAGGATCTGGGTGGGATGGTTGAAAATGGGTTAGGAGAAAGCATAATTAAGGAATGCTGAATGGCAAGACCAGCTCAATAACCAACACGGTAATGTGATTTTATGACACTGTAGAAAATTTCTAAATGGCAAAAATTTTCCATATTTAAGGCTTCTTGCTGAGAGATATTAGTAAAAGGGAGACAGACACACAGAATAAATCAACCAAAGATGTACAACTGGAGCATCAGGAATATATATTTTCTCCTTCAAAGGAAAAAGGAGGTTCCATACCTGCAGCCAGTGTTTTAAAATTATTACAGAAATAGTGTGAACACAGCTTACCTTGCTTTTAAGCTTTTGGGTGACAAAATAAAAAAGGTGGCAAAAGAAATAAAGACATGTCCTTGAAAAGGGAGAATAGAGAGATTAAATAATTTGCCTGACATCATAGCAAATCAGGGCTAGAACCGAGGCTATAGAATTCAGTGTTTCCAATTAGCAGGCCTCTGCTTACAGTCAAGGCACATTGATTCCTAGGCTGCAAATATCACTTAATGCTTTCAATTACTCTGAATGGCCCAGGAGGAAATAAAGAAATAGCACTTACCTTTGACAATTTGCTTCGCACATGCATTGTAAACCTGCTCTTGGGTCGTGTTGGGAGGTAGCACTCTGTCGAAGACATATGGCTTCCCTTGCTAAAAAAGAAAGACAAAGGGAAGAAAAAGGTGGAAAAAACACATTAGATGTTTAGGAATAAAAAATCGCAAACATTAGTAGCTAGGCCATAGGCACTAAGTCACCAACCCTGTTCTTTAAGGCAGTTCATTACCAAGAGCAGGGAATTTTTACAGCATAAACCACACATGCATTGTGTATATGTGCACTGTATGTTGAGAATCTGAGATTTTAAAAAAATTTAAATTGAACCACTTTTTAAATGAAGGGTAGGTTGAGACTCATTCATTCATTCAAACAAATATTTACTGAGCACTTACACAGAGCCTGGCACTGGGCTAGATGCTGAAAAAAAAAATCACAAAACAGTCTTGCTCTTGTGAATCATTCAATTAAGTTGAGCAGATAGCTAATAAGCAAGAAAGCAAACACATAGGAAAACGCAAAATGCCTAGGTTTAAAACAGTGGGACAGAGGGAATGCTAGAGAGGGCAAGGAAAGCCTGGTGAAGAAGGACCACTTAAGTGTATCTTTACAGGATCGGGAAGATGGAGGCTCCTGAAGAGCTGTAGAAGCGCATCCTAGGCAGAAGCCCAGCAGACAGCAAAGGGCCTGGTTTGTTCAAGGAACTGGAGGGCAAGAAAATCAGGAGCCAATTCATGCAGGGCACAGTTAGCCAAGGTGATGTGCTTAAATGTTAGCCAATGGGAAGATGGGACAAACAGATTTAAGTAGCTGCTCTTATTAGAAAGATATTATTGCTTTGTGTCCAAAAGAATTCCTGTGTTTTCTTTCTCATGCACAAGTGATGTTTTAACTGGGTTGAGGCTTCCAAGACAAAGAGAGCCCTTCTGTAGAGTAAATCAAGAGATTTCCCCAGGTGTGTGGTCTTGGGATTTGGTTTGATGCTCAAATGTGTGTGTTTCAAGGAAATAACTAGTAGAGGTAAGGGAAGAAACTCCACCGTGCATTATATGTGCCCTGACGCCCAATCACTGTATGCTTAATAAGGAGTTACTGGGCATTTAGGTGCCAGGCACAGTGCTGAGTGCTGGGGAAGTGGTGGGTGGGACAGACACAGCCCCTTCCCTAGGAGAACCCATCCTGAGGGCACCTCTTCTCTACCACCACCGCCCAGGCAGGAGGCAATCATGCTCACCCTCTTCCACAGCCGGACTCACTCAGGAGGCCCTTCATCTTCATGTTCCCCACATAGCAGAGGGGAGGGCAGAAGATGAGAGGGAGGAGAGAGCAGAGCCAAGAGCCTCCTTTTCTCCCACTGTGCCCCTCCTATGTGTGGCTCTGGACACCAGGAACCACCCAAGGACAGTGGGACTCCTCGAAAAGATAATTGCTCATGAGGGATCCAAGAGCAAGGCTTGTTACATCCTATAACCTTCACACAAAGTAAGTACACAGCTGTCAGAATGGCTTAATGTTCTACTTATTTATTACTTGGGTAGAGCTGAACTGGAGATAAAATCCTAGCCCTTAAGCTTTACTCTTTGAAAACTGGATAGCACCAGCCAGGTAAAGGAGCTACTTCCATTTGGTCTTAGAGAAATAGGGAATTTTCAGTTACTATAAAATTTTGTTTTGATGCAAAGCAGCAGAACCAGAGTCATTCTGCTAAAATTATAGAAATAGAACATTTTCTGATGTTTTGTTTGCAGTAAGTTTCCTTCAGTTAGTGAATCAAGGATTTGGTTGAATAACCAATAGACTATTCCTCACCACAGTCTATTGCCAACTATCAGCCTACTACATGCTTATTAAGCTTTATCTATTTGTAAAATTCAACTAAATGTCAGTAAGGTAAAAGGTAAGAGTAAATATTTGCAGAGTTTGTCTGGGTATTTGTTATCAATTGAACTTTCTGGAACAAAAATGTAGCTTTGCTTAATTTAAAACAAATCCCCTATTTATACAAACAATGAGAATCACCAAAGTAAAGCGTCTTGTTTACAGCTTGATCCTGCTTTGGGTTTTAGAGAAAATACACTTAATACAGCAGACAAAATGACCTGTTAAATTATAGCACATGGTACAAAAAAAAAAGGACTCCTCAGTTTTGCCCTTCTGTTTAAAATGTTTATTAGAATGCATTATGCCTTCACTTTAAGAGAAGTAGAGAGCAAGAAATCTCTATTCCTCATTTAAATAACATAATTTATCAAATGACAAACAGATAATACAGCGATTCTTCATAACCTAAAGTTAACTCCCAAACAGAAGTTGCCTTCAAGTCATTATGATTGATACTAAGAAAAGATAAAATTTAGAAAGTGATTTGTTATGAGACCTATCTTGTCAGGATTAACACGTTATGTAGTTAAAAATGTAAATATTTTTATGTGTCCTGTCTTGCACTGAGTTAGTTATAGGCTTTTATTTTAGGTCAACCTTAAAGTCTCGGAAGAGATTGATCAGAATTTAGTTATTGAATATTTTCAAAGAACTGACTTGGGGCATAGCTGTACCAGCTGTATATATAATTGATAATTGCCATTTTAAAAAATCACTAATTACTCTTTGCTGCTTTAGTAATGGTATGAAAATCTCACAAATCCTGATTGAGACTTGAACAAAGACCCTTCCCCAGTAGCCCCCAAGGAGGCAAGATTGCCCATTTTTTATTCCACCATGGCTAAAGGTTTCTCCAGGCATGCACTGGGCCCAACTTGCTCTAGTCATCACTGAGTTTACAGCTACAGAATACACTTTTCAAATGACATTTAATGCAGGTTCTGGGTACTAACACTTGAAACCTAATGATGAGGTCACCAGTCACTCCTTCTGGAGACACGAGTCCCTTCCAGGTGTCTATGCAGCACATGGCTCTCTCCAACCTCTCTGGCTACCTCCATCAATGTCCTTTGCTGGCGTTTCTTTCAAACTTCTAAATGGTGGTGTATTCAAGACCCAGACCTCTGCCTCCTTTCTGTCTACACTCTTGAGTTACATGTAATTTAAATGAATATTTCAGCCTTCATCTCTCTTCTAACATCCAGATTCACATGTCCTCTAGACATTTCCATTTAGGTGTCCATGAGCCATCTCAAATTTAACTGACCAAAAAAGAGCCATCAAGCCCTCCATATCTGAGTAAGAACTATACCACCAATCACCTAGTTACTCAGACTGAAAACTAAGAACCATTCAATATGTCCCATAGATTCCATATCCAAACTATATCCCAAACCCTATCACTTCTCACCATCTATACCATGCAAACTTAGTCCATCATTTCTCCATTAGTCTCTTCTACACAACAGCTATCACCTCCTGACTGGTCTCCCTTCCTTAATTCTCGCTCCTAACTATCAAATTTCCACTTAGCAGCTAAAATGAGCTTCCTAAAACTGTAAATCAGATACCAATTCCTTGCCTAATTCCTTCCAAAGGCTCCTATTATTCTTAGATTAGACCCTCTTTGCCCTCAGCTGCCTGCATCATCCTCCATCTCACTACAGTGTGGCCCCACGGACTTTTCTCTGTATGATGCTTATTCCCCAGTTCACAGCCTTTGCTCTTAACTCTTCCTTTCCCTTAGAATTATCTCACTGCAGATATTCATTTACCTGTCTCCTTATCACTACTCTTTAGAACTCAATTCAAATTTCTCCTTCCCTGAAAGTTTTCATGGTCCTAGGAGCCCCAACCCCACCCAGGTATCACTCTCTATTACATTACCTGAATTAGTTTGCTCCATAGTAGTTAGTATGTGACTAATTATCAATCAATCTAATTAACCACTACAATTATAGCATTTTACCAGCTAAAACAGAAGCCATATAAATCCCAAGTCCTAACCCCATGTAGGCAAACCTGTTTCAATTTATGAAGGGAATCTGGATGAGACACACACATTCCACACACATTACTACTGAAAATAAAGTATACAAGCTTTGCCTTGAAGCCTGCATGTGGAACAGTGCTAATTACATAGGAGCAGTATAACTAAAATTAATAATTTACCAGGATCACATACAAAAAATAACAGCAGATGGTTCTTACACTTTTATAGTTAAATTTTTAAAAAATCATACCACCAGAACTCTATCAAATTGTTGAATGCAAGGTGTCTGGGAACCATATGGCCTGCCTATTAATACATTTGACCCATTACCCAATAACTGTTTCCCAGCCTGGAAGGAATATTACTCTGGGAGACAACAGAAAGCAAAAGATTCACATAAACGTTTTGAAGATGGGCACCAGGAGGGATGTTAAGGAAAGTGAAATTAATTATCCCCAAGAAGAGATCATTAAGAAGTAATCCAATAACAAGCTCTAAGACTGACGACGAATTGTAGCATAAGGCTGCCAATGATTTGAATGATTTTTCTGCTCTCTTTATCAAGAAAGAAACAAGCAAAGGCTAAAATTTTCACAGAGAGATTTAAACTCACTCTGTGGAATTACCTTCTGACACTGAGGAGTACTGTATTCAGAAGAGGAACTGACTATGGAGAACAATAAGTAACTCTGTGTTCCAGGCACTTATATGATTTCATTCCTGAAAGTACAGAAATGACAAGTTCTTTCAGCCTGTGCTGTCACCTTAACACTGTCACCAACACCATCACCAACCACGATGACCCATGCCCTTTTATACTCTAGCCCATTTAATTCTCATAAGAACTCTATGAGCTAGGTATTATTATCCCCATTTTACAAACTGGAAAACTAAGGCCAAGCCATATTATCTGCTCTATTACTTAGGGGAAATAACTGCCAGGCCCTTACTTCAAGGGTTCTTCCTTTACGGAGTACTGGTTTCCTAAAAAGCTTATGATTTGCCAGAAAAGCAGGAGACATCCGCAATAACACATGCTAAGACTAATATGAAAGACTGAAGCAAAGTGATTATGAGGTAACAAAAGACAGAGATCCCTACTGTAGCCTGTGGCAGTCAAGAAAGTGTTAACCATGAAGGTAGTGCTGACATGAAACCGTTGAGGAAAGAAAAACTGAAGATATGGGAAGAAGGCAAGATTGGGGAAAAAAATAAAAAATTAAAAAAAGCAGAGGGCATGCAATGGCAAGCATTCCTTTCAACAGAAGGAATTAAAAATGGGCAAAGGCCAATCAGAGGCTAGGGAAAGACAGATGCAAGGCTTGCTATGGAAAGTTGAAGTTATTTTTAAAATTGTATAATTTTTCAGAGCCAAAAGGTCCTTCCAGGTCATTTCAACCCATCAGCATGTTTTATAAATAAAGAAAGATCAGGAGAGGGTAGATGGCATGCGTGCAGCCAGCTAGGTAGGCAGCAGATGTGTGCCTCGCATCCAGACCTCCTGCCTCCCTATCCAGTGCTCTAGAAGTTCCACTTTAAAATCACTTGCTCTCTCCAAACGTCAAGGAAACAATAAGCCTGAATTTCTGGTCCTTTTTTCCCCCTGCTTTCCTCCCAATCAATTCCAAATTATTTTCAAATACAAAATTAATTAGTCCAATGAACAAAGAGTTTTGCTCAAGATGTGGTCAGTGTCATTCTGTTTTTAAAAAAAAAAAAAGTTGGTGACCAACCTACATCAGGCATTTGCATTACACTAAACTTACCAAGCAGTTATCCCCTAAATGAAGTGAAATGAAAAAGTGACGGTCATTCACAATGTACCAGCTCAGGAACTTGACATCCTATTATCCTCACGACACCTAAGTGCTGAATCACATCTTGGGCCCCTCCAGGTCCCCAGGCCTGTGACTCCTGAGCTCAGCTCCACAGAGCACAGGGGCCATTTAATTTCCAAGAGCCCCAGAAAAATTTACCCTGTTTCAAGGCCATCCTCTGCACTCTTTAAAAATAAACAAAATTTCAATGTTCATTCATAAAGTCTATTCACAAAAGGCAAGGAGCCATGTCTGGTACAGGCACTTGTACACTCACCAGCTTTACTGTTACAGCTTTGGAGACTCTGGAAACTTCTGTGAAAATACAAATGGCAGACCTGCAGCAGATGCTGTCAGGGGCCTGACTATCCTCTCACTCTCCACCACTTCCATGTAAGCTAGTCTAACCTCCCACAGTCAGCTCCTGCATCTCTCTGCCTGGCTAGTCTAACTTCTCATGGTCAGCTCCTGCATCTCTCTACCTGAAGGCTTTTCTGGCTGCTGGAGCCCTCTTGGTCACCCGCAACAGGCCAAAGGGATGTTGTGGGTACCAACCCCAGCAGTTCTTAGTCAATGGCTATTAAGAGTTGGGGGGTCAATACTTTAGCTCCCATGCCCAGGGGTGGTAGTGCAGGGGTGACCCTGAGGCATGTATTCCAAACTGGCACCCAGACCTCCCCAGTGGGATGAGGCTCCCATTACCCCTAGTGGGAACTCACGTGATGGCGCACTCTATATGGGTCCTTCGCTTCCCTGCCTCACTTCACTCTTCATCAGTGTTTCCTAGGATCATCTCCCAAAGAAACCTGCACTTCCATCCTTGCCTCAGGGTCTGCTTCTGGGGGAGCCCCAAGTAAGGCAAAATTCAAGACATTTTGCTCCCAAAGTTCTTTCATTCAGTAGGTCCTAAAAGATCTGGACTGGTGGTTTCACTGTCAAATATGAAGCCATCACATTTGGTTGGTGCTCAGCCAACAAATTGAGTGGAAATTGAAATCCTTGCTAAAATTCAACAAGCTGGGGCTTTGGGACACTATCCTGGAAAGGGGGTACACCTTTTCCTTCATAAAAGGATGCTTGCTGGTCACTTGCCAAGCAATGGTCCCACGGGGCCACATCCACCCAGGGAATTATCAGTTTCTAACTGACACAATTCTAGAAGCATCAAAGGCTCTTGAAGGCCCTGGCCTAGCAGAGCACCTTAATGGTGCAGGGCAGGTGCTCAATAGATGTCTGTTGATCATAATGATGACTAATACCTGCCAGATGGGCCCCAGGGATGCTAGAGGAGGGTGCCACTCTCAAATGGTGTACGATACAGGAGACGCACACTGTATTTCTCCAGTGTGTCAGAAACTTCACGTATTTCCCACCATTCTTACTCCCCACCAAGATTTTAGCAGTCCTGAAGTCACTATGTCTTTCTACACCCCTTTACCTCTTTACCCCATTACCTACCTTCCCATTTATCTGAAGCTGGCCTGCAAATTGCCAAGGCAGGAAAAACCCCACTTTGCACATTGGGGCAAAACATCCCATACCTGGCAATGACCACCAGCTCTTTTCCATCACCATTATACCCTCTCCAGGGTCTACTCATTTGCAATGGCAGCCTCACAGGGAGACCCTAAGGCCATGCTGATATCTCCAGTCAGCAGAAGCCTCTACTCCAGCTCCCCATTCTCCTCTCCACTCCACTGCCTGCCCAGTCTACATGGGATGACGCTGTAACTGGGAGTATAAGTGCTAAGCCAGAGCTGCCCCTGGACATTGCCCTCCCCCTCCCCACACTGGCTCCATGCCCCAAGGCATGGAAAGCAGCTGGTGCCAGTTCCGGCCAAAGCCAAGGCTGCTCCCAGGAGAATCTGCAATGAAACAAATGTCCACAAAGCAGCCACTGGCTTCTAATGGAGTTGCCAAGGCAATGCCAACCACTTCACGTATTGAGAAGGAACAAAGGCAACACACAAGAATGAATCTTGTAAGCCTTCCTGCGGGAAACCAGGCTAGAATTCTTTCCTTTCTGCCAAAATTCCCACTGTGTGGACACACAGACACTGTCAAGATCACAGACAGCTACAAAAGAACATTCTGAGAAGGCAAACTGCCCGAGTGATAATGAAGAAATTCAGAATCATTGCCTGGCTAACAGGCATAAAGAAGACAGAAGTGTTACTTCTGTTAAAGAGAATAATGGAACCTGTGCCTCAAAAATAAGGTTCTTATGTGTATGTGATTTTCATTTCAGATCAAAATACAGTGAACTCCTTTCTCTCCCACCCCCAAGCTCTTTCGCCTTTGATTGCTGTGTACCCTTACCTACAGGGGGTAGGAGGAAAAGTCAGGCAACTGGTTCTAGTCCAGAAACTGGCCCCTCACCTGCTTTGAGACCTTGATCAATTTACCTATATTTTCTAAGCCTCTTCCTCTCTGTAAAGTCAAAGGTTGAATAGTTCTGGCTCTAACAAGCTATCACAATAATGAGCGGTAAGGAATGCTGTGATTTCCCGTCAGAATGGCTTCTGCCTTGACCTATAGCATGAGAGAAGGTAAGCTGTAAACAGGAGAGAGCTCCGGGTTCTCTGCACTCAGAGGAAGGAGCAGAAATTGCTGCCATGGTTATTTCAGCAGATCAAGTTTTCTGCCAAGTCAAGTCTGAAGAAAAAAAAAACAAACCTTCTTCACTGGATGGGAGGTGAAAAAGCCATTTCACAGAAGGTAGAATGGAGGATCTCTTGCGCCAAATGGAAGATAACAAGGATAGCACTGAGCCTTCTCTCTGGGGTACACCGCCCTGGTGGGGCTTCCTGGCACAGTGCAGTACCATCCGGTCAAACTGCCGCTCGACAAACCTCTCCCAGTTACGCTGAGTCTCATGATGGCGCTGCCAACATGGGAACACGTGGTGACACATGTAAAGTTCTCTTCCCTTTAGTTAAAAAATCAAAAACAAAAGCTTTCCCCAGACCTTCACTTGGCTAAGTATGATGCATAGAGAGGCTTCTGAAAAACACTGCAAATATTTACTGCCAATAGAATTAACATTTGTTAACTTTTTTTCACTCTTCAGAAACAGCTTACATAATTATAATTATCCCATGTATTGAGCAGCAATTTTACTTTTATAATAAGTTAAGGCCCCTCAGTTCCATTTGTTCCTCATGATTTTGGGGGTCAGACAAGAATATCAACTTCACTTTCTGGGAATGGAGAATAACTTCCCATGGCCATGTGGAAGGCAAAACTTTGAGCTGAGACTGGGATCCAGAATTTCTGGTTCCCAGCCAAGCCTTCTACCCATAACACCATATTGCATCTTGTAACTGTTCCCTCAACTATAGATTTTCTAAGAATTCCACACATTTGGGTTTAGAACATGATGCCATATAACCTAGAGTGCAATGGCTTGCTTCTACATATTATGGATAAAATAACTCCCATAAATTACAAGGAAAATGTTCCACAAATGAGTATAATTACATTAACCAAAACTAGCAATAGTCATTAAGTTCAGGATGTCTATATCACAATGGGTATTTAACATGCCACTCCCATTCAAACATAGTGCACTAGCACTATAAATGAGAGCTGCTGGATGCAAACTCCAAATAGGTCTTTAATAGTCAACTACATCTAGATGGACCATCTGGAACTTGGGCTACACAAGGCTCATGCATCCCAGGGTACATCATCTCAGTTGTCATGCAGGAGAAGGGACATTTGACCCACAGTAGCAATGGTGGGTTGCCCAACTGGCAGATGAAGTACTTGAAGCACTAAAATATATATACAGGCCAGGTGCAACAGCTCATACCTGTAATCCCAGTACTTTGGGAGCCCGTAGTGGGAAGATCACTTGAGGCCAGGAGTTTGAGACCAGCCTAGGCAACACAGAAAGACCCCAACTCTATAAAATATTTTTTAAAAATTAGCCAGTTGTGGTGGTGCACACCTGTTAGTCCTAGCTAGTCAGGAGGCTGTGGTGAGAGGATCATGTGAGCCCAATAATTTGAGGCTTCAGTGAACTACGATCATGCCACTGCACTAAGGCCTGGGCCACAGAGCAAGACCCTGACTCCAACATATATACACACATAGAATTTTTTCTTTAAAAACTTTTTGTTGCTGAATTCAGCCACAATTTTATAAGCCAAAAATCTTTAAAAAGTGATTTTGAGTGTAGTTGACACACAAGCATTGCATCTTTTAAAAGATTTCTAATTTTAGTTGGAGGACAGGGTACCATATTTTTCAACGCTTAGGTATTGGAAGAGCTGGGTGGCCACACACATGTGGAATTTGAAGAACAAACTCTCCCAACACTTCCTTCTGCCAGCCCCTGCCCCTGCTTCCTGACTTGAAGTTCCACCATTTGAACCACTAATGGACTCAATAACTTTTAAAAGAAGACTATGATTCCAGAAGGCTAATTTATCAAAAATAGCCCTCTAATCTTCTGCTAGGAGCAGCAATTAGCTTATCAGATTCGTTAGTTAATAGAACCAAGATAAACCAATTGTTCATTTCTAAGCAGTGAAGTTGGGATGGGGAGGAAAGAGGGAGGGGCAGGAGGAAGGGAAGGGTTTCCCAAGCCAAGCAGGAAAAATCAGTGTGATGAGGGAGATGGCACCACAGGCAAATGTCATTTCCTTCACAACTAGCCTAGGATGGGCCAGCAGATAATAGTTTAAACCTACTATCCAAAGCAGCTTTTGCCCAGCAATCTAGGGTAATAATTGTTTAATATACACCAAGGCTCAGGTACTGAAGGGCCACTTACTGGCACCCTCTCCCTTAAGATGGGAGCCCTGGGTTCATCCAAGATTTCCTTCCAATATCCACCTCTTCACAGGCTCCTTTCTTTCAATGTAAAGCATGCTTATGTTTTCTTATTCTCTTAAGTTTTTTCTTTGTCCTCCCTCAAACTACTGCCCCAGCTCTAACCCCTTTCTCTATCAAACTATTTAGAAGGTTGGTCTTCTCATGCCTCTACTTCCTTACCCCTCCCATCACATCCTGCCACCTAATTTTTGCTCTCATTCATCTGCCTTCTTAAAGGGCTTCATGGCCTCTTAATCTTCAATTCTAAGACACTTTGATGGTCTGCAATATCCTCAATATTCACAAGGGTAGAATTGTGCACCAGCCCGGCCTTGTGGAAACTCTGCTCAGCAGCCCCCCTGGATGCTGCATTCTCTGGCTCAGCTTCCTTCCTCTTTGACCCCTTCTTTTCCTCTGTCACTGCCAATTTTTCTTTTTCTCCTTCCTGCCAATTCCAAATTTAAGAATGTCTCCAGATCTCTCACTGGGCCTCTTCTCTTCTCTTTTGCACCTTCCGTTTCCATACTCTCTCACATGGAAAGGCACAAACATTCCTGTAGTTTTAGCCACATGCTGTAGGCAGAAGACGAACAAAGTCCATCCTGAACTCTGAGTCCCAAACCCACATTGTTAACTATCTAATTAAAACCTCCAATTAGATGTCCCCAAGTACCCTAAACAATATATGTTGAAAAGAGAGCTTACTGCCTGTCTTCTCTGCCTCCTTCTCCTCCACCTCTTCCTTTCACTATCCCCAGTCATCCAGGATAAAAAGCTCAGAGCTATCTCTCCCACAGTTGTCCCTCACCACCATCATGCAATCAGTTGCCACAGAGTGGTCATTCATTTCTTTGATCTATCTCATTTTGTGTCTCAACTATTCTTACTACTTTTTGCCTAGACTTGTACAAGGGCCTTCTAAGTGATCCACTTGTCTGTCTTTTCTCCAATGTGCTCCACATCCTTTGCCAAATCCATCTGCCTCTGGCCCAGCAACTAAAAGAGCTTGCTAGGATGCTCTATGGTATATGATCCCCCTAGTGCAACAGCAGACCTACCAATCCCCACAGGAATGTCCTTCTCTACTGGACCTCACTGCTCTGACGATTCCCTCTAACTAGAATGCCATCTCAATGATTTGACCGTGTTATCTGTCAAAACACTACCCATTCCTCTGGAAGCACCATGTCATGGAAAAAATGCAGGATCCAGAGTTAGAGACTGGGGTGAGAGAGGGCTAATATATTTGACTGACTCTTGTATGCTAGACCCTATGTTTTACCTGGGGCATAACATAGATTGCTGACAACTATTCTTTAATGTAATTGCCACTCTTCATTTTACAAGTGACAAGGTCAGGTTCAGAGATGTCCATGGCTTGCACAGGGTCACAAAGCACGTATTACATTGGCTTCACATGGTAGTTGTGAGAACAAATAATAAAAGGCATATAAAATTACTTTACAAATTGCAAATTACAAATTGCACATATGTTATTAACATTATAACTTATCTTACCCTTTTATAGATTTTTAGTTATTTAAGGACATGTTTTCTATCTTACCCATCTTTGGATTCCCTGCAGCATTTATGATAAGTATTAAAAGTGCTTACATTAATAGCTGTTTAATTAAATTGGATTTTTCATGTCACATTTTGAATTAATAGAATTTTTAAAATTTTACTCCAAAATTAAAGCTGCCACTTATTGAACAGGTCCAAGTGCCAGGCAGAGACTACCATGAATCTCCACAGCAGTGCTCCAAGGTTAGCATTATAATATCCATTTTACAGATGGAGAAATCAGAGTTCAGAGACAACACATAATAGTCGCACAGCGATAAGTAGGAGAGGCAGGAGGGTCTGATTTCAGAGCTCATGATTTCCCACCATTAAAGACTCTCGATCACAGATATCCAATTCACCTAGAACCACCAAAATCTAAAATTTCTGCAACTGAGGTGATTCCCATCTCTTGTGAGCAGAGAAACGTTATTTTCCTTCTTATAGCCATAGTGCTGAGAGCTCTCTTTCAGACTCTGCTCAGCATTAATTACCACATCCTCATGAACACTGGCATAATCAGCCCTCTGCCCCACACAACTAAACATCTTTCTTACAGTTTTACAAATTTAGGGTTTCTCGTCTTACTGCTTTATTCAACAGATATTGACTGAGAATCCTCCATGTGCCAAGTACTGTTCAAAAACACTGGGAACCCAGCAGGGATGAGCCACAAGTTTCCTTGTCTTTACGAAGCTTTCATTCTGAGGGAGTGGAGAGAGACAAGCAATAAACAACCAATCAAAACAAAGATGACTCCTCTGAGTGTTGTGATATGCGGGTCAAGGAGGATGGCTCCCAGGATGTGACCTCAGAGCAGAAGCCTGGAGGCTTGCCAGCAGCGGGAAGAGCAGCGGCAGGGCACTGCAGGCAGAGGTGACCAAAAGCGTGAAACCTTGAGCTGGGAAGCACGTGGTCTGCTGGAAAGTGGGCTGATGTATTTGAAGAGAGCAAGGAGCAGAATGGTACAATGGGGTGATGGGGGAAGAGCCAGGCAGAGCCCAGTGCTGCAAAGCCCGGTAGCACATACATGTGTAACGTACCTTGAAGCAAATGAATGGCCTGATCTGGTTTCTGTTTTGGCTGCTCTGTGGTGATGTGGTGCCTGGGAGGCAAAGAAGCTGGGAAAGAAGCGGTTTTTCTCTTCTAGGTACTTTAAAGCTCTATAATATATGCTCAGGTGAAATTTGGCTGGTATTTTCAGGGACTTCACTGCTTTTGTGCCATACTGGCCTCATCATGTAGATAACATCACGGATTCATTCCATCTTATTATTCTGTAAGAGTGATGTCTAATTTTTTTAAAAAAGAATCAGCTTTAAAAAATGCAAAGTCTCATAGAAAGTAACTCTTTTCTATTTTAAGCAAGCATTCAGAATATTAGCAGTGCTAATCAGTACCTCACTAAACAGTTATGACTGATTCTAAGTGCAAAGTGGGGAATGAGAGTAACAGAGAGTATTTACTGGCTGCTAAAAGCAGGTACAATGGGGAGCATGCTAGAGAAACTGTCTCACTGAATCCTCGGATGACCCCATGGTGTAGGTAATACTGGAGAAACTGAGGCTGCAGTGGCCACATGACTTGCACAAGGCCACCCAGTAAGAATGGGATAGAACAAGAGCCCATGTCCATAACCCCTCTCCTACTACGCTAAGGTCAGGGTGGCCCTTTAAGGTGACCAAAGGGTTAGAAATAACAAACAAGAGTGGATGAACCTAGGTTTATTTTGTCTGGAGGAGAGAAATCTTTGAGAGTGATTAATTAAAGCATATTCAGGATATTTTTTAAATAAACGGAGAGAGCTGTTCTCCATCATCCCTAATGGTAGAAGAAAAGGCCTTCACCCTCAGCCTGGCAGGTGAAGACAGAGATAAAGAATGTGCAGACTGTGGGATCTTGCTGGGAGGGAGGCAGGACTCACCTACCTAGTCTGTCTCTGATGCATTTCTTTGGAAAATGCATGTTGACAGTGCTTCTAAAAGTAATCATATGAGCTGCCTGAAAAGGTCAACTTTCAACTCTGGTAAAGATTGGGATGCCTTTTCCAGATTAATTCCACATTGGTGTTTGTGGGCAATGCTGAAACAAAAGAAAATCCAGGCTAGCCAAAACTTTTCACATAAATAGTGACAAAAGCAACCGAGTGGCTGGACAGATTTGAGACAGGAACAGCCCGAGGACTACAGCAGGGGCTCCCAGTCTGGAGACTCTAACATAGATCTCCAGATGACCCCAATGACTGGGAATTGCTTTTACTCTGGACAGCCTGCTGGGCGGCCCCAGTTGACTGTCCCGGGTATGTCCCGGGTCGCTAACCACTTTGACTGCCCCTGAGCCACAGAGTCAGGCAGGAGTCAGGGACACGTAGGTACTCTCTTCTCCCTGCCCCTCACCTTCCTTCAGGGCCACCTCGGCCACAAAGGCTGGCTCCACATCAGTCAGCTACTCAGACATGCTCTCGCCTCACCTCCTCCTTCCCACTCTTCCCCTGATGCCCACAGGCTGGATTTCAGGTCAGGAAGCACTAGGCTTGGAGCCATATGCTGAAAATGACTTCCCTTTTCTTCCTAGATTAGATTTGCTGCAAATGGCTCTGCTCCCACAAGCTCCATGATCCAATATACCCAGGAATAAAATCTAAGGGACATATGGTTACAGGGAGCAAGATCAGAAGAGACTTCAGCCTCCTGGGTTAATGCACAAAGCTTGCAGCTGGTCATGCAGTGTGCTGGGCCCTTTCCATGGCCATAAATCCACACCTGGGTGCATTAATGCCACTGCGTCTGGAGCCCATGTGCTTCACAATGGAGAGTTGAAGTAACTGCAGGCTGTCCTTCACAGGCCATATCCTCAAGGAGGCGGTCCTTGTGACACAGGTGGAGGTGACGTCACTTCCCCCCACATGGCCAGTCAGCCACTGTCAGGGGACTGCTCTCTCTCAGTGTTTTCTTAATTAAAGAAGCTTCACAGGACAGCAGCAAAGAGGGACCAAAACAGGTAGCATTGGACCAATCCCTTGGATTGGGTCTGAAAAGCAGCTGCCACCTTCATTGTCCTTCTCAGTTTTTTCTTTTTCTTTCTTTTCTGTTTTTAGAGACAGGATTCTTGCTCTGTTGCCCAGGATGGAGTGCAGTTGAATGATCATAGTTCACTGTAGTCTCAAACTTCTGGACTCAAGTGATCCTTCCACCTCAGCATCCTGAGTAGCTAGGACTACAAAACACATGCCACCACACCCAGCTAATTCTTTTAATTTTAATTTAATTAATTAATTTATCTATTTATTTTGAGGCAGGGTCTTGCTCTGTCGCCCAGGCTGGAGTGCAGTGGTATGATCTCAGCTCACTATAGCCTCAACCCCCTGGGCTCAAGCAATCCTCCCACCTCAGCCCCACTGAGGAGCTGGGACTACAGGCATGCACCACCACACCCAGGTAATTTTTGTATTTTTTGTAGACACAGGGTTTCACCACATTGCCCAGGCTGGTCTCGAACCCCTGAGCTCAAGCGATCCTCCCACCTCAGCCTCCCAAAGTGCTGGAATTACAGACATGCACCAGCATGCCTGACTTCATTATTTTTATTTTATTTTATTTTTAGAGATGGGGTTCTCACTATGTTGCCCAGGCTGGTCTCAAAGTCCTGGGCTCAAGCAATACTCCCACCTTAGCTGCGATTACAGGCATGAGCTACTGTGTCCTCCTGCTCAGTTTTCTAGCACTGTCAGGCCCTGAGCTCCAAGCCTTTCCTCCAGTAAAGCACATCAGTTACTTAGATGCCAACTGTGGCATCTCCCTCCCATGGGACTTCCTTATGATCAATGAGTCAGTATTTCCTGAGATTCCTCAGTCTCCACTTTCACAGCCTGGTTCCCTCCAGGCACTCATACTTGCGCCTCACCCTCTTTTTCTGCTGAATTATTTAGACATCACGAATTGGCTAAAATGTACTTGCTGAATTTACTGGCAAGAGAAGACGCAGCTTCCCTTCCCTTTCCTCTGCCTCCCCTTTTTCCCTCTGGCCCCAAGGGAGTCTCACTCTCTCTCCCCTCCCTCCTAGGTAAACCCATCTGATATGGTTTGGCTGTGTCCCCACCCAAATTTCATCTTGAATTGTAGCTCCGATAATTCCCACATGTCATGGGGGTACCCTGTGGGAGGTAATTGAATCATGGGGTGGGTCTTTCCTGTGCTGTTCTCATGACAGTGAATAAGTCTCACAAGATCTGATGGGTTTACAGAGAGGAGTTTCCCTGCACAAGCTCTCTTTTTTGGCCTGCCATCGTGTAAGACATGCCTTTCACCTTCCACCATGATTGCGAGGCCTCCCCAGCCATGCAGAACTGTAAGTCCATTAAACCTCTTTTTCTTTATAAATTACCCAGTCTCGGGCATGTCTTTTTCAGCAGTGTGAAAGTGGACTAATATACCATCCTCCCACTCCTTGACCCTGGCTCCATCTCTCCCTTCTCGTAGGCTTCCTCCATTAGCTAAAAGCATGACTACATGTGTGCTATCCTTAAAAGCAAAAAACCTGCCATCGACCTTGCTTCTACCTCAACTCACTGTGCTATCACCACACACTAAGCTTTTTGGAAATAAGTAGCACACACTCCCAGCATCCTTCCTCTCACTTCTCATTATGCCAGTCTTTTTGCTAAATGGGAAGCAGCAAAGGCACCCACAGCTGTCCCCTTAGCAAACCAATGCCTCTCCTTTGCCATCCCTTTATCACCCTCTCCAAGCATCTGCCCCTCCCACTTCTGCAATGATTTCTCCCCTTCTTTAATTTCTCCAACTTCTTTAATTTCTCTTTTTAAATATTGGCCTTCCCTAGCATTAAGTTTTTGTGCTTTTTTTCCTCTCTAAACCAATGTGTCCTAACTCAGGGATTTGGGTGGCACCATCACAATTTTTGTCATAACCATGTACCATCCACTCTACCTTTAATTTAATATTTTTTTAATTAACTTATTTTTCCTTAAATATACTTTCAATGAAACTTTTATATTACTGTTGTAAGTGAAAAATCAGTATTACATGCTATAAACAGAAGGCAATAAAAAGAGATACAATGAAAACAAAGCAATACTAATGAGCTCTAGCTAGAAACATTGCATGTCAAGGACTCCAAGCCTAGGACCTGTTCTTTCCTTTTATTAAGAGGGAAATTCCAAAGTATTAGAGATTAAACACTAGCACCAAACTGAAGCTTTGTCTTTGGTAGATTCAGAAGGGCTGAAAGAGGAATAAAATGAAAATAACTTTCCACTACCTGATTCAATGTTATCTAAGCCCATGTCTGCTGTGTACTGCCTAAAATTATCAACTACAAAGATAATTTTCCTACTAAATACTAGAGTTAGTTCTCCTTCCTCTGTGACTCTCTTCAGAGGACTTAACAATTGTAACTTTTTCAATGGTTGCCGTATTTCTTAGCTCCATTCCACATGCTTTTAGAAAATGAGATTACAGACATAAACTAGAAACAAGATAGACAACAAACACCCTAAATGTCAAAACTAGTACCAAACAGCAGCAATCCATCCAAGCTGGAGCCCAGATCTACCCCAGATGGCTCTATCCATCAGGGTTGGATCCTGGAACATGTCAGAGACTGCCCACCATCAACGCCTAATCCATAATAATAAATAATATGATAGCCAACATCTGAAAGGTTTACATGCCAAACGCAGCACGACACTCCTCATATATGTGCTGTTCAATCTTCACAATACACTCGTGAGATCGATGCTGTTATTATTCCCAGTACGAGGAACCATTAGAGAAGTTAAGGAACTTGCCAAGGATCTATTGTAAGTGGCAGATCCAGGATTTGCAGATCGTCTGATGCCAGAGCCTGTGCTCTTAACGCTTGTGCTCCCCCGATGCTGAGACACAGCAATTTTAAACTTCACAAACCTCAAAATAATAGCCTGCTGCTCTTAAGCACAATTAAGACAATGGGGTTGACACAACAGGAAAACCATTCAACATGTAATTAAACATAATTACTGGTGTCCTCTAATTGTTTGGGAAAATAAATCTCTTGCTCTTGACAAGCTATAATTCTGGTGTGTGCTAAGAAGGTTCAAGTCTTCACTTCAATCTGTATACCTCTAGCACATACATACATTATTCATCACATTTTATGGCGAGTAGCAGTAGAGTGGCTCAAAGATACCTTCAACATGTAACTTAGAATCAAATAAGATAGGGCTCAGAGGAATCTAAACCATCCTGCCCAAATCTTCATTTTATAGATGGGAAAAAAGGGGAAAAAAAATAACTTCCCAAGAACATACAGGGCTCTGCCTTCTAGTTAAGTGCTCAAGGCACTTCACTGGTTAAACAGGTTAAATTCAGACTGCCTAAGCTAAAAACCAGCCTTCACAATTTAGTAGCTATGTGACCTTGGGCAAGTTATCGCAGCTCTCTGAGCTCAGGTGAGGATGATAATAATACTGCAGCAGCTCTCTCATAAGATTCTGTGAGGACGAAATAACAATATATGTAAAACACTTGGAACACTACCTGGACACATGGCATTCGATCACTGCATCTAGCCACAGATACTACTGCTTCAGACAGTGAGCCACACCTGCATGACGGGCCTTGGAAATACTTCCAGGTTCTCATCAGGGCCACTAAAAACAGCAGTAAGGGTGTGTTCGCATCCACTAAGGAGCAGTTAAAGGGTGTCTCCAATGTCTGCCACATGGAGCTAAAACTATAAAGCAAAGGCGTTTAGCTGAGGTTCTTTCAAGGAGGGAGAAGGGCACGGGAAACAGACCTGAGTGCCTTGCATCATGACACTTAAATTCTGCTGGAATGAGCTTCAGTGCCAGTAGCCATGCTCTTGTGGGCAGACCTGTTTATTTAACATGACAGATAATCATGCTTCCAGAAGGACAAAGTTTTTAAAGGCAACATGAGCATTATTTATGGAGCATACACTTAGTAAATAGCACTAGGTGTATGGAATACCATGAAATCTAGGGTAGGACTATCAAAGCAGCCTTGGCAAATACCTAGACCGAGGCTCCCCATCTTTCTGATGTCTCCCCAAGCAGACATCACTCTTCAGCCACAGCACACTTGCCTGCAGAGCCCAAGTACAGCTCAAGGGCAGCCTTACAATCCCTCTCAACCCAATGCTCCATGAAGCCACTGCCTGTGCATAAATGTTGAATTTAGGAATTAGAGGAATAAGCAGGCAAGCAGAGAATGAGGCACAGGACTAAAACTCAGCAGGGGCCAAGAATTATTTTACTTAGCTTCTCTTGATTAGGCATTTGAATTTAAAACAGCTAGGAATATAATACATAATACATCTTGTGTGTGTTGCAGGGAAAAGGTTTAAAGGGTCCAAGCTATAAAACATAACCAATGTGAAATGCTCTTTGCAGGAATACACGAGCACTACAAAATATTCTAATTTTCCTTGGGCTCCCATAAGAAAAACTAGCAGCATCCTCATTTGAAAGAAGAGATATGAAGGAACAGAGATGGCAAAGTACTTACTACAGATGTTCCTGGGCCGAGGGCAGTGGCTCATGCCTGTAATCCCAGCACTTTGGGAGGTCAAGGTGGGTGGATCACTTGAGGTCAGGAGTTTGAGATCAGACTGGCCAACATGGTGAAACCCCGACTCTCCTAAAAATACAAAAATTATCTGGGCGTGGTGGCGTGTGCCTGTAATCCCAGCTACCTGGGGGGCTGAGGCAGGAGAATCACTTGAACCTGGGAGGCAGAGATTGCAGTGAGTCAAGATCGCACCACTGCACTCCAGCCTGGGCAACAGAGCAAGACACTATTTCAAAAAAAAAAAAATGTTTCTGGCACGAAGAAGCTGTCTGCCTTTCCCCCTGTTGAGCCATTCAGGGCGAGAACCCAGGACTCAAAGAAATGGAACCACAGAAGAGAGAATCCAGGAACACGAGGGGCACTTCTGCTGGCTGATTCGACCACAAAAGGTGCTGGTTGCACAGTCACTGCACAGACAGGGGGCATTAACAGGAGGGGAAAGAAAGGATTTCCATTTTGTTATGGACCAACGCTGACTGTTAGAACCCCAACTCACAGTGCGAAAAAGAGCAGCAAACCCGGTGAAGAGGTCTCTTCTGTGCACAGTCCACCCTCGGGAGGGGCAAGAAGTAACCAATCCTATTTAATTCAAGTCAAAAATCTTTAAAAACTATACCTTCCTTACATTTGTTCCAGTGTTCTGGCCTCTGCAGGGGCTATTGACTCTTTAAGAGGCTGTAACTGACGCCATATCTCACAGGCCGTCCTCCAGATTCCTTAAGAGGTGACAAACAGTATTTCCTCTGAAATGTCAGAGATTGATGGGGGGAGGTTTCCAGGAGCAAGGAGCTAGGAAGGCTGGGAGGGATGGAGGGACCAAGTGCTACAGTGACAGGAGCCTGCCACTGGGGTATCTGACATGGGTGTACCACATCTGCCCAGCTGGTTCCCAGAGCACTGATGGGAGGAAGTTGCTTAAAAATATTAAATTGATAAATAGCCTGTCATTGGGAATAATTGAAAGCATCTTATATCTCAGTTTAAAATCTCCTTAGTTCGGTTTCCATATTGCTTTCTTTTTTTATTTTCCTTGAATGAGAAATATGTTCATATAGTTCAAATACCAAAAAGTATAAAGGATTTTTTAAAGGTATAAAGTATAAAAGTGAAACGTCTCCCTCACATCCCTGCCCTCTATTCCTGCAGCTGCCAGCTGCTCACCACCTCCCAGCCCCAACACTTCTGCTGGTGCCTCACCACTCTCTCCAGAGTTCTTTCTTTGTGCACACAGAAGCAGTCAACCATACATCCCTAATTGTTCCTCTTTGTGCTACAAAAGGTGGCAGGTTATATATACCTGCCTCCACCTTGCTTCTTCCACTTAATATATCTTGAAGACTTTTCCATATATCAGTACATGGAAAGCTTTCTCATATTGCTTTATTTTTTATTTACATACAATGATGTATAGATGTGAAGTATTCCACTAGATGATTTTGACAATTAGATATCCTCGCAACATCTCGCAACAACCACCTAAGACTAAACAGGGCACTTGTATCATGTCCCTTTCTGGTCAACCGCATCTCAGCAACCACCATTTTTATTTCTGTAACTGTAATGCAATGTGGGTTTGTTGGGGTTTTTTGTATTTTATGATATTAAGATTTCTGTTCCTGTCAGAGAGCAGCAACGAATGTTCATGAGCTATTCTCTATGAAGAATCCTCCAACACAAGTCCCTGCCCCACCCTACCTGCCCCCTTCTAGACCAGGTACCCTCCTTGTGGCCCCACTCCTACACTTGCTTTCCAACACTGAACCATAATCACTTCTGAAATTTTCTCTTTCTCCCTCTGGTCTGTAAGCCCAAGCTCCATTTCTTTGTCCCCAATGCATCTCCAGTACAAAGCACCAATTAAATATTTGCCAAACCCTTTCCCAAAGGCAGTTTGTAATTAGAGAGTAAAGGTGTCGATCTCTGACCAGTGTTGCTATGGGAATGACTGAATGCAAACTTCATTTTACAATTAAAGTAACTGTCAGAAAGGAGGCAGGAAGCTTGTAAAGAGGCAAACGAGGGTAGTGTGGGATGAGAAAGAGCCATTCCCAGGGTTCTGTTGGCAGGGAGGGAGAGGCCCCTATGTCAGCTGACTGTCTGCACTCATGGAAGGAAAAAATGAGGAACATTTTAAGACTTGATTTCCAAGATTTTGAAAACAAATCAGAGGCCTTTCTTGGGCTTAGCATAAAACCATCACAGATAGGCATTCCCTACATGACTAGATCACTGGACTGTAAGCTTTAAATAGAAAATGGTGAGGCAATGTGGGTTATTGGAAAAGAGTGTCCACAATGATATGTGTTTAAGGATGAAGGGGGAGATAAATTATCAGGAAAACCATCTGCTCCAAGGTCTGAGAAATAGAAGGCACTGGCAAAATAGAGACATCTTTGGGGAATACTGAAAACTAAGCTGCATAGAAGTCAAATGGGGAAAAAAAATCACAAAATCAGCAAAATAGCTTTCCAAGAGCAATCAAACAAGGTACCTGAAGAGTAGAAAAACAGTTCAATAAAGCTGACCAAGCAGCCCGACTCTGGGGCAGCTACCAACCTTAATTGTCTCTGCATCGGTTTGAGCTGAGCTTAAAGTTAGGCAGAATGAAGTGGCCAAGCACTTGTTTTCCATGAGATCTGAAATCATTCTGTTGCCTTAATGCCCAGGCATACCCTACATTCAGCTGTGAACACAGGAGACATACACAGAAATATGAGAAGGGAAAGCCCAACCTCATGGAATTCAGGAAAGAAATACCCATGACTTGGCTGAGGAAATCTATTGCAACCATTTTTAAGGAGTCTGTTGGTAACTGAGGAGTAGTAATTATCCAATTGTTTTCTTTTTTTTTTTTTTTTTTTTTTTGAGATGGAGTTCTGCTCTTGTTGCCCAGGCGGAGAGCAGTGGCGCGACCTCGGCTCACCGCAACCTCTGCCTTCTGGAATCAAGCGATTCTCCTGCCTCAGCCTCCCAAGAGGCTGGGATTACAGGCGCCCACCACCACGCCCGGCTGATTTTTTGTATTTTTAGTAGAGATGGGGTTTTGCCATGTTGGCCAGGCTGGTCTCGAAATCCTGACCTTAGGTGATTCACCCTCCTCAGCCTCCCAAAGTGCTGGGATTATAGGCATGAGCCACCACGCCTGGACCCAGCTGTTTTCTTATGCCAAGCATAAGCACATCTAGATGTTCTCATTTAAGAGAATAAAATAAATCTCTTTAATTTGCTTTACTTCACCTGTTCCATTTTCGTTAATCCAAAAGCTGACATTGCCAATGGTATTTAACAATAAAGCAGCAAGTAGTCTTGAAACAAAAATAACATTAAAAGGAAAGAGTAAGATATGGCTTTCTATGCTTTGTCACTGACTCTTAAAAAAATAAGATTAAAAGGTGTTCGATGACGAAAGAACTATATAGGCTAATCTGAATTCTGAAAAAAATACTATTTAATTAATATTCTATATAGCAAGCACCTAATACAATTCTTATTTTAGCAGAGATTATATACATAATGTCTCCATTTCATATAAAATTTTCTCTGAATGCTAGATGTTTGGTTATTAATGTGAACATAAACCCTTCAAAATATTACTGTTTTTCTTCATAGAGAATAGCTCATGAACATTCGTTGCTGCTCTCTAACAGGAACAGATATCTTCTGGTAAAAACTTGTGTTTGCTTTGTAAAAAAAATTAAATAATACCATGTAGTAGGGTGACGTTTCCTTTCGCTGCTATAAAAAATTAACAGAAATTTAGTGGTTTAAGACAACAAAATTTTATTATCTTTCAGTTCTGGATGTCAGAGGTCCAACTTGAGTCTCACTGGGCTGATGTCAAGAAGCCTGCAGAGCTGCTTTCTTCCTGGAGGCTCTAGGAGAGATTCCGTTTTCCTGCCTTTGCCAGCTTCTAGCGGCCGCCTGTATTCCTTGGCTCGCATGACCCCTCTGTATCCTTAAAGCAGTAATGGCCCGTCAAGTCTCATGAGGCCATCAGTTTGGTTTCAACTTTTCTGCTTCCTTCTTCCCCATTTAAGAATCCCTGTGATTGCACTAGACAATCTTTATTTGAAGGTCAAATGGTTAACAACCATAACTCCATCTGCAACCTTAATTCCCACTGGTCATGCAACATAACATATTCGGGTTCTGGGATTAAGAAGTGGACATCTTTCAGGGCCATTATTCTGCCTACTACAGAGGAAATGAGAATTGTCTCATGAGATACTCAGTTCAGGGCTCTGTGGCCTCTGCATTTAATGATTGGTTTGGTGGTAACATTCAACATGAGCCTGCCTATTCTACTGCAGGGAACTGGCAACTTTGGCTTTTTCAGACTGGAGAGAGCCTCTCAATCTAGGACTCTCCACTCCCTAGGTGCCTGAAGGTCTCCATTCCTATGTGGACTAGACAGGACATTTGGCAGGAAGGGAGGGCTAGGAAAAAGACAGGACTTCCCACAGTGATCTACATGCAGAAGGCCTTAGAGCCAGTCTTTGATGGGAGGAAGGCACAGTGTGCAAATCAGGGCTCAACTCCTCTCCACTCCCTCAAACCCTGAGCTTTCTCTGCTAGCCAGCACCACCTCTCCCTGGAGCACACAGGATGATTTTTTTTTTTTTTTTTTTTTTTTTTTTTTTTTTTTTTTTGAGACTGAGTCTTACTCTGTCAGCCAGGCTGGAGTACAGTGGCATGATCTCGGTTCACTATAACCTCCGCCTTCCAGGTTCAAGTGATTCTCATGCCTCAGCCTCCTGAGTAACTGGGACCACAGGTGTACACTACCACAACCAGCTAATTTTTGTATTTTTAGTAAAGACAGGGTTTTACCATGTCAGCCAGGCAGGTCTCAAACTCCTGACTGCAAGTGATCCACCTGCCTTGGCCTCCCAAAGTACTGGAGTTACAGGTGTGAGCCACATCACCTGGCTCACAGGATGATTTTTAAATGCATTCTATACACACTTAACAAACATGCCACTAATCTGGAAAATTTATTTCACTGGTACCTAGCATAGTGTCTGGACCAGAGCTGGGACTCAAAAATATTTATTGCATTAATAAATATCGCATACTTTTATAATGTCTGTGAGGTGGAGCATTGAGCTGAGCAGGACTAGAGAATGCTGAAAAATAAGATTTTGATGTCCTTCAGCCCTTCAAATGAGCTAGGGAAAATTCAATTTTTGAAAGGAAGCTATAATAACTCCCAAAAGTTCAAGAAACCCTAGTCTACTATGTGCTGGTTCATGAATTAAACTTAGTAGATCATAAGCAGCATTTTAAAAAATAAAATGAGACAGAGTAGAATAGAAAATATTAGAGGACATCACATATATTAACAGTGTCACTTCATAAAACTATTATTTCAGATGTGTGTCTGTGTGCTAAGTTGCAATATATTTGTATTTCTTGTTAAAATGAATCATGATCTTGGCCGGGCGCAGTGGCTCATGCCTATAATCCTAGCACTTTGGGAGGCCAAGACGGGCAGATCACCTGAGGTCAGGAGTTTGAGACCAGCCTGGCCAACATCGTGAAACCCCATCTCTACTAAAGATACAAAAATTAGCCGGATGTAGTGGTGAGTGCCTGTAATCCCAGCTATTCAGGAGGCTGAGGCAGGAGAATCGCCTGAACCTGGGAGCTGGAGGCTGCAGTGAGCCCTGAGATCACACCACTGCACTCCAGCCTGGGTGACAGAGTGAGACTCCATCAGAAAGAAAGAGAGAGAGAGAGAGAGAGGAAGGATCATGATCTCATAGTCAAAAACAAATGGAAAACTGCTGCTCTACTAAAAACGTTCTCATCACAGAATTCTGGAATAGGCTAGCCTTTCACAGGATGATAGTTACCAAAAACTCAGTTCCAAATGGCTAATTTTTAACTTCTTAGGTTTCTATTGTCTTTTGTCCCAGACAGTTCCAGCAAGGCATAATGATGCTAAGAGAATTACCTCCCTTTCATTCTCTGTTCCAGTACACTCTCAATCCCTTACCAAAACATTCGCCTGGGATTCTCTTTTCTCACTGAATAAAACAGGATACACATCAGCATCGTGATGCTCCAGAGGGGAGGCAGTCCATGAAATGGTCTGATTGCTGTAGAATTCTTTTCATGTAGCCATCCACCCCATTGTGAAAGAAGCAGCTGGATATCCAAGCATCTTCCAATACTCAGGCTTCAAGGTCCAATAATGTCCACTCCTCCCCAGGAAAAGCTGGCATGCTGCTGACGTGGCCTCTCTACTCCTTTGTTTGCAGGCTTAGCTCACGTATGTGTTGTTCACTGCTCACACAAGCCACTCTCTAGGAGGGCTCGCTGAGAGCTCTCTTCTAGGGAATCTAAACTTTGTTATTTGGAAAAAGCCAGGAAACCCTTCATGAGCTGAGGATGGGTTTCCTGGCTTCAGAGGATGGGTCTGAGTTCTCACATCTCTCAACCCCCTTGCAGCATATAATGGCTTTAGTATATGCTACTCGTTATAGACACAACTGGGTCCACCCCAAAATTTAACTGTTGAAGCCCCACATTGGAGGTTAGCAAAATTCCTAACACCCAATGTGACTGTATTTGGGGATAGGGCCTTCAGGGGGGTAATTAAGGATAAATGAGGTGATAACGGTGGGACTCTGACTCAATAGGATTCATATGTCCTTATAAGAAGAGGAAGAGACACCAGATCTCTGTGGGTGTGTGTGTGTGTGTGTGTGTGTGTGTGTCACACAGAAAAGCAGGCATGTGAGGACATGCACGGTGAGAAGGTGGCTATCTACATGCCAGGAAGATAGCCCTCACCAGAAACCAACCTTGGCACCTCGATCTTGGGCTTTCAATTTCCAGAACTCTGAGAAAATGAATTTCTGTTGCTTAAGCCACTGAGTCTGTAGTATTTTGTTTTGACAGTTCAAGCAAACTAATACGCTAGTTATATTAAATAGAATTTACGTAAGCTATGTTTTTTGACCATTTGAAACATAAATGTTAAGAGAAAAGAGTAAGTCACAGACAAATATATACAGTATTTTTATAAATATTTTGGAGATTCAAGATAAAAAAAAAAGTAAACAATCTATCATTTAGGGCCAAAAAAATGTTTGCCATAAAACCATAGAGAATGATAAAAGTAGGGCCAAGTGCGGTGGCTCACACCTGTAATCCCAGGACTTTGGGAGGCTGAGGCAGGTGGATCACTTGAGGTTAGGAGTTTGAGACCAGCCTGGCCAACATGGTGAAACCCCATTTCTACTAAAAATACAAAAATTAGCCGGGCGTGGTGGTGCACACCTGTAATCCCAGCTACTCAGGGGGCTGAGGCATGAGAATCGCTTGAACCCGGGAGGCGGAGGTTGCAAGTGAGCTGAGATTACTCCATTGCACTCCAGCCTGGGAAGAGACTCCATCTCAAAAAAAGCAAAATTCCAGGGAGTGCTTGCTTCAGAGTGAGGGGGATAACAGCTGAGATGAAGGGAGGGTTGCATATTGGTAAAGTGATGTTAAGCAAAAGGTGGCCTCATGGGTGTTAATTTCTTTAGAACATCTCATAATTTTTTGTTTTATATATATTATTTTATATATATTAAGTATTTTAGAATAGAATTTATAAAAGTAAGGTGTTAGAATAACCTAACGCCCATCAGTTCATACTTATTCTTGGGGAGAGGAGAGGGGATAAGGAGCATTTCTACTTTCCAAATCTTAACTTCCTGAATTTTTTTAAATCAACCTAAAATGTTTATATAATATTTGGAATAAAAATGAAAGAAAATTAAAGAAAAAAAGTAAAAAGAAACTACTGAACACTTGTGATTACTTTTATACTTCCTTTAATCTTCCCTCCCACCCTATATATATATATATATATTGTACTAAACTTATTTGAAATGTAAGCTTTGGCTGAAAATAACTTGCCCTCTTTTGAAATGAAAATAATTGCTACAGGGTTGTAATAATAATTCAATCACTGGTTATAGCCTGGTTATAAGGAAAACACCAGGAAACAGACATCCAAGGAAGGAAGTCTCTTATTTCTTTTCATTTCAAGGCAATTTAGGTAAATTACAGACATTTCCCTTTCAGAGCTGAGGACTATCAATAGAATTTTAAGTGTGGTCCATTTATACTAATGTCTTCAATTTAGAACTTCTTGGACCTTACTTTCTTTATGATGCCAGCTTTTAGTTCACATTAAAATAATTTTATGACTAGCAAGTTGCAAAAAGAGAAAAGTGTTTTGTACATGTGGCTTCTATATTTTGGTAGAAGGAGAAATCATTTCAAGGCAATCATTTTCTGTACTTAGTGAATCTCTAATTTCTTTCCTTTTGGCACTGCCAACTGGATAACTAGATAGAAGATAATGGAGTTTGGATATTCAATACAAAACTATTTTCATTCTGTGGAAAATGAAACCACTTTGCAAACTACTATGAAACCACTGCAAAACCACTTTGCCCCACCCTTAAAGGTGTTTCATGCTCCATAATCCTTTAGTACTATTCAATCACTTGTCAGTGGTACTGTATTCCCAGTGTGTGTATGTGTGTGTGGTGGGGTGTGTGTGTGTGCACTTCTATCCATCTGTCTCCTCTACTAAACAGTGAGTTGCTTGAAGGTAAGATAAATGAATTGTGCTCCCCTAAGAAATGCCTGCATTTGCAGTTTGGTCCAAAGACGGTGAATTGCACAAAAGCAATATGTAGGCAGCTTCTTTAGTCCTCAGGTGGAAGCGATAATGGGATGTAGGGAGGTAATGAGACTAAAAATAATCATGAAAATGAGAATGTAAGTGCCACAAGAAATATTCATTCATTCATTCATTCATTCATTTTATCATGTATTATGTGTACCCATTCGGAATCATGTGTTGAGAATATGAAAATAAATCAAGCAAACCCTGACCTGAGAGGAGCTCACACTCCAAGTGGGATAATTCCAAGAAGGAAGTGACTAAAGAGAAATGGAAATACCTCACTGTGAGTTTCTAGGGTGAGAACAAATTTACAGCCACAGATAGATGGGAATGGCACTCGAAGAAGAGGGAACCTCATCAATAAAGGCTTGGACGAGTGAACGTGCAGACTGAGTTTAGGACACAATGGATAGTTAGGTTTGAGAAAGGCAGAGTCCTGAAGTGAAGTACAGTCATCAAGGCAAAAGGCTAAAGGGAACATAGTGTGGAGGGGTTTGCTGAATCACAGAAACCAAGTTGGGGAGTTCAAACTTATTTTAGTGAGCAAAAGAAAAGCCTTACATGTTTTTGAGCAGAGAATTGGCATAAATCTGAGTGGCACTTTGGAAAGAAGAGTTTAGCAACAGTGTTCAAAAGAGACCAAAGAGTAGAAAGGAAACAGGGAATTGTATTCCAAGACTACTGCAATTCAAGCAAGAGCCAGTCAAGGTCTTCAGGATCCATTTGTGATTAAAAACAAAACAAGCCAGGTATAGACTGTACTTTCTTATCTTGACAATAAATATCTACTAAAAACGTAAAGCAAACCTTGTTCTAAGATTAAGAACGAGACAAGGGTTCTAAGTATCACTGATTTTATTTTAAACTGTCCTGCAGGTCCAATCCAATGCAATAAGATAAGAAAAAAGAAAGTAAAAGTCTACATCTGGAAAGAAGGAAACAAAACTGTCATTATTTGAAGAAGAAAAAATTATCTTCATGATATATCTTTCAAAATCTACTGAAAATTTTTTAGAAGACAGTTTAGCAGTGTGGCTGAATGAGCAGATGGACTTAGAAATCTAAGAAGCAGACATAAATCTCTCCATTTTTAAGACAGAGAAGAATAGAGATTAAATAAAGGTTTTTACAAGAAAAGCATCATAATCCTTTCTCTGTGGACAGGTCCATGTGGATTAATAGTACATCTAAACATTCATAAGTGTAGCCTAAGAGGTTTCCAAGTAAATGCACCACACCCTGAGAGGAATGGCACTGCATTCTATGGAAGGTCCTAAACAGCCTTTCAGATGGAAATCACAGCATGACAGAGAAGCCAATTGGGACTTCATACATAATTTGAGATGAATGCAAGGGCAAGCAACAGAGATGGAAAAAATTCTTCCACTTTTAAGTATAGCCCAGGTTTACAGCTCTCTTCTCCTATAGTCGTTCCCAAACTTACGTCTCAGTCTAATCGGTTGCTAATGGGAACAACAAAGCTAGGTATGCTTATTCCATTTACTGCAGGATTGCTGATTCAAAGAGGCAGCCTCCAAGAGGCAGAGAATGAGAGCAACACTTATCACATTTGATTGACATCAAATCCTTTTATCAGGTAATATCTCAAAGAACTAGTGCCTCGGAGAAATTCTAGTTTAGAAAATGCTGTGCACTCAAACATTCTCAATTCCTGGTATGAACCAAAATTTAGGTGCAACATAGCAAATGGTTAAAAGCAAGGATGCTGGAGCCCACTATGCTGGATCCACAACTTACTCTTCTGTGACCTTCAGCAACTTGCTTAACCTCTCTATGCCCAAGTTTCCTCATTTGCAGAATGGCAAGAGGGAAAATGACAAGAGCAGTTACCTCATAGGGTCATACTGAAGATTAAAATGAATGATGCAGTGGCTCATGCCTATAATCCCAGCACTTTGGGAGGCCAAGAGGGATGGATCACCTGAGATCAGGAGTTTGAGACCAGCCTGACCAACATGGTGAAACCCCACCTCTACTAAAAATACAAAAATTAGCCAGGCATGGTGGTGCATGCCTGTAATCCCAGCTACTTCGGAGGCTGAGGCAGGAAAATCGCTTGAACCTGGGAGGTGGAGGTTGCAGTGAGCAGAGATCACGCCATTGCACTCCAGCCTGGGCAACAAGAGTGAGACTCTGTCTCAAAAAAACAAAAAATAAATACAAAATAAAAATAAAATGAATGATTTCATATATGTAAAGCACTTATTTAAGTGTTGTCACTACACTGTTAGAATTACAATATTTCACAAGCGAGGAAGAATATGACTTTGTTGGTGTAAGAAGAAAATTGCTCTGCATGAAATAGGCCCATAAAGGTCTGTGAGAAGAGCAGTAATACATACATTGTCTGCAGTTCTGCTAATCAAGACATTCGACTAATTGATATTTATAGTGCACACATTAATGCCTAGATTTGTGTCTGGTTTGAGGTGACGTGAATAGGAAAAAAATAATAATAAAAAAAAAAAGAAGAAGCAATCCTTAGCCTTAAAAAGGTTGGAGGATTTTCTCTAAATATGGTCCTCCTAAGTATCCACGTTGAAAAGCACCTTTTCTCCAACTTTCCATATTCACTTTCCTGAATAAATTACATCTTCTGGAAGGAAATTTAGTGCTAAAGGAATTTTGCCAATATTAAGCCATTTATAGGATTGTTTTCTACCACCTCTTCCCTCAAAATGATAAGCAAGTTCAACAGACATGAAACTACTACTGTACACTCAGGAGACTCTGAAATATGCAATATCCCAAATGGGACCCACAATGCAAAATTCTTCCAGGGAACATCTATACCAACAGAAAAATGCCTTAAATTACTTTATTATACTTTACTTTTAAAATGTGGCTTAATTTATGCATACTTCATTATATATCAATTCCTTGAAATCTGGTGATCTATATATATAATATATATGATAACCAGTAGCCAGAACAATGTCATCCTCCAACTATTAATTAAATAAGATATTCATATATTTATCCTTTTGGATGCTAAGTCAAGAACACGTAACAGTTGAAACTCATTTGGGCTACCAGCCATAAAACTGTGAAATGCAAACTTCAACAGTACCCGTCCTCATGGGAACCTGAAAAGGGTTATTTGAGGTCAAAAGACACAACATTTAAGGAGAAATGTCTCATGGGAGTATTTCTGATCCAGCTATAGGATAGAGTGGAATACCAACTCAACTAAATCAAATTTCAATTCCTCTAGCCCTCTTTCAAGCCCCTCCACATCCAATCCCCTCCTTTCTAGCAACCTTGCTCTCTCCTCTATACTCAGGCCTCTCAAAAGTGGCTCACATGCTTCCTTGTCCTTTCACACAAAGTGATCACTGCTCTTTTTTTTGTTTAGAGTCAGGGTCTTGCTCTGTTGCCCAGGCTGGAGTGCAGTGGTGCAATCATAGCTACCTGCAGCCTCCAATTCCTGGGCTCAAGTGATCTTCCTGCTTCAGCCTCCCAAGCAGATGGCACTACAGGTACACACGACCATACCTGGCTAATTTTTAAAAATATTCTGTAGAGGCAGGGTCTTGCTATCTTTCCCAGGCTGGAACAGTGATCATCTTGAATACCTTTTCTCCCCTGTAGAAACTGTTATTCCATCTTTCCTTTTTTCTTTGTGCCTTGTGTGTTCTTTAAGTTGTATGCAAAAAGTGTCTCTATTTAAACATTTTAAAAGTTATTATTTATAGCTTATAAATAGGTATAACAGCAGTATAGGTAAATTTTTCACAAACCAGTTAGTTTCTTAAGTAAATGGTACTCAACATGATAGTTAAGGCACCAAAAAGGACCTCTGTATTTGAGTGACTAAACCTACGCAATAAAGAGCAGCATTTTGTACTCAAAATAAATTTTGTAGAAAAGGAAACATGCTGTGTCTTCTAAAGTAAGACAACAAACACACCCAGAAAGGGGGCCCACAGCATTCCTTTCCTCTCTTTTTCCACCGTAATTTCCTCCTCATATTGCTTTTCCTTTTGTTTACCTTACTCAGGTTCTCCTGTCCCAGCCCCTGGGCTTGCCAGTGATGCCCAGAGGATGATGTGCCTGGTGGCTGAGCTCTTCCAGAACTAAAGACGTGCGGATCCCTGAGTATCCATAACCATCAAAGCATGAAGTAATGCCTTGTAAGTGGTGTCACCACACCTCCCAGAAGAAGGATGGATTCCTACCAGAAGCAGTCAAACATAGTGCCGGATCATCTAAGTGAAACGGATCCCCATGGGTGCTGCTATTGGGATACCAAAGGTCTGAAGTTCATCCAATGCAATAGCAGAAATAATTACATCTGTGAGCATGTGAGAAGAACCCTGAGTTAGTCCCAAGTGCAAATCACCATCTCCAACCAATTCCTCCACCAATTGATGGATGTTGGGGAGTGGGGTACAGCAACCCCTCCAAGTCCTTCCTCCCTCTATATAGCCCAGGAGACTCCCCTCCCACCAGCCTGGCCCCCAGAGTGCTGACTGGCAACAATATTCCAAGTTAAAATAGTTTGCTAAATAGTTATACAATTAGTTTACAATTCAAATATATCAGAGGAAAAGACAGGGAAAAAAATTCTAAGATACATGAATCCCAGACCATTGCTCTCCAAATATTTTCAAGTGATTCATCTCCTTTATTTAAAAAATGAATTAACCACCAGATGGGACACTCATACATTCCTGATGGTTGTAGGAATCAGTAGACCCTGTATGGAAAGCAATAGGATAATATTTCATAGGATCAAATTAAAATGTTCACAGCATTGGTTCCAGGAAATTGGCTTCTGGAGAATTTATACTCCAGAAACAATTCAACAAAAGAACACAGCTCTGTGCATGCAGATGCTCATTAGCCCATCACCTAGAGTAAGGGAAAGTGGAGATCCCAATGAACAACAATGAGATGGGTTAGCGAACTGTGACCTATCAGCCCAATGGACATTTAAGCAATCACTGAAAAGTAGAAACATGAAGATATTACACAACATGGAAACTGTTTATGGAGTATATTTAGGTAAAAAGGAAAAAAAGGCAGAACTGTATATCTGTGGTTGGATATACTTTTTTTTTTTTAATATTAAGCACCAACCAAAAGAAGAAAGGAGGATAGAAAAAATAAAATGGAAGATGTAGGGTGGGCAGATTAGGGCTGCGTTTGTTGCTTGCTTTCATGTTACCATCATAGCGTTTTTGCCACTTACAAAGGAGGAAAAAAATCAATTCTGTGCCAACCCAGACAACAGAGACCTGAGTGGGGGTTGGGAAGAGAGATTTTTCAGCACAGAATCAGACTCCTTCTCCAAAGAGCTGTGTGGCCTTCACCTGCAAGGCGACCTCTTCCACAAGCAGAGGCCAGGACAAAAAGAGGCACCTGTGAGCGACAAAGACGGTTTCCTTGGTTTCCCTCACGGCGCCAAGCGGAGTGGCCGCCTCCCACCACAGGGCCCCCTAATGGGCGCTTTTGTCCTGCGGGGCAGAGGGACCTCATTAGAAGGCGCTGGTGCTAAAGGGAAATGCATTTCCAGAACAGGAGGTTTCATCATTCCTAGCGTTAGCGACAGAATGGTGACAGAAGGTAAGTGGCAGATTTGCATCACGGCGTCGCTCCTCGCCTGGAAATTGGAAACAGGCCGCCTGCAGAGGCGACCCCCGAGGAGCCGCGAGCCTGGAGCACCTTCCCGGGGCCGGCGACTGGGGGCCCCTTCCGGGGCAGCCAGGCACCAGGGCGGCAGGCAGCATGCCACCTCTCAGAGACCAGGCGCCCGTGTCGCCTCTGGGGGTTCTCAATGTCACCCACTACGAACGCATCTCAAACCCGCTGCCGCAAATGGCTTGCACGTACTTAATTGCTGCGGTGCTCAGCGGGGACCCGCGGGGTCGCAGCCCTTGCTGCGGGGGTAAGGGGTAGTGATAGGGGCGGGGAGGGTCCAGCCTCCAGCACACATTCTTTTTCGCATCTTTCCTCAACAACATTCAAAACGCAAACATGTAAAGCAGCTACGGAGAAGTGCAAAGTAACCGAAGCGTACTACTAGCGTGGGGAGGGCGGGAAGGGGGCGTAGGGTGAAAAACTACCTACTGGGTACTATGGTCCCTGCCTGGGTGCAAGATACCCAAGTAACAAACCTGCACATGTACCCCCTCCATCGAAAATGGAAGTTGAATTTAAAAAAAAAAAAAGCAAATTTTACATTTTCTAAGCAGATTCCTACCCCAGCTTCAAAGTAAGAATCAAATTGTCCCTCTGCCTGAGGTTTCCCTGAATAGAATCGAATGTGCTTTCTCTGTTTGGCTCCACCCATGTTTTCTTTCCACTTGTCTTTGGGCACTGATACGAAGCGATTTTTTTAAATTTGCTTTCCCCCAATTGGACTTAGGTTATTGATAGCGGGGATCTTGTCTTATCATAGTAAATCCATGATGCTTAGGACTGAGCTTAGCACACAATAGACTCTCCATATATCAAAGTGAAACTGAAATAAAGGCAAAAAAAAAAATCAGAATATCACATCTAAATGTTAGAGCCGTGCTGTCCAAGAAAAATACAATGCCAACCACAAATGTGAGCCACACATGTAATTTTAAATTTTCTAGCAGCCTCATTAAAAGAAGTACAAAGAAAGAGGTGAAATTCATTTTATTAATAACTTACTTAACCTAACATATCCAAAATACTATCATTTCAACATGTAATGAATATTTTTAAATATTAGTAAAATATTTTACTTTTTGTGTACTAAGTCTTTGAAATTTGATGGCTATTTTATACCTACTGCTTATCCCAATTTGACTACCTACATTACAGGTGCCCAGTAGTCACGTGCAGCTACCATTTGGACAGCGCAATGTTACTAAGGAAGTAGCTATCAAAGAGGTGTATATTTTCCCCCTTTCAAACTCTTTTGGATAAATGTCTAGACCAGAAAACATTGTTTCAAACAGATCCTCAAGCCAGTCTTTACCAAGAGCCATATTTATTAAGAAAATTTTAAAAAACACATGAGCAAGCAAGTGCTGTTACTCTAGGATATATCCTAGGGGAGTCTGGGTGTTTTTTCTCCCGCTTGTTTGAACAGATAATTAGCAGGTTGTGTTTTTTAGTGAAGTAATTAATTATTCTGGAACAGCTAACTACTTCCTTCCCTTCTAAAGTCTACTTTACAACAAATATCATATAAACAAACAATTAGTAGTTAGAGGGATTTGATGCTATCATGATGACATTAGTACCAGGGACCCAGTGCCAGAAGCCTCCCCTAACAGCCTCTTCCATGCTGGGTGGGCAAGTCTGATCTACACAAGAATAGTGATACTCCAGGTATCCAAGCACCACCTAGGTAGGTCACCCAAACCTGTCATCCCAATACGGAACCTGGCCAAAGACCCAGGTGAGGAGGCTTATGTGGAGTCTTCCCATTTCCTTACCTTCCCACCCAACATCCTGCAGCCTAACCTATTCTAAATCTTAAGACCAGCCCAGTTGGGCCTGAATCTGTGGAGCCAGCTGAACTTATCCCCTCAGCAGCATTCAGAGAGGAGAGAAAAAAGTCGGCCCTGGAAGCCATCCCAGGAAACCAGACCCTACAGAGGTCAGCCTGTCACAGAGGGCAGATGCAGGAAGGAACTGACAGCCTCACTCGGGATCCTGCCCACCAGGAACCAGGACTGGAAGAGGTTTGGATACTGACCAGATTGGCATTTGTCCCTGACTATGGGACAAGAGGTGGCTGTAAAAGGGGAACAAAAGTCCCTTCCCCCATGACTATCCAAAGTTTCTAATATCGATGGAGTTGTTATGTGCCCAGATTCCCAGGTGAAAATCAATAATCTCTTAGGAGTGAGGTGCCAGACAGGTTGTTCAGAGAAAAACTATGATATAATCTCCTCAGAGAATTGAAGCCGACTGCTTGGCAAAATAAGACCTGGAAATGGGAGAGACCAGTAAAAGACTAAGCCTGACAAAGGAAGAGTCCCACCATGTGTCAATACAGAATTGTGTAACGAACATCTTCAAATAAAATGCTTCTAAAATACTATTAGTGATCTGCAGCTCTTAAGAACATACCCTGCAGCCAAAGATGCTAAAGGCATAAATCACCGGGGTTTGTTTTTTATTTGCACTTTTCCTCCAACTCCATCTCCCTTCAAAAGTTTTTCTTTAATGAGAAGAGGAATATGAAACATAAAAAGAGAACTACAAACCTTTTTCGTTAAAATACTGTGTTGTGCTGAATTCTGCTCTCACATATATGCTTTCTTTTCAGCTCTGTGGACGTATTTTCCAGCGTTCAGTTCACATCAAGGATGGGTATGCACTGGCGGAAAAGGTAATATGCAATACACCTAGACACACTTAAGAGGATTGCTCCAAATGTAGTTGATGGCGATCTAATAAGACAGGGTTCTGAAGACAAATGAGACGCATTTGCCTGTTTCCCTGACGCTTACACAAGCTAAGGCAAGGTGAAGCAGCAGCAGGGAGAAGGCCACAGAGCAGGAAGCTCTTTAAATAGCTTTCCAGGTGACCCTGACACACTGGCACTGGTGGATTACAAAGGATAATTGGGATATGACTGGGCCGGGCACGGTGGCTCACGCCTATAATCCTAGCACTTTGGGAGGCCAAGGCAGGTGGATTGCTCGAGCTCAGGAGTTTGAATCCAGCCTGGGCAACATGGTGAAACCCCGTCTCTACTAAAATACAAAAAATTAGTCAAGCATGATGGCACGCGCCTGTAATCCCAGCTACTAGGGAGGCTGAGAATTGCTTGAACCTGGGAGGCGGAGGTTGCAGTGAGTGGAGGCGGAGGTTGCAGTGAGCCAAGATCGTGCCATTGCACTCCAGCCTGGGAGACAGAGTGAGAATCCGTCTCAAAAAAAAAAAAAAAAACAATTAGGACATGGCCATTGTGAGGGGGGGATAGGCTGGGAATCTTGCTTAGCCCTGATGGCCCCGTGTGTGCTTCTACCACCACACCTGACTCTACACTAGACAAGTCTATCATGGCAAAAGGCTCCTCTTGTTTCAAGGTCAACATGTATGAGCATTTCTTTCTCCTTGCTGGAAATGAACAGTACCTAGCCTTCTGATTTGAACAAACCAACTGCAAGAAGAAAAGTAGAACTGCCTGGGTATTTGATAGTAAGGAATTACTGTTAATATTTTATGTGTGATAGTGTTATTGTGGTTATGTTAAAATTAAAGAGATACATATTGAAGTTTGTGGATCAAAAGATATGAGATGTTAAGATTTCGCTTTAAAGCAATCTAGTGAGGTTGGAGAGAAAGGTTAGGAGAGTATACAAAAAATAAGATTGGCCATTTGCTGATCATGGTTAAAACTGGTTGATAAGTACTTTTTTTATTCTTTCTACTTTGGTGTATGTTTGAAATTTTATATAATAAATTTTCTAAAAGAGTCTAGGAATCAAGGGGGGAGAGAAAAAGCAGTCCTGTCTAAGGCTTCTCTGAGGGGGCTGTTTTTTTCCTTTCTCAGCTTACCATTGCCCAGAAGATATCACAGGCCATTCAATGTGAGCACCAAGAAGAAAGGGTATATCCATCCTATTTTTCTCTAAGACTACAGTCTTGGCCTCTGTCTCTGTCTGCCTCCAGAGAGAGATTTAGCTTTTGATCACCTCCAACAAACAACATCCTTTAGGATATTGAAACTGACAAAAGACAGCCTACAAAATCCTATGGTTTACATTAAAAGTCTGAAGGCATTGCCATGTTCCGGATCTGGGGGTTAACAGTGCATGACGAAGCACATACCCTCAGTAAGAATTTAATTTAGCTCGAATATGAAGGGATGCTTTATGAGACAAACTGGCAGCAGTTCCATGGGGTGAGCAGAGAAGTGAGACTATAAAACAGAAGACAATTTGCTATTTCTAAATTGCTCCCTCTCAAAAACTGTGGTGGGTGTCTTAAAATCATCTCGTATATCCTTTTACCCAGTAATCTCAATTCTAGGAATGTATTCTAACAAAATAATTGGGCAAGTCCACAAGGAGGTATGTGGACTACTGTTTATATCATGCCTTTGTTTATAATAGGAAAAAAAAACCAACAGAAAAACAAAGGTCCATCAGTAGGAAATAAAGTATTGATTAGGCATATAATGAAATTATATGCAACTTTTAGAATGCTGAAAAAGTATAGTACATTAGACTTCAGACATCAGCATTTAGTTTAGTATACTATACTATTAAGTAAAACAGTTTTAAAATAGATTTTATAAAATATCTTTGTTTTAAAACAAAGTGTGTTGTAAGAATAGAAAAGAACTAGAATATACAATAAAATGTTAATTATCGTGTTTTCTGGTTAGTAAAATTAAATGTAATTTTTTTTTTTTGAGACAGAGTCTCGTTCTTTCGCCCAGGCTGGAGTGCAGTGGCACGATCTCAGCTCACTGCAAGCTCCACCTCCCAGGTTCACACCATTCTCCTGCCTCAGCCTCCCAAGTAGCTGGGACTACAGGTGCCCGCCACCATGCCTGGCTAATTTTTTGTATTTTTAGTAGAGACAGGGTTTCACCATGTTAGCCAGGATGGTCTCGATCTCCTGACCTCATGATCCACCCACCTCGGCCTCCCAAAGTGCTGGGATTACAGGTGTGAGCCACTGCGCCTGGCCAAAATGTAATTTTTACCTTCTTTATGATTTTTTGCATGGTCTAAATTTTCTTCACTGAGCAGGCAACATATTGGGACCCCCACATATACAAAAAGAAGCTATTTATTTTAAGAGAATAATAACAAAACCATAAAGATGTCTAAAGGAGGAAAGACAAATTGCCAGAGCTGGACAGAGGTCAAAGTGACAATCCAAGCAAATAACCCCAAACTCTGACAGCCAAGGAGGGTCAGCACCCTTTCACTTTTTTCAAAAGACGTCTTATACTGAGCAACTACTCTGTTCTAGGCCTTGTTCCGGGTCTTGGAGACAGAAATAAATGGGACACAATTTCCTGCCCTCAAGGTTTTCAGCCTAATTGGAGGAAAGGACAGATTTACCAAATAAATGAAATGCTCTACTGGGGAAGGGCAAAGTACAGTGATGCTTAGGGGGAAGGGGCTGATTCCACCTGGCTGGCAGAATGGGGAGACAGGGGCTGATCAGAAAAAGTGTCAGAGGAGGTATTGTGGGCTGAGAGTCTAAAGGCGAATGGATGCCCTTCCAAAGCTCACAGGCCATGCAGGTGAGCTTTGAGGACAGTCTCCCCAGGCATTTGGGTTGATGTGAGCAGCTGAGGGAAAAGGGATGGGCATTGAGCAGCCTAATCTTCTTGAGGGGGAACAGAAGCACAGATGAAATATGGGGTGAGGAGTAAGGCTAGGGAGTAGGCAGGCCCACAGTATGGAGGGCCTGGAATGCCCCTACTGAAGCATCTGGTTTCCAACCTGAGGGCACAGGGGAACCTCTGAAGGGTCTGCACCTTCCCAAGATTAATCAGCCGGACAACAGTGTAGAGAAGTAAGCACTACTGGGCCTTATCTGGATGCCTGCCGTGGACTAGCCACTGGGCTTAGCACACAACGGCCCTAGACAGTGGAGAGTGTTGTTATCTCTATTTTACGGGTGAGAAAACTGGAACTCAGCGTGGTTTAGGAATTTGCCCAAGTTCTCACAGATAAGAAGTGGCAGAGCTCAGAGCTCAGAGTTCATCCTGGCTATCTGACTCACCCTCAGGTTCGGTGCTGTGAAGACGCCACGGTGAATCTAAAATAGTTTTCTCCCGAGTTCTCCATGATATTTACAAACAACCTCAAACTCAACCACTCAATTCCTACTAAGAGGAACTTGGTTGACGTGCAGCAAATGGGTTATGGGGAGAGCTTTCTCAGCCACAAAATTAGAACTTTATGAAAAAAAACCTGGAAGAAAGTAAGGTGAGACTGGATCTGTCAAGGGGCTTTATTTTTTTGAACTCAAGAGAAACCATTAGGGAGTAGGCAATTTGTTTTTGCTTTTTTTTACATAAGTAGACACAGGTGGGAAACTGTTTAGACGGGCTCACATCACCCCATAAACAAATAGGTTTGGTCCTAGCCTTTCTATTAGCTCTTAGTAAGATTACACATGCAAGCATCCCCATTCCAGTGAGTTCACCCTCTAAATCACCACGATGATTTAGAGGTAAGGACTAAAGGGAAATCAAAGGTAGGGGGAGGTTTCCAACTGTGAATGGGAAGAAGAGCTGAGAATGGAAAACATCATTAAATAGGGGAGTCGGGCCAGACAAGCACAGGTGAGGCAGAGGGAAGTCTCCAGTGATACCCAAGTTATTTACAGAAATGCAGAAATTGGCATTTATGGAGTCGTGATTTCAGGCAGGGAAAGGGGGAAAAAAAACCTTCAGTCAAGATACATTTACTAAGCAATTACACAACTACAGTAAAGGAGACAAAAATTTAATTAAAAAAAGAAAAAGAAAAAGCTACATGGGAAGATATACACACGCACACGCACACACAAACATGCATGATCACAAAGGAACAGCTAACGTAGTCTAGAGCTAAATGAAATATGAGTTTTGCCTTCAAGGATAGTTAGAAATACCAGAAATAGATGAAAACAGTGGGTATTCCAACCAGGAGAATGGGGTGAACAAATGCCTAAGAAATGGTAATGCAAGAAGGGTTTTCAGGGGATAGCCAGAAGGGGCACTAATTTGTGGGGCCAAAGCTAATGTTGACATGAGGAAGGTCACCAAGGGAACAGGAGACATAGGAGGTAATCAGCGCCTATTGAGCATTTTCTCTGTGCCAGACACTCTCTCACCACTTCATTTCATTTCATCCAAATGACCCTGTGAGGTAAGTAATTATTATCTGCACTTTCAATACAAGAAAACTCATGCCCAGGAAAGCTCAGCAACTTGAAAAAAAAAAAAAAAAACTAGGTTTTTTTTTAGCTAGTGAATCTACACTCGGTTTTGTCTCACCCTTCCTGCTACCTCTACCCACCCCATTCACTGACTGTGTGCCTACTGTGAATAGTGAGTGGCCTCAGTGACACACGCCAGATTACAGCTCTCTATGATGTTCCCTCAGTCCATGATTTCACAGGGTACATGTGAAGGAAACCACTAACCCATTTCAGGTGATATAAACATCTCTGAATTTAGGGCACAGAGGAATGAAGAACTGATACATCCTGACACTACTAGACTAGAATGCACTTAGACAAAGTGACTAAATAAACTTACTTTGGTTTAAAATGTTACTGCTTTTAGATGGAAATGCAAATTGGTACAACCACTTTAGAAAACAGTTTGGCAGTTTCTTACAGAGTTAACCGTATGGTTACTTTACAACCCAGCAATCCCATTCCTGGATATTTACCCAAGAGAAATAAAAATGTATACTCACACAGAACCTATATGCAAAGGTTTATAGCAGCTTTATTCATAATCATACCAAACTGGAAACAAGCCGAGCATGGTGGCTCATGCCTATAATCCCAGCACTTTGGGAGGCCAAGGCAGGTGGATCACCTGAAGTCAGGAGTTCAAGACCAGCCTGGCCAACATGGTGAAACCCCATCTCTACTAAAAATACAAAAATTAGCTGAATGTGGTGGCACACGCCTGTAGTCCCAGCTACCTGGGAGGCTGAGGCAGGAGAATTGCTTGAACCCAGGAGGCAGAGGTTGCGATAAGCCAGGGTCACACCACTGCACTCCAGCCTGGGTGACAGAGCAAGACTCAGTCTCAAAGAAAAAAAAAAAAGTGGTATTACTGCGTGTAAATTTGAAAAAATTGTTTTAATGTTATTGCTTTGGAAGACCATTACTGTGGAAAGAAGAAAAGTTTTAAGGTGTAGCTGTATTTCTTCACTTAATCTCTAAAATCCTAACTCAGGCGCGGATTTGGTCTCCAGGCCCCTTCCCCATCCATCTACTGCCAAGAAATAATCTAAGCTTCTGAAGACTGGGGCCACTTTCCAGCTTAGGGTTTGTGGCTGATGTTTTGCTCTGGCTCTTAGGCCCTCAGGAGGAAGCACTCATCTTTAACAAGACCTGCTTTCTCAGGACTGCAAACAAGAGAAAAGCCCAATAAGAGGAAAGTGAAGTGTGAAAATCCATTTCAAAGAACTTTACTGAGAACTCACCATGTCAGAGAGCTTCCATTAATACAGTTGCTTCAAAACCAATAGGCAGAACCCAAAGTAATGGATGACTCACCAGGACTTTTAGCAGCTAATGGAGTACTCTGAGAAATGCTGTAAATCCAATATTTTTGCTGAAAAATTAATGTGTTATGGGAGGGAGCCTCTTTTCTAATCACTTACCCACCCCCACCCTCTACTTCTAGTTCACCATCAGCATCTTTAGCTCTTCTAATTTTTGCCAAAGCTGAATGCAGTTCTTTCCCAATTTTCTTATATCATTTTAAGTATTATATATGCTATCTTACCAGGCCCACTCAGAGAAACAGCACTTATCTTTAAAATTATTTTTTAACTACTCCCCACAGCCTACGGCCAATAAAAACTCTGTAAACTATGTTAAATATACCAAAGTAAAGTTTCCAGAATTCACAGAGAGATCGATAAATATTTACTAAGTGCCTTCTACAGACAAAGCCCTGGGAAGTATAAAGGAGCAAAACATGCACAGTTCTTGTCTCTAAACATGGCTTACAATGTCATTAGGCATATGACCAAAGCTAATAATAATCCAAGGCAAAAAACTTGGGAGATCATATACAAAACAAATGCTATAGGAGTTCAAAGTGGGGAAAGACTGTGGCTGGTGTGGTCAGAGAAAGACAGCTTTGCACAAAGCTGAAAAACTGCAGGAGTGATGGAGAACATTTCTCCCAAACAGGACATTTTCATAAAAGAGAAATCTAGAAACTCCACCTGTAAAATCTCTTTCTTGGAATATATCTCCATAACAAACAGAACTTTAAGGGAAAAAATGACCCCAGTTTCAAAAACACAAAGAATTTCTGGGATTCTGAATTTGGACTAACAGATAACTCCACCAAAATTCATTCTTTACTTGTCTCTGTTTGAAGGTGACATATTTCTGGATGATCTGGGCTTCTTTGGTCATCCACAGTCTGTGCCCCTAGAACTAAGGAAGGTTGTGTACATCTCAGACAGTTTTCACTTGCAACTGAGCCATGTCAGCCGGCTCCAACTGAATTGACTTGGGACCATTCTACTCATTGCATATGGCATGATACAGACTGCCAGAACCCTCATTTCCTTTAGTGCCACATTATCAATTAGGAATGGGAAGGATCCTGGCACATGCCAACCCAACTCCCAAACCCTTCAGTATCTGGCAGTCTTCTATTCTGTACATGCACTCACCAAAATATACATAAACGAATGTTCATAGCAGCACTAGCCATATTAGCCCCAAACCGGAAACTATCCAAATATCCATCAACAGTCAGTAGACAAATTGTAGTATATTCATATCATGGAATACTACAAAACAATGAGGATGAATTTGACAAGCATAACACTTAATCCCAAGAAACCACACACAAAAGAGAACATACTCTATGGTTTTATGTAATATAAAGTTAAAAAGAAACAAGCAAAACTAATAGCATCAGAAGTGAGAATCATGGTTACCCTGAAGCAGGGGGATTTAGGGACTGGAAGGGCCACAAGGGGGATTTCTAGGGTCCCAAAATGTCTGTTTCTTAGTCTGTGAGGTGGTTACAGGGAGCATTTACTTTATGAAAAGTCATCCAACTGTATACTTATGATAACAGTTTTCTATATGAATGCTTCATTTCAATAAAAAGTTTACCTTAGAAAAACTGAAAACTGTTGTATTAAAGGATTATAGTAGGATGAGCAAAACTTACTTTACGGTTGAAAAGCAATGTGTATATTCACATCTATGATTTTTATTTAAACTTCTTATTTAATATGGTGACTTGGTTTTAATTTGTTTAGCCACTAATATATGTTTATTTAGATAAGGAAATATATACTCATAGCAATGTCATATTAAAGAAGGATAATTCTAAAATTAAGGAGCTCTGCCTTGCATACAGGTCAAGGAAGATGATTTATTACTTCATTTCATTGGTTCTGGAAGAAGAAGAGGAGGAGAAGGGAGAGGGGAGAGGGGAAAGGGGATGGGGGAGGAGGGAGGAGGGGAGAAGAAAAACTTCTTCAGGCTCTTCAAAACCTCTGGGAAAAAAATAGGGTTGCCAGAACATGTTCCAGTACTGCACAATTATTTGTTTAAAAATTGTTACAAGCCAAGGGGCAGGGACTAGATGTCCCCAGTAACTCCCACTCTATCTAAACCACAGCCTGGCTCAGAAAGTAGCAGATCAGGCTGTAGGCAGATACTGGCTGAGAGCTGTAAACCAAATAAGTCACTAACTGCCCCAGGTACTGCCTATGTATATGTCACTAACACTTATCTGCCATTAACTGCAGAATTTCCTTCCTCATCAATAATCGTAGCTTATATCTTCTCTGCAAGTTTAACACTAAACAGAGAGAAAACCCCGCTTTCCTGCCCTCATAGGTCAGCTCGCAGAATGATCGCCCATCCACACAGCGTTTGGAGGTCAGACGTTCCTGATGACTGTGAAAATGGGGAGGTGAGAAGAGGTCGTCAAAGGGAGCAGCCTTTTAAAGCCAGGTACAGGTTAAAGCCCTGAGGCCAGAGCCTTGCCCAGGCTCCTCTAGCGTGGAGAGCTCCCGCCTTACGGTACAGCTGGCACCTGCTGGTCCCCAGGGCCCTTCGCTGCGACTGCGGCAGACAACCTTGGCAAAGATGCTGGGGACCGCCCGGGCTGGAAAACGTCGGCCTCTGGCGCTTGAGAAAGGCCAGGCGGACTCCTGCAATACCCTCGGTAAACTGTCACCTGTCAATCACTTGACCTAAATACACCAGCCACTGGAGGAAGGGGAGGAGGGGGTTAGTCGGAGCATGCTCAGTGATCAGGATGACATCACTTAATCAATGCTGGGGACGGGAAGGCTGCATCAGCAGCCTGGAGCAGGCTGCCAGGAACGTGTCAGCGGGGACCGGGAGGCTCCCATTAACTCGGTCCCTCCCCACGCGGCTCGCATACAAAGGGGGCACCATCAGCCACACACGCTACGGACAGCGGGCGGGGAAGGGGCGGGGGACCGAGCTGGTTTGTTTCATCTGACAGATTCCTTTAAGAACTACAATCCATTGGTGTTCCCTCCCCCTACCAGCAGCCCCAGCTGCAGAGAGGGAGCTAAGTAGGGGGAGGGGGTGGGGGAGAAAAGGTGGGGAAGGGAGATAGAGAGGGAGGGGGGTCCGAGCCGCACGAAGTAACTTCTGCTCTTGGCACAGGGGGCTACTGCGCTCTGAGCCCCCTCGCCCCACAGATGTGGACACAGCCTCCTCTCCACCCAGCGTGAGGCGCATCAGAGGGTCTGCAGACATGGGAGGGAGGTCATCCCAGAGGGGAGGGATCAAGCCGGGACTCCACATCCAGGGCAGCCAGGCGTGAGAGGAAGCGGGAGACACACCAGGCCTCCAGGGGACACCGAGGCCACCAGTACTCCCCCAACCCTCCGCCTTCCGCGCGCGGAGCCAGGTGTAACACCGCGGGGAGCCGCGTCTACACTGCCGCGGGAGCTCCGAGACGCGACTAGAAATTTTCCTGTACCCCTTTTTCTTTCTTTTTTGCTAGGGTCGTGAGAAGAAGAGGCAAGGCGTTTGGTAAATCGAATTGATTGATGCCCAGAAGCATTTGCGGGTTGCAGAGCTCACACTTTAAAGGGGGCCTGGGCACCCGGCTTGAGGGTCACCCGAACACACTACCCACGCGGCGAGGCGAGCGTGGGGAACAATGGGCCCACCCGGGCCCCCACCCGGCGAACAATGGCGGCGCCGAGCCCGTCTTCGCCCCCCATCCCCACCCCCGCCACCCCCGCCCGGCCCGCCGCTCCCGGCCGCCTCTCCACCCGCCCGGGAGGGAACCATAGTGCGCGGGGCGAGGGGTCTCTGGTCAGGTCCACCCGAGAGGCCAGCCCCGCGGGAATGTCCGAGGGGGCGGCCTAAACACCTCCGCTGCGTCTGGGGCGTCGGGGCGCCCAGCTGCGGCGCGGAGCAGCAGGGAAGGCAGACGCCCCAGCCACTTACCCCGATCACCACGGTCTCATCGCCTTTAAATTTGGGGATGAATTTGTCCCCGCGGAGGATCTCCGCTTCGTTGAGGGGCCGGAACCGGCACATCACTTTGATGCTGCATTCGGCTGGATCCGCCATCTCGGCCGGCGGTAGGGAGGGGGCACGGGGATGGGTGGGGGGCCGGGGCCGGGAACGACGAGGGAGGAGGCCGCGAGCTGCACCGCCCACAGCTAGGCCGCCTCCTGCAGCCTCCGACGACGCTTCTCAGCAGGTCATCGCGAGCCCGGCCGGCTGAGCAGCCCCGGCCGCTCCGAGCCCGGGAAGGTGGGCAGCTTCTCCGCTCCGGCCCCTCCGGCTGCAGACCGGCCTGCCCTGGCCCTGCCCCGCCCCTGCCCAGCGCCCCCCGGCCCACCTGCCCGCGACCACGCGGCGGGCGGAGGAGGCGATGCGCAGGGAGCGAGCCTCGCCCGGCTCAGACCTCCCGGGCTCCTGCGCGCTCAGCCATCCTGCATCAGCACCAGCGCGCTCTGCCGCCTTGAGACCCGCCCCTCCGCCCCGCCCTCCCCTGGCCCGCCCCGGGACGGTGACGTCACCGTAGAGGTCCGCCCGGCCCCCGCCCGACTCCGAGCGCTGCGCATCCCGGGACTTGTAGTCACTCTACCTGCCGGGGGAAGGACAGGATGCGACCTCCAAGAGCCTGCAAGTCCGGTCTGGCTGCCCAAGCCGGAACCGGATGGAGGTCATATCCAATATTTCCGGTTAAAATCTCTAGATAACTGGGTCTGGATCATCCTGATCCCAAAAGAAAATCACTTGGGAAACAGCTCCCAATAGCCCCTGGGTTTCATCCTTCAACTTCTACCACTAGATAAGGATGGATGTCTGTTCAGAGTTTGGGTTTGATTGGCCTTGGTTTAGGTTGGCATCTAGTGCTAAACCAATCAACCAGAATCAGGGATTTTGTAAGATTATGGAGGAATCCCTTGGTGGGAAGGTTCCCAAAAGAAGAGGGATGGTATTCCCAGACATGGTGCCGGGCTGGCAGAACAACTGAGTGTCCACTCTATTTTTCCAGAACTTCCTTTTCCTCTAAGACCTAGCTCAACCCTCCTTCCTCAGACTTTCCCAGCTCACTAAACACCTATAAAGAGTTGGTGGCCCTCCTTGATGTTCCCCTAATCTGCTGTGCCTGTCTCTAGCACTGCACTTGGGTGGTGATATCTGCTTGATATCTTTGTGTCTGTAGCATCTAGCACATAGTGGGCAGCATACTGAATAAGGATTCTACCCTAGGAAGAAGCAATGCATGAGTGTGAATCCCACCTCAGCCACTTATTAGATGTATGACCAACAGGCGGAGGAAATTAAGAGCGGAGGAAATTAAGAAGTCTTAATTTCCTTAAGACTCAGTTTCCTCATCTCTGTCATTGGAATAATATCATCTTGTGATTTCTGGGGGAATTAAAAGACAGATGCTTTTAAAGCACCTAGCACGGTGCCTGACATGTATATAGGATAAGCTCTTGAAAGTTAGATGTTATTGGGTGCTGAACAAATGATCATAAAACAAATAAGTTAGTTAATTTTAGGAACACATCTGTTGCTTAAATTCGGGTAATACCTGAAAATACAAGTGTTCTCTGCCTAGCTGAGAGGACAGACCTACTAAAATCAACTTTTATAAACCCTTGTAAGTAGTACCAGTTCTATTTCATCTCCTCATGTGCAGTGGAAGTAGATTAAAAAGACCCAGGTGCCACCTTCTCATCTGTTTTTAAATTAAGTAATTCTCAGGCTCTGGCTCAGAGACCCATCATCTTAAATGATCAACTTCATAATATACTAGAGAGGACAATCCAATTCTCAGTTTCCCTGAGCCCACCAGAAGATGCCCAGAACCTTGCATACACTGGTTTATCTGAGGAGGTCAGGATTATCTCAAGTGGACAGAGACGTATCTGTGTGTCACTGTGTTCAGTCATCATTCATTCGTTCATCTGTTCATTCATCAGCTATTAACTGAGCAAATGGCATTTGCTGTCACTCTGTAAACTTAGATTTATTAAGTGAACCCTTTTCAAGGGAGATAACGTAGGGCCTCTCATTTGAAGGGAGGTTGCAAAATAAGTCATCGCCCTCAGGCAGCTTAGAAACTAGTGGGAGTACAGAGGATGAAGTTCTCAGTGTTGTCTGAGAAGGCTTAATATAGGAAATGGGCTAAGTAGGATTCAAAACAATTGAAAAGGGACACCAAAAGATAGGTAACAGGCCGGGCGCCGTGGCTCACGCATGTTAATCCCAGCACTTTGGGAGGCTGAGATGGGTGGATCACTTGAGGTCAGGAGTTTGAGACCAGCCTGACCAACCTGGTGAAACCTGGTCTCTACTAAGAATACAAAAATTAGCCAGGCATGGTGGCACGTGCCTGTAATTCCAGCTAATCTGGCGACTGAGGCAGAAGAATCGCTTGAACCCAGGAGGCAGAGATTGCAGTGAGCCAGGATTGTGCCTCTGCACTCCAACCTGGGCGACAGAGTGAGTCTCCATCTCAGGGAAAAAAAAAAAAAAGATAGGTAACAGAAGAAAAAACAGATAAATTTAACTACATCAAAATTAAAACTTTTGCACATCAAAGGATGCTATGAACAGAGTGAGAAGGCAGCTCATGAAATGGGAAAAAATTTGCAAATAATACATCTGATAAGGAGTTAATATACAGAATATATAAAGAATACCTATAACTCACAACCAAAAAAAAATTTTAAAAATGGGCAAAGGATGATGAGCTGGGCTGGATTCCATCTTGGTAGCCAAGGCTAATTCTCCCTCGAGTTCTTGGGAGATGGGCCTTTGGCAAGAAGGCTGGTGTTAGTGAAGCGCACCCGACGCCACGGAAAAAACTACTTTTAAGGAAATATAGCATCTATCGTGAACGTGGAAAAGTAAAGATAATTCACCATGCCTGCTGTGGCTTTAGTTCCTAAAGAACTCTACCTGAGTTCTTCACTAAAAGACCTCAATAAGAAGACAGAAGTTAAACCAGAGAAAATAAGCACTAAGAGGATTACGTCCATTCAATACTTGGAACTGCAAACATCAAAAAAGCCATTGAAGAAGCTGAAAGACTCTCTGAGAGCCTTAAACTAAGATATAAAGAAGCTGAAGTCCGGAAATAACTTGAGGAAAAGGACAGGCAGAAGGAAGCACAGCAACTACAACAAAAAAGGCAGGAAACAGGAAGAGAGGATGGTGGCACATTGGCTAAAGTTTCTTTGGAGAATGTATTGGATTCCAAAGACAAAACCCAAAAGAGCAATGGTGAAAAGAGTGAAAAAATGTGAGACCAAAGAGAAAGGAGCAATTACAACAAAGGAACTATACACAATGATGACGGATAAAAACATCAGCTTGATTATAATGATTGCTCGAAGAATGCAGAATTATCAGGATTCCTGTATTTTACATTCTCTCAGTGTTCCTGAAGAAGCCATCAGTCCAGGGTGGGTTATTGTGTAGTAAAGTGGTAAACTGTGTAGTAAGCAGTAAACTGTGGACCTTAGTAAATGTTACTACTTAGCATTCAAGCTAAATGTGATAAAGTAGTCTTTTCCTGTTAACTTTTTAAATCTTTGCCTCTTTTTTTGGGGGGGGGCAGGGCCAGAGGGGGAGGTGCGTTTTAAGAGCAGAGGTTTAATAGGCAAAAGAAAGAAAAAGGAGAACAGGGCCGGGCTCGGTGTCTCACACCTGTAATCCCAGCACTTTGGGAGGCCGAGGCAGGTGGGTCACAAGGTCAGAAGTTTGAGACCAGCCTGATCAGAATGGTGAAACCCTGTCTGTACTAAAAATGCAAAAATTAGCCGGGCATGGTGGCATGCGCCTGTAATCCCAGCTACTCAGGAGGCTGAGTCAGGAGAATCACTTGAACCCGGGAGGCGGAGGTTGCAGTGAGCCAAGATCGCACCACTGCACTCCAGCCTAGGTGACAGAATGAGACTCTGTCGCAAAAAAAAAAAAAAAGAAAAAGGAGAACAGCTCTCTCATTTTTGAGAGTGAGAGGTGCCCAAATGGCACTTCCCTAAATCTTTGCTTCTTAAAGACACACTTTACGCTTTATGAAGGTTGAAGTTACAGATTTCCTAACTTTTGATTTGGCTGTTTTCTCCTATTTGTGGTATTTAGAATCCTATCAAAAGAGAAATGAAGTTGCCTTTTCCCTCTCTCCCCAGGTGTTTGTTGACTGATTTTTCCTATTATTTTCTGTTTATAAGCATGTGAATGATATGTACCAAATTGACTAAAATTGTGAACTAATTGAATTGTTTTACATGTTGAAATTCCCTATATTATCTGTGATACAAGAGTATCCAAATACTGTGTGTGTGCTTTAAAGAGTACAGTCTCTGATGTCAGACTCTATTCAAATAATTGTCACCTACTAGCTGCATTATTTCTAGCTAGTGACTTAGCATTTCTAAGCTCATGTTTCCATCTGTAAAATGGGGATAATAACAGAACCTATCTTACAGAGGTTTCAGGAGATTTAAATGAGAAACGTTATATATATACACACACACACACACACACACACACACACTTTAGCACAGGTCCTGGCACGAGTAAGGACTTAATTTAAAATTTTTTCTTTCTTTTTTAGTAAAAAGGCCTTTAACCTATGAAATAATTTAAAGTGACTTGCATGGGTATATTGTACAGTAGAAATCATGATAGTGGCAGAGCTAAACCTCCAGATACAGGGCTATTTTCACTATTTCGAGCATTCTTATATAGATCCTATTACCTCTCTGGGTCTTAATTTAATTTTAAAATTAGGTAATGAAATCTGTATAGTTCTTGGCATATTGCAGATGCTTGACAAATGTTTGACCTGAAGCATAGAGTGCTTTGTAAATAAGCTATTTAAAAATTAGAGCTCTTGGGCAGGGTGCAGTGGCTCACACCTGTAATCCAAGCATTTTGAAAGGCCAAAGTGGGCGGATCACTTGAGGTCAGGAGTTCCAGACCAGCCTGGCCAACATGGTGAAACCCCATCTTTACTAAAAATACTTCAGCCGGGTGTGGTGGTGCATGCCTATAATCCCAGCTACTCGGGAGGCTGAGGCAGGAGAATCGCTTGAACTTGGGAGGCAAAGGTTACAGTGAGCTGAGATCACGCCACTGCACTCCGGCCTGGGCTACAGAGGGAGACTCCGTCTCAAAAAAAAAAAAAAAAAAAAAAAAAAAAGTTAGAGCTCTTTGAGGAAGACACCGTCGAAAGTGGTGCCGAGCTGTGGTCTGCCCGCTTCTGCTCCTGCTCCTGACTCACTGCTGTTGCTCTCGCCAAGGAACCAGTCGGTCAGGAAGCCACGCAGCAGCTGTGGCTTTTAAAGATACTGGAAAAACACCCTTGGAGCCGGAGGTGGCAATTCACTGAATTCGAATCACTGTTTATGAGCCACAGCTTAAAATCCCTGGAGGAGGTGTGTGCTGACTTGATCAGAGGAGCAAAGGAAAGGAATCTCAAAGTGAAAGGACCAGTTCAAATGCCTACTAAGACTTCGAGAATCGCTACAAGAAAAACTCCTTTTGGTGAAGGTTCTAAGACATGGGATCATTTCCAGATGAGAATCCACAAGCAACTCATTGACTTGCACAGCCCTTCTGAGATTAAGCAGATTACTTCCATCAGTATGGAGCCAGGAGTTGAGGTGGAAGTCATCATTGGAGATGCTTAAGTCAACTATTTTAATAAATTGATCGCCAGTTGTTAAAAAAAAATGGGCAAAGGACTTGAAAAGACATTTTTTCAAAAAAGATATACAAATAGCCAATAAGCACATAAAAAGTATGCAATATCACTAATCATCAGGAAAATGCAAATCAAAATCACAATGAGATACCACTTCACACCCATTAGAATGGCTACTACCAAAAAAAAAAAAGAAAGAAAGAAAAGAAAAGAAGTGTTGACCAAGACATGAAGAAATAAAAGCTCTTGTGCATGGTTAATGGAATGTAAAATGGTACAACTGCTATGGAAAAAAGTATGGTGGTTCATCAAAAAATTAAAAATAGAATTTCCATATGATCCAGCAATTCTACTTCTAGGTATATACCCCCAAAAAGATTGAAATCAGGTACTCAAACAGGTATCTGTGCACTTGTGTTCATAGCAGCAGTATTCACAATAGCCAAAAGATGGAAGCAACCCAAATGTCCATCAACTGATGAATAGGTAAACAAAATGTGGTGTATATATGCAATGGAATATTATTCAGCCCTAAAAAGAAGTACTAACTTATGCTACCACATAGATGAAGCTTGAAGACATTATGCTAAGTGAAAATAAGCCAGTCACAAATGGGCAAATGCTATATGAGTCCACTTACATGAGGTACCTAGAGTAGTCAAGTTCCTGGGACAGGAAGTAGAATGGTGGTTGCCAGGATACGGGAGGGAGAGGGAATGGGGAGTTATTATTTAATGGGTATGGAATTTCAGTTCAGGAAGATGGAAAATATTCTAGAGATAGATGATGGTGATGACTGCATAACAGTGTAATCATAGTTAATGCCACCGAACCGTACACTTTAAAATGGTTAAAATGGTACATTTTATGTTGTATCTATTTTACCACAATAAAAAAAGATAAAAGAAGTGAAAAACCAAAAAGAGGTGTTTTGGTTATTGAGATGATGTGTTTCCCCCTTCTCCTATTGTGTAGGAAGAATGTGGTTTGGAGAATTGTTCCCAAATACAAGAATGGGTCTTGATTAGCCTCAGTCAAACGTGACCACCCCATTCTTTTTCCCAGTGACTGGTTCAGGGATGAGCAAGATAAATGTCAAGGAGACAAAAGGAAAAGTTTGCCAAATTTTTGGAAAGAAATTGTGTTACTCTGCCTTTCCATCTCCAGCTGGAGGATAACATCCAGCTCCAATTGCTATAGGAAATACTCTATGACTTCTTGGAAAACTAGACCAGAGATGAAGCCAAAGATGCATATGACAAAAACCATGAGGCTGGGTCCTTGGTGACATGATCAAGCCACTGGGATCCACCAAAACCAAAGCCCACTGTGCTCTAGACTTCTTGTTCATGAGCCAATAAACTTGCCTGTTCTTTAAATCTTGAAGGTGGAGGACAGCAAGAGTCACAGTGCACGTTAAGTTTACGTGCCCAAAAACAGTGAGGAAGCCTGAGTGACTAGAGTGGAATTAATAAGCAATTCAGTCAAAAGGCAATTTAGGATCCAATCATGCAAAAAACTTGACGGTCAAGCCAAGGATTTTTATCATTGGACTAACCTGGAATCATCTTTGGACACAAAGCAAATCAAATAATCGTGGCAATTAGTTGGTGCTGTTGGTCTTAGACTTTCTAGATCTGCATGGTCCAAGACAATAGCTACTAGCCACAAATAGCTACTGAGCACTTGAAATGGGTTGAGTATGACTGAGAAACTGAATTTTTCATTTTATTTCATTTAATTAATTACAATTTAAATTTAGAAGGTGATACCTGATTGAGTTATTGGAAACTTTTAAGTGTGTTTAGAACAACTTGGTAAATCCACATTTTCAACTGTAAATTTTATAAAATCTAAACACAGATCAAGTATTTCTAATAAAAATTTAATGTCCATAACAAAATGAGCAGTCAGTGTAAAATACAAACAGGACTTTGAAGACAGTGTGAAAATGACTGTAAAATATTTCATTAATAATTATTTTTATTGGTTACATGTTGAAATGGAAATGCTTTGGATATATTGGGTTAAATAAAATATATTAAATAATTGAATAAAACATCACCTGTGTTTCTTTTTCCTTTTTTACATTGACTTCCAGAAATGTTTGAATTACATATGTAGCTCATGAGATATTTTTATTGAACAGCACTGATCTAGATGCCACTGTCAATTCAAAATTTATTGGTCCATAAATAACATCCAGAAAATGTACTGGTGAGGAGTATTGTGTCTTGTGGATGATCCTGGACCCTTGGACTCTGGGAAAAGTGAAAAATGGAACCTAGTTTTGAGGATTTTCCCCCATGATAAAGTCTCCTCCAGTGAAGTCTCTGCACCCCTCAGTCTGTCAGTGGTGCTTGAAGGAATTACAGCCCAAGGCAAAGACAAAAACAGTCTCCTGCCCCACCAGCTCCTGGCTGAGATGGACATGGCAGCGGTGCCAGCAGCAACAGCAGCATCGTGTTGCAGGAGGACCAGAATCCCAGAGATGCAGCAGTGATAAGATCAGACAGAGTAGCCATTCCACAGCAAAGCTGAAAGAGGGTTTTGAATGCAACCACAGAGGAGAGGTGGGCTTCCCTTGGGAGGATGTGAGACCAACGCTTCTTCCTCCGAACATGTTAAAGGAAGGTGATCCTGAAAGAGAAAGGGAAAGGCAAACCTGCTGTTATACAGGGAAAGTCCATGGGAGTCACCCAAACCTACTGCACAGCACTCTCCTCCACAAAGCCCTGCAGTCCTCACCATGCTCCAGACACTGTACATGTGCTATCAGCTCACACTCTAATATGCCCTGTGGATTTCCTCTCACCTGTCTGCCTCTCTAAATCTTAGCTATCCCTCAAGATTCTACCAAACTTTCTACAAAATCTTCCTGATTACAGAGGTTTCCATCTGGGGTAATGAGAAAGTGCTGGAACTAGATAGAGGTGATGGTTGCATGATGTTGCGAATGTACTTAATGCCGCTGAATTGTGCACCTTAAGATGGTTAAACGGTAAATTTTATGTTGTGTGTATTTTACCACAATTTAAAAAAAATAGAATTTAAAGGAATCTTTCTGAACAGCTCTAGCCCACAGGGCTCTCTTTCTTCTCAAGTCGTTGGTCCCTGTGACTCAGCATCTGATTTCTGCCTGCCCTGCAATCACTTTCATATTGTCCAATACTCTTCTCTAGTTCTTTTCACCTCACAGTATTCTTCATGCTGTTGGGGTGTGTGTGTGTGTGTGTGTGTGTATCTTGCTTCTTTATGTTGTGGGTATCATATCTTATTTACATGCTTGATAAATACTTTCTGGATGATCAATCCATATCCATCACAATCATGATAATGGCAAAGACAAATGAATCAGTAACGAACCTGAAAGAAATGATGTTGCATTGCAGATGGAGCCTTTGGTTCAGGATCCTTTATTTTTCATTCCAGGTCAGCTGCTAACAAATTTTGTGACTTTGGAAAATGTACTGAACTTCTCTGAATGTTTATTTTTTTATCCCATCTGTTGAAACGGTGCTAAAAATATTATCTACTCTTGATAAGTGAGAATGAAAAGAGAAATATTTGAGAAAATGCATTGGAAATAAAGTCTGGAAGAGGCTGTAAAGAGATCAAACGAATCATTCCCCTACCCCCACCAAGAAAACACGAGAAAAGAAAACAAAAATCCTGTATTAATATGAAATTATGTGATTATTCCAAGGTCTGGCATAATGCCAGGCACAAAGTAGCAACTCAATAAATCTTTGATACATTCGTCATTCCATTGTTTTAACAAATGTGGATTTTCGGTTGCAGAAATGAATCCCTGAGGGTCTCAGTAAATGAACCATCTGCTTCAGGGAATCATGAAGTCCTGCTACCTTGATTTTTACTCATAGTTACATTAACAGGTGTAGTAAGCTCTGCAAGGAGAGCGCCTACCTGCCCCCTCTCCTTCCTGACCTGTAAGGCCTCCTCACAGCAAGGATTTGCAGGTCCTTCAAGAGTGGTTAATGAACTGGGAAACTCACCAGCCAGCACAGGGTAAGGGTCTCAAACCTGAAGTTCCCAGCCATGATTTATTCAGCTGTCTCCACCAGCAACACTTGCACGGCCCGAAAAGCTTCGTTGTGAAGATGAAACACAAAATAGAGAATTACCTAGATCACTCAGGCAACAATGAACAGTCTCACTTTGACTTGCTTGAGGCTGGTAGAAATCAAGGCCGAAGCATGTGAATTTTTCCCAGTGTTTTCTCCCCCTGAGTTATCAGACTCATTTTCCAAGCACCGTTTCCCTCTATTCAGCCCATTCCTGGAGAGCTATGTCTGTACCCATCTCCACCACCAGTAAGAAGTGTAAATTGAAGCAATTATCTGGATTGTTCAAGGGAAAAAAAGCCTCAGACATTCTTCTGCCTGAGTGATCTGGGTAATTGCTTCAATTTTCACATCAGCTCCCCATCTTCGGCAGCCTCTGGGATAGCCATTTAACTCAAACCTTGGGGTCTGCAGGTTACCATGTGGGTCTAATCATTTCTGATTGCCCGGGCCCAGCGCCATTCCTATAAGTACAAAAAATATCTGACCCTAGTGAAGATTAAAAACCAAATGAGCAGATAAAAAATGGTTTTAAAGATGTTTAAAAATGCCTTTAAAACTTGCAGAAATAATCTGTTGCCATAGAGTAGAAAATCTGGATGTCTTTCAAAAGTTGTCACCTCAGTTCAAGACGGCCAGATAACCCAGCCTCAGTGGGGAAGAAGTAAAGATTATCACATCCCTTTAGCATGACGTTAGCTGATCAGAAAGAAAAAGCCCTTTCTCTTCCAGGAGAGCTGACACATTGACTGAGATTCATGTTGCTAGATTAAACCTCCAGTTTGGTAGTCATTCTTACTGGAAAAAAAAAAGTCAGGGCTCTGGAAAAATAAGACGGCAAAACATTGAGTCTAAGGAGGGACAGGAAAGGAGGGAGAAAAGCCAAGCTCTGTGTCCTGGTGGTAGGGTGAGGGCACCTGTGAATGAGCATTGGCAATCTCAGGGCAGCATGCAGGCACGAGGCACTGGGCCCAGTGAGGAGCTGAGATACAGGAGGCAAGGGGCTTCAAAGCCCCCTGCCTGCCTCAGGGCTGACCCCGCATGACCTGCATGTCAGCTATTCCCTCATCTTCCAGAAACTGTGTCTAATTCATTCATGCCCCCATTTGGATAAGAATTCAACATTGGTAGCTCTTCTAAACATCCACTTGCAGGGATGTATTAAGAAGTCATGTAAACTTACTAAAATGCACCAGGAAACACAGATGAGGGATTTCTATCGCACACCCCACAGTCTCCAGAGTCCCATCCCCATCATGCAGCCACAGAAGGTCCCTTTCTCTCCTGACATCCCACATCACTCTTCTCTCCCATGTCCTGACTTCCCCTGGACTCTTCCTCCCAGATGCAGACAGAGCCAGTCCATGTATCCCAGCTCTGTCCAAGTTTGCAGCCCCAAACCTATCACTGTGTTCAGCAAAACTAAAGGGTCTCCTGTAGTCACCAGCTCCATCCTCCTCAGAGGCTGTGGGAAGGAAAAATGAATAGAAACATGTTTTCCATTACCCACAATGGCAATACACAGCCGCAACCTCAGCAAATCAGTTGCTTGTAAATATGTTCCATAAAGACACTTGAGATTTCCAAAGTTGATGGGGTTCCCTGTAGAGATTCCACTTTACTTTTTGAAGCAGTAAATGGAATGGGGTTTTCTTCAACAGAAGTGAAAGAAAAATACCCAAAGACTAGAAGAACTAAACACTTGTATTAATTATCTATTGCCATGTAACAAATTACTCCAACACTTTGCAGCTTAAAACAACATTTGTTATTTCATATTGGGTCAGGAATCTGGGCACCATGTTTCTGGGTCCTGGGGCTCAGGTTCTCTCTCATGCCGCCAGGTCTGCTGTCGTCTCAAAGCTCAGCAGGGGAAGGATGTGCTTCCAAGGTCACTCATGTGGTTGTTGGCAGAATTCAGTTCCTCACTGGGGGTTGGCTAGAAGCTGCCCTCTGTTCTTCATCATGTGGGCCTCACACAGCTGTAGGCATCATGAGGAACAAGTAAGAAAGAGGGAACAGAGTGGCGAATGGCCTTGTTGAATGGCGAGCGTCTGGAGGCATTCCAGTGGCTGAATGTGATTGGTGATCTGCAGCTTCCTCGCATCCTCCAAGAGGTCAAAATGCAAATCTTCCTGAAAACCCTGACCGGCAAGACCATCACCCTGGAGGTGGAGCCAAGTGACATCCTCCAAAATGTGAAGGCCAAGATCCATGTTAAAGAGGGCATCCCCCCTGACCAGCACAGTCTCATCTTTGTAGGCAAGCAGTTAGAAGATGGCTGCACTGTTTGTGACTACAACATTCAGAAAGAGTCAGCCCTGCACCTGGTCCTCCATCTGAGGGGTGGCTATTAATTCTTCAGTCTTGCATTCGTAGTGACAAGTGATGGCACTACTCTGCACTAAAGCCATTTGCCCCAATTTAAGTTTATAAATTACCAGTTTCGGTAATAGCTGAACCTGCTCAAAATGTTAATAAGCGTTTTGTTGCATGGTTAAAAAAAAAAAAAGGGAATAAGACAGAAACCACAGTTCTTCATAGCTTAATCTCATCCATCATTTTTGCCATATTCCATTGATTAGAAGCAAGTCACTGGTCTAGCACACATTCAGAGGGAAATGGTCACACAAGGATGTAAATAATAAGAGTCATGTATCATCCAGGGCATCTTAAAAAGCTGCCTGCCACAGCAGCCAATAAGTTAATTAGTTGTTCCTTCTGGATCACTTACACTGAAATAGAGCAGAGAGTAGAGTCAAAGGATACAACTTTGGAAACAAAATAAACCCTTCCCTCAAAAAGCCTCAGTCTAGCTGGAAGATAAGCTGTAGCAAAATTAAAAGAGAAATAACAGCCATTCTAAGCAAAAACCCAAGATAGCAACCATCAAAGGAAAAAAGCAATATATTACCCCTCCTAAAAATATAAAGTTCTATACATCAAAAACCATACACAATAGTAAAATAAGACAATCAGTTAAGGATGGCTTCTGCAACATATGTGACAAAGAGTTGATATCTTTAATAAAGAATTCTCGGCCAGGCGCAGTGGCTCACATCTGTAATCCCGGCACTTTGGGAGGCCAAGGCAGGTGGATCACGAAGTCAGGAGATCAAGATCATCCTGGCCAACATGTGAAACCCCGCCTCTACTAAAAATACAATTAGCTGGGCTTGGTGGCACATGCCTGTAATCCCAGCTACTCCGGAGGCTGAGTCAGGAGAATCGCTTGAACCCAGGAGGCGGAGCTTGCAGTGAGCTGAGATCATGCCACTCCACTCCAGCCTGGTGACAGAGAGAGACTCTGTCTCAAAAAAAAAAAAAAAAAAAGAATTCTCACAAGAAAAATGACAGTTGTAAATTCACAGTAGAAAAACTAGCCAAGACCATTAAAACACAATACATAAAAGAATTATCCTGAAATACATGAATAACTATTCAGCCTCATTAGTAACCAAAGGAATACCCATTCCACTGGCAAAGATTACAAAGAATAGTGCTTGATGTTCTAAAGTATACCAGGAAGGCAGCCTTCTCTTATCCTATGGTAGCGGGGTATGTTTGTAAAATTTTTCTGAGAGGGCAACATAAATCAAAATCCTGAAAAATTTACAGGTACAGACTTCTTGCCCAAAATGGCAAAGGGACCAGGTATGCAAGCATTTGTTCTCTTAGGGGTAAAGTGGTACAAATTTGTGTGGAGACATCTAGGGAGTAAAACTGAAAAATCATGCCAAATCATTGAGAGCCTTAAACAGCAGGTCACAGTGTCTGGGTGGCCTTCAGCCAGCAGTGGGAAGTCACTAAAAGTTTGTAAATAGAAGAGTACTCAGGTAAATGAAGATTACTAAGCACAGTTAGAAACACCAATGAGATTGGAAATTCAAGGACAGAATTGGAGAGATTCTGATCACTCTTTCCATGGGATCTCTGACCCTTCCCCTTGGACTCACTGTCCAGCAAAGCCAAGCAGGTAGCCCTTCTTACCAATTGGAGACTTGGGTGAATAGCTCCAGCCTTTTGGGCTCCTTTGTTCTTTGACACTTGAGGCCCATTGGCTTTCAAGCCAGAGACAGCACCTCCCACAGGGCATGGAACTGGTATACCATGAATGGCAACAACGGAGGGGCATAATACGGGTGTGTTGGGTTGTAAACAAGAGAAATCTACTTAGGCTAGCTAAGGCAAAAAACAGAGAGGAGTTAATTATAATTCTTGAAGAAATAGGCTGGACTGCAACTGAGCTCAGGAGAAAAAAAAAAAAGCTGATAATTATCCCCTTGGAGAATTATGAAAGGGCACGTGTGCTCTCTCTTTCTCTCTCTCTCAGTTTCAGTTTTACTTCTGGACTCCGATGGTCTCAGCCCAGGTCAGGTGCCGCTGTTGGACAAATGAACTCCAACCAAGAGCAAAATCGTGTTCAGCAATCATGGCTGTCATGAGTACTCGTTTAACCAAGTGAATTGGGCTGGGGGAGGGTGGACAGGCAGGTCCAGAAAAGGGAAAACAACCATGGTGTTGCTGTGAATGAAACTTGGGGATTAATGGAGGCATGAAAGAGACCTCATCCTCTCCCCTGTGGAATTCTTCCTGAAACAGATGCTGATGCAGCAACGTTCAATACTTGGTGTCCTCCATATCACTCATTTCATATTCAATTCTACCAGAGTCGAATGCCCCTACTTTCTACTCCTCCCTGCCAATTCCCTACCTCCCAAAGACACACACAAATTACTTACTGACAGCCAGTAACATCCAGATCTCATAGAACGTTAATATGGCCATTGGCCAGCCTGCCACCAGCAGCCTCTGCTTTGGAAGCCAGCTGACCACTTGGCCCCACTGCACTGCAGATGGCTTGGAACTCTGAACATGACTTTATTTTCCCTTAAATGACCCATTCCCTTATTTATTTATTTATTTATTTATTTATTTATTTATTTATTTATTGAGACAAGGTCTCATCGCCCAGGGTGGAGTGCAGTGGCACAATCACAGCTCATTGTCCCGACTCATCCTCCCAGGTAGCTGGGACTACAGGCATGTGCTACCATGCCTTGCTAATTTTTTGTATCTTTTTTTTTTTTTTTTGAGACAGAGTCTCGCTCTGTCGCTCAGGCTGGAGTGCAGTGGCGCGATCTCGGCTCACTGCAAGCTCCGCCTCCCAGGTTCTCCTGCCTCAGCCTCCCGAGTAGCTGGGACTACAGGCGCCCGCCACCAGGCCCGGCTAATTTTTGGTATTTTTAGTAGAGATGGGGTTTCACCACGTTAGCCAGTATGGTCTCGAACTTCTGACCTAGTGATCTGCCCACCTCAGCCTCCTAAAGTGCTGGGATTACAGGCATAAGCCACCACGCCCAGCCTAATTTTTTGTATGTTTAGTAGAGACGGGGTTTCACCATGTCGGCCAGGCTGGTCTTGAACTCCTGGCCTCAAGTGATCTGCCTCCCAAAGTGCTGGGATTACAGGCATAAGCCTCTGTGCCCAGCCTGACCCACTCCCTTTTAAGAGGAGAGGGAGTAATTGAATTACCAATGAATTAATTGGATAAGACACTCTAACTCAGAAAAGAGATGAATTGTTATAAATAATACTTAAAAAGCCCAATCCTTTCATAAATAGTGAAGCTTCCAGATTCTGCTAACACAAGCACATAGTTGTGGGTAAGGCCACAGCTTGAACCCACTTGGCAAACAATTCCCCAGCCCCGTTTGAAGGACTTATTACTCCTACAATACACACATTGGCAACATTCATCCTCTTCATTCTGGTTAGTGAAAGCCAACTGTTTGTGCTGTTTCCTTGTCAATTTTTACTGGCATGCGTCTCGGTACCTCAGCAAAATGCTAGCACCAGCCCCAAAACTTAAATCCTAGGTTCTATTTTACTCTATTTAATCCATGCCATAAGGACTCAGTTTACATATACATAAACATATACAAGCACATCTCAAATAAATATCATTGTTTTAGTGTTTCCAAAAATGTATTCACTCATTTACTCATTCATTCCACAGATACCTATAAAGTGCCTACTAAGTGCCAGACACGTTCTAGATGCAGGGAATGCAACACTGACAAGACAGACATGGTCCAGGCCCTCATGTGGCTTTCATTCTACTGGAGGAGGTAAACAATGGACAAGTAAGCATATGACATAGTATGTCAAGCGGCAAAAAATGCCATGAAGAAAAGTAAAGAAAGGTGAAAGGCTAGAGAGGACTAAGGGTAGCATTCTAGTTCAGGTGATCAGGAATTAAAGGAGATTTGGAGATATGATTCAGTCCTTAAACTCTAACAGAAGAAATGTAGAAAAAAGGTACACATACACATAAACATATTTTGAAAAAGAAAAAGAAGGAACAGAGAAAGGATATTCGTTAGCTATTGCTGTGTAACGAACCACTCCAAAATTCAGTGTCCTGAAACAACCATTTTTTATTCTCACCAATCCATGGGTCAGCTGGGCAGTTCTGCTGAAGAAGCCCCAGCTCAGGTGACCTTGGCTGGGCTCACTCACATTTTAGGGGATCAGCTGGCCCGTCAGCTTGTTCTAAGATGATCTTGGCTCTTCTCCACATGTCTCTCGCATCACTCAATGAGGCTGGCTGAGATGTGTTCTCATGGCAAGGTAGAGGTGCAGGAGTGAGCAAGCCCAAGTGTGCAGGAGGTCAAGTGGGAATGTGCTTGTACCATTTACACCTCTGCTTTGCATTTGCTGACACTGGCCAAATCAAGCCACAAAGTTTTAGGGCAAAGGATGTTGTTATGGACTAAATTATGTTCCCCCTCTAAAATAATATGTTGAAGTCCTAATCTTCAAGCCACGGGAGGTAATTGAGGTTCAATGAGTTAAGGGAAGGGCCCTAATCTAATAGGGCTGTGGCTTTATAAGAAGAGAGAAAGCTCCCTCTCTCTCTCCATGCCATGTGAGGACACAGTGAGCTGGTACCTTCTCCAAGCCAGGAAGAGGGCTCTCCCCAGAAACTAACCATGCTGGCACCTTGACCTTGGACTTCCAGCCTCCCAAACTGTAAGAAAATAACTTCCTTTGGTTTAAGCCACCCAGTCGAAGATATTTTGTTATGGCAATTTGAGCAGACTAAAACAGGTGTGGACTCATGGACACCATTTATGGGAGACATCCATGCAACTATGTACAGAAGGAAGGAAGGAAGGAAGGGAGGGAGGGAGGGAGGGAGGGAGGGAGGGAGCAAAAAAGGAAGGAAGGAAAACAGAAGGGGTAATGGGGAGGTGGTTGTGTGAAAGGTTCTGGTTCTGCCTGCAGTACTCTCTTTGTAGCCTATTCTCTTCCTATCTCAAAATTTCATGCAAGCCTTAGTAATAGATTTTTTTAAAATATGTCTTTTTTAAAATTTAACTTTTAAGTTCAGGGGTACATGTGCAGGTTGGTTACGTAAGTAAACTTGTGCCATGGGGGTTTGTTGTACAGATTATTTCATCGCCCAGGTGTTAAGCCTAGAACCCATAAGTTATTTTCCCGATCTTCTCCTTCCTCCCATTCTCCACCCTCTGAAACTCCCCAATGTGTATTTTTCCCCTCTATCTGTTTATGTGTTCTCATCATTTAGCTACCAATTTATAAGTGAGAATATGCAGTATTTGGTTTTCTGTTCCCTGCATTACTTTGCTAAGGATAATGGCCTTTAGCTCCATCCATGTTCCTGCAAGGGACATGATCTCATTCTTCTGTATGGCTGATAGTATTCTATGGTGTGTATGTGCCACATTCTCTCTATTCAGTCTACCACTGATGAGCATTTAGGTTGACTTAGGTCTTTACTATTGTGAATAGTGCTCTGATGAACATACGTGTGGGTGTGTCTTTATGATAGAATGATTGATATTCCTTTGGGTATATACCCAGTAATGGGATTGCTGGGTCAAATGGTGTTTCTGTTTTTAGGTCTTTGAGGAATCACCACACTGTTTTCCACAATGGTTGAACTAATTTACATTCCCACCAATAGTGTATAAGCATTTCTTTTTTCTCCACAACCTCGCCAGCACCTGTTTTTTGTTTTTTGTTTTTACTGTTTAATAATAGCCATTCTTACTGGCATGAGATGGTATCACATTATGGTCTTGACTTGCATTTCTCTAATGATTGGTGATGTTCAGCTTTTTCATATGCTTGTTGGCTGCATGTATCTTCTTTTGAGAAGTGTTGGTTCATGTTCTTTGCCCACTTTTCAACAGAGTTGTTTTTTCCTTGTAAATTTAAGTTCCCTATAGATGCTGGATATTAGACCTTTATCAGACGCATAGTTTGCAAAAATTTTCTCCCATTCTGTAGGTTTTCTGTCTACTCTATTGATAGTTTCTTTTGCTGTGCAGAAGCTCTCTAGTTTAATTAAATCCCATTTGTCTAATTTTTAGACAAAATTTTGGAGAAAATTAGATCCCAATTTTTGCTTTTCTTGCAATTGCTTTTGGTGTCTTCATTATGAAATCTTTGCCTATTCCTGTGTCCAGAATGGTATTGCCTAGGTTGTCTCCTAGGGTTTTTATATGTTTGGGTTTTACATTTAAGTCTTTAATCCATCTTGAGTTAATTTTTGTATATGGTGTAAGGAAGGGGTCCAATTTCAATCTTCCACATATGGCTAGCCAGCTATCCCAGCTCCAGTTATTGAATAGACAGTGCTTTCCCCATTGCTTGTTTTTGTCAGATTTGCCAAATATCAGATAGTTGTAGGTGTGTGGCTTTAGTTCTGGGCTCTTTATTCTGTTCTATTAGTCTGTGTGTCAGTTTTCATACAAGTACCCTGCTGTTTTGGTTACTGTAGCCCCGTAGCATAGTTTGAAGTCAGGTAACCTGATGTCTTTAGCTTTGCTCTTTTGCTTAGGACTTCCTTGGCTATTCAAGCTCTTTTTTGGTTGCATATGAATTTTTTAAACAGTTTTTTCTAGCACTATAAGGAATCTCAATGTTATTTTTAAAATAATAGCATTAAATCTATAAATTGCTTTGGGGAGTATGGGCATTTTAACAATATTGATTCTTCCTCTCCTTGAACATGGAATGTTTTTCCTTTTGTTTGTGTCCTGTCTGATTTCTTTGAGCAGTGTTTTGTAGTTCTCATTGTAGAAATCTTTCACCTCCCTGATTAGCTGTATTCCTAGTATTTTATTCTTTTTGTGGCAGTTATGAATGGAATTGTTTTGGCTTGACTATTGTTGGTGTATAGGAATGGTAGTGATTTTTGTGCACTGATTTTTTTTTAATTCTGAGACTTTGCTGAAGTTGTTAATCAGCTTAAGGAGCTTTTGGGCCAAGACTGTGGAGTTTTCTATATATAGGATCATGTCGACTGCAAACAGGGATGATTTGCCTTCCTCTCTTCCTATTTGGATGTGCTTTATTTCTTTCTGTTGCCTGTCCCAATACTATACTGAGTAAGAGTGGCAAGAGAGAGCATCAAAAGGTGTCTTCTCATTTAATAGAGTTTGAGGATACCTATAGGCTTCCCTGCCCTAAAATATACATAAAAATATAAATTGACTCTAAAAAGCCACTTTAATATGCTTTGACTCAAGTTATTGCAAGATCCTATTCAAAAGAAAATGTGCCTTCACTCATTTAATGAGATTGAGCACAAGACTTTGCCCTAGGAAATTATACCACATTTCTCTAAGGACTCTTCCAATTCAGAAAAATAAATTATATTCTTGCTACCATGGGAGCTACTAAGGTAAGCAAGACATGATTCTTGCCTTCCTGGAGTTTACCATCTAGTGCAGGAACAAAGACGGGAAAAATTGTATGTGTTCATCTCTGAGATGAATTCTGGGCTTTCCTACATATATCTGGAGGAGTGGACCTGTGGCAGTCACAGGGTAAGGCCATGACCTTGCAGGAAACTTGCAGGGTGTCCCCTGGGAGTGGTGGGGTTGAAGGGGGCACACATGTCTACTGTCAGTGCCCTGGAAAAGGGAGGTGAGCCTTGGGCAGGTGGGAGAAAGTTCCACCTTCTCCCTGGGCCACTCTAGAAGCCCAAACTTCAAGGGTCCAGTGGCCGTGGGACTTGAGAAAATGAAGCCCTGTTGTTGTAAGCCCCTATAGAACCCAAAGCCCAAAGCCTCCCCCTACTTTTTCTTCTGGCATTAGAAGTAAGGAAGGAAGGCTAAGGAGTGAGTATTGGCATCAGGAGAGCCAGCTCACCAAGGAGTGGTGGTGTATGCCTGAGTGCCCCAGGGAAGGCCATGCGCTGGTTTCCTCAGCTCTGGGCCCTGGCAGAGTGGCTTTCATATATGCCCACTCTATGGCACTCCCTCCATACCTGCCAGACTGCAGGAACCCACTTGGCCCCGGGTGCTTCCTATGTTGTCTGCACTTGCCAGTCTTACATCGCCAGAGAAAGCTTTACAGGCAGGCAAGAGGTGCATACGATGGACAAGGCAATGTATCTTAGGTTGATCTTCCTAGCAGCAGAGCCTGAGAAGGGGATTCCTGCAGAGACATCTATTGGAGAGTCAGGGAAGCAGGAGTGTGGGAGAGGGCAGGGAGGGTGTGGGCTCTCCAGGAGGCCCAGGAGGAAGCTCCCCACTATCTTAGTCCATCTGTGCTGCTAAAACACAATATCACAGACTGGGTAATTCATAAGGAACAGAAATTCATTTCTTATAGTTGTGGAGGCTAGGAAGTCCAAGATCAAGGCACTGGCAGGTTTTGTGTCTGGTAAGGGCCTTCTTGCTGTGTCCCCACATGGCAGAAGGGATGGAAAGGCAAAGAAAGGGGGGTGAATGCTGTGTCCTCATATGGCAAAAGTGCGAGAGGGTGATCCCTTCAACCTTGAGCTCTTTCACAGGCACTAATCCATTTATGAAGGCACAACCCTTATGACTTCATCACATCCCAAAGGCCCCACCTCTTAATACCACTACAATGGGGATTAAGTTTCGACACATGAATTTTGGAGGGGACACATTCAAACCATAGCAATCTCCTCGAGGCCAAGTGATGGCTTTCTGTACCCCTGTGTCAGTCAGTCATGGACTATGTGCTGCCCCCTCCCAGGTGGGATACTTCATTCTATGCTCTTTGGTGGAGGACAATTCTCTAGAGAAGGGAGCGGCTAGGAGCTGTTAACAGTCAATGCTCCCAGCAGCTAGGGGAGAGGTGCACAGGCTGGGAAAGGCTGTCTGGGTGGGGCACAATGACATCTGCAATGGTGGGACATGCTCGGCAGAGACAAGGACCCACATGTGTAAGGAGCATGTCATATTCAGAGCTTAGGGCTGCTGGGCTATAAACTGCAAGGGTCTCAGTGAGCACTAAGTGAGATGACACAGGTGAAAATACCATACATCCATAAGACATCAGCTAAATGTCCCATATCTGTATTTTTCACAGAGTTGATGCACAGGACCAGGTGAGGCACAGCAGACATGAAATGTTACTGTATATAAGCTAGAAAATCACTGTGTAAGTGCTAATTATTTAAGATAGGTTTTTGAATGAGTACATTCAACAAGCATTTATGGATTATGTACTGTATGCCAGGCTCTGTACTAGGCACAAGGGATATGGCAGAAACTAATACAGCCTTGCTCCATGCCCTTCTGGAGCTGATGGTCCAGTGAGGGAAACAGACATTACACAATGACACAAATATCCGGAGGAGTGGACCTGTGGCAGATATCGCAACTGTGGTGAGTACTTTGGAAAGAAGGGTGCAGAATGCTAAAAGACACCACTGGTACTGGTCCAAGAGCTGAAGAAATCTAGGACTCCCTGAACTAGGGCCATTAAACCAAGATTGGTAGAAGAACAGGTAACAGAATGCACAAAGGCCCTGAGTGGGTTTTGTGGAAAAAAACAGAAGATTTGAGTCTGGAGCAGGCAGAGAGGAATGGGACTGAATAGCTCAGGAAGTGAAGAATGAACCATGGAGATTATAAATAAATAAATATATATATGTATATGTATATACACACACACACACACACACACACACACCATGGAGATTTGATTTTATATATATATACTAATACTCTCAAAAACTGAGACTTGTGATTCATTTACTTCCTCTTACCTCCTGTTGATGACCAGCCATATGTTTTCAACGGATACTAACATCTGTTACAAATTGTTACCATCAGTATAGCAGTGGGTTTTGGGGAAGATGTATTTATTTTATTGCTCACCCACATCACAAGTCTAGTAATTTCTTTATCTAAAGCATCTTTCCCGTATATCCCCCCTTTTTATGTCCTGAGCAATCATACCAGACTAAGCCATCATGACATCACACCTAAATGACTGTAATTTCTTCTCCACCACTTACTCTGCCCCTATATTCTCTGATGTCATATTTATCCTGTTGAGAACCATTGGAAAACCCAATTCCATTTTTATTATTCCATAAATTATAGCTGGTGTGCTAAGGTAGCAAACAGAAATGGGAGGCACAGCTATGGAAAAAATGGAAGCCAGATTATGCATAATTGCGGGAAAGATGATTACCTCCATCACCACTGCAAATCACAGAGAGTTAGCTGAAAGACAAATAGAATTAATATGAGAGTTCAATAAGGTGACCAGGTGAAAAATAAATAGATGAAAACCATCTGCCGTTCTGTTCATCAGGAATATTCATAAGGGAGTTGGAATGCCATTGACAAGAGCTGTCAGTCCTCGGTGCTATAATGCGAATGTCTGCATCCCCCTAAAATTCATATTTGAAACCTAATCCCCAGGTGATACTGTTAGGGCTGGGGCCTTTAGGAGGTGATTAGGTCATGGAAGTGGAGTACTTATGAATGGGATTAGTGTGCTTATAAAATAAGCATAAGAGAGTTTGTTTGCCCCTTGTATCATATGAGAACACAGACAGAAGGCGCTGTGTTTGAGGAAGCAAGCCCTCACCAGACACCAAATCTGCTGGTGCCTTGATCTTGGATGTTCTGGCCTCTAGAATGGTGAGAAATAAATTTCTGTTATTTATGAGCTACCCAGTTTATGGTATTTTGTTATAACAGCCCAAACAAACTAAGACATTCAGGGTTTCACAAAGAGGTGGAGAGAAAGGGATACTTTTCTTAAGTGAACAGTCAGAAGAGTAAAGGCCCAGTCTCTGGAGCTAGGCTGCATGGGTTTGAATCCCAGATCCACTTCTGCACAGCTGAGTAACTTTGGGCAATCTATCTAACCTCTCTGTGCCTCAATTTGCTCATCTGTAAAATAGAGATAATAATCTTTGTACTACCTCAAAGTTACTATGAGGATTAATGAGCTAACATACCTAAAGTTTTAGAGTATGCTTGGCAAGAAATAAGCACTATAGAAGTGTTTGCTATTTGTATTAGTAGGGGTTCTCTAGAGGGACAGAACTAATAGGATATATATAGGAGTTTATTAAGCAGTATTAACTCGCATGATCACAAAGTCCCACAATAGGCCATCTGCAAGCTGAGGAGCAAGGAAGCCAGTCCGAGTCCCAAAGCTGAAGAACTTGGAGTCTGACTTTCAAGGGCAGGAAGCATCCAGCATGGGAGAAAGACGTAGTAGGCTGGGAGGCTAAGCCAGTCTAGCCTTTTCACATTTTTCTGTCTGCTTTATGTTCTAACTACACTGGCAGCTGATTAGGTGGTGCCCACCCACATTAAGGGTGGTCTGCCTTTCCCAGCCCACTGAATCAAATGTTAATCTCCTTTGGCAACACCCTTATAGACACACCAGGATCAATACTTTGCATCCTTCAATTCAATCAAGTTGACACTCAGTATTAACCATCACGCTATTATTATTATATATTGCTATTATTACTCTCTCTTTGTCATCTGCCCTAAAAATTTGTCTTAAACCCTGAGTGTCACAAATTCTTCCATGAAAACAGTTCTATTATCTTCTAATTCCCATTCCTTTGATTAATATAGGGGTTCTGTATAAGTCCAAGGCCCAGGCACTGTGCTAGCTTTTCCATCATTACTGACCCCCTCCTTAGTTCAGAGTATTTTCTCCAAAAGCAATAAAAGTCTGCAAAGACACAACTCAGCATTCTGCAAAGACAACATTATTATCTTAAAGTCTAGGAAAGTTTATCTCCTTGGAACTAGTCTCAAACACCTTCATTTAGAAGAGGATCTTTGCTCTACATTTGCATAACTAAAATTTCCCCCTGAATGGAATCCCAGGACCAAATAAATTACCTCAAGAAGGGAGATTTTAGATGAGAGGAGTTGTTTGCTTGTTTTTATCTTCTTAATTACCAAGTTTTCAAAAGTACTAGGATCCAGGTTTCAGCTTGGGCATGCCAGATGCAGATGCCCACTATTTTCATATTCCGAAGGCTTTCAGATAATGTGGTGGCTTCATCTGAACAGTTTTGCCACTGAATCTAGAGATGACAAGGCACAGAAGGGATCTGCTATGTGGAAGCAGTAAAGGGTGCAGCAGGGACCCCAAGCCAAAGAGGACTAGTAAGATTGATTACCTAGTGTTATTTTACTGTCTTTGTTTATTTCCCCCTCTTGTACCCTGAGCTTTCAATAATCTCCTAGCTTATTCTCAGTTGTGTCAAATAGAATTAAGTAAAGAGTTATATGTCATAGTACTTGGGCTGAACCCTCAAAAGTAAAGCAGGGTCCCTGAGGCCAGCCTGTAGGTGGTAGGAGCATTTACTGAGAGTAGGAGTCAGGGCTTTGAGGTCCAGCCAGCACTCCCTACTCGGTGATTCCTCTCCCAGAGCCAGCCTTGGAGGATCTGCACTAGATTTTATTAGGCTAGCCGTCTGGTTCCCTAACAGCATAAATCCAAATAGCATCGATACAAGCGAGAATGTTATATAGCAGTACCATGGGGAATTAGAGGTAACTTATGACAATTCAAAAGCCAAAGGAACCATTTCTAACTGTCAAGAGATAAGGCATTACTTCATAGGAGAGGTGACATTTCAGAAAAAATAGTGGCTTAAACATAGAAGGATTTATACTCTTTATAAGAACATGATCCAGGACTGATATGGCATCTCCAGGCATCCCCCAAAGAACCTAGTAATCAATGCAAAAAGATTTTCTATATTTTTGCTCTGCCATCCTGAGTGCGCAACCTCCATTTTCAAGGTTGCCTCGTTGTCCAAGATGACTGTTAGCACACCAGCCTTCAAGGTCACATGCTAGGCAACAAGAAAGGCAAAGGGCCACAATCCTACCTAATCAGCTCCCTTTCCGCAGCCCCCTCCAAAATGCAGGCAACACTTCCCCTTACAACTCATTGGCCAGAACTCACTCACACAAGCACACCTCACTGCTGTAGTCTTCTAGCTGGGTACCTTGCTGTCCCAAATAACATTGAGATTCTGTGCTTAAGAAGGAAGGGGAAAATAGATATTAAATCTCAACTAGTGGTTCCTGGCACAGGAATTCTGAAAGTTTCTAAACAAAGTAACAATATCAATCCAAATGCCCCAAAGAAAACCACCTCATCAGTGGAGGATAAAATGGAGGATTGGACAGAAATGCCACTTCCAGTTTGGTAGCATGCAGAGCTCTGCAGACCCATTCTCCAGCAAAACAAGCAAAGCTGGTGAAAACTATTTTCAGAAAAATAACCATTTAAAGCCTCCGGAAATTGTCCTAAGGGCATAGAACAAATAAAGAAATATTTATTGAAAGAAATGTGTTAAAACTCAATAAGAACGATAAGAATCTGTAGCATTTGAGCCTTGCCTGTCTCCTGTCGCCCTTCCTCTCTCTACCCCATTTCAGCTCCATGAGAACTCCACTGCAAATAGATGTGGTCAAGAAGACAGGGCTCCCTCTTCTCTCACTGCCTAGTCAATGGTTATCATATCTCACTGGAAAAGGCAGGCCACCAGCATTTCTCAACCCTTCCAACTGCAAGTTGAAGAAGCTAAATTCCTGATGAGCTCTCTTCTATTCTTCCATCCAGACTTAATCCATAGGATGGAGGACCTGTGCCAGGTGTAGAAAACCAAGAATACCAGACTGTAGATCACTCTCACCCATTTGCTCACCTGTAGGACAGAGGCAAGCCAAGACTAGAGGCTACCACACCAGCTACCCAGAGCTTACAGAAGTAGTTCAGAGATTTTGCCCAGGGGCAGTCCATAAAAAAAAGAGAACTTCAAAGGTCTGGCCGAAGGAACTGACTTTATTTAAAACATAGTGTGGCATAGTGTTAGCCTACGAGTGCTCTAGAAAACAATAACTTATTTTAATTAACAGCAATAAGCAAAACCATAGATTAGCTAGTTCAGGAAGAGAGAGGTAAAGAAGAGCCCTCTTGGGGTCAGAATAAACCTCCAAAACTGGCCTCAAAAGCTACCCCTGGGAGAATTCTGGTAAGATGATTGATTGTGAAGCACCAGAAATCTGTCTCCCCACCTAGACAACAATTACACTGACAGAATATGTCTGCTGTAACTATTTTGGAACTCTGGATCGATGGCTTAGAACATAAATCATGGTGAATTTTGGTCAATTTCAGCTGTGAGCACAGTAGCTGTTAGCTACTCGTCACCCACACCCAGCCCTATGTCAGAGAGTCCTTGCACATGTGCCTGCAGCAGCTTGCACACAGCTAGTGGGATCCAAAGTGGCCAAAAGGACACTGTTCTCTAACTCTTAGGATCTGTGCTCTGATCACTGATTGTTGCATTTGATTACAGAGATGCAGACAAAGGAGGAGTGGCTATTGATGCACCACCCCAGTATTGCAGGCCCCTCCCGCTCCAGGTAAAATGATTTACAGATTTAAAGGTCAGTGCTTCCCTCACTTTATTTTTCTCTTCTTCTCCTTTTGAGAGTCAGACGCTGAAGACTGAGACATTCCAGAGTAACCACACATATAGAAGAAATTAGAAAGTCACCATGCCAGAGGAAAGCACAGGCTTGGGAAACAGCTGAGAAGGCTTTACGTTGACACCTTCGGCTGATCTTTGGCACAAAGACAGCCTACAATAATAAAAATAAATAAATAAAATAAAATAAAATAACTAAACCAAAATCCTGCAAACCCTGGGGAGAAGGGAGAATCTGATTTCCAGAGTCACTACATTATAAAATCCAAGTGTCCAGTTTTCAACAAAAATGTTACAAAGTATACAAAGACACAGGAAAGTATGGCCCTTTTGAAGGAAAAAAAAATAGATATTGTCTCTGAAAAAATAACTGATGGTGGATCTACTTGAAGAAGACTTTAAAACAATTAGCTCAAAGAACTAAAAGAAGACATGGAGAAAGTCAAGAAAACAATGTATGAACAAAATTGAAATATCAATAAAGAAATGGAAAACCCAAAAAGGAATTCTGGACCTGAAAAGTACAATAACTGAAATAAAAAATTCACTAGAGGGATTCAAAGGCAGATTGACCAGGCAGAAGAAAGAATCAGTACATTTGGAGATAGAACAATAAAAAACAAATCTGAGGAACAGAAAGAAAAAAGATTGAAGAAAAGCAAACAGAGCCTAAAGGACCTGTAGGATGCCATCAAGTACTCATTCACCAGCATATTCATTGTGTGGGTCCAAGAAGAAGAGAGAGAGAGAAAAAAAGAGAGACTATTTCAAGAAATCATGGCTGATGACTTTCTAAATTTGATGAAAGACATGAGTATAAACATCCAAGATGCTTAACGAACTCCAAATAGGATAAACTGAAAGAGACTCACTGAAGCACATAATAATCAAACTGTTGAAAGACAAGATAAAAGTGACAATTTTGAAAGCAGCAAGATTTCTTATCAGAAACTCTGGAGGACAGAAGGGCCAATATATTAAAGATACTAAAACAAAAATAAAACGAAACAAAACAAACACATACAAAGAAGCCTGTCAATTAAGAATCCCATATCTGACAAAACTGTCTGTCAAAAGTGAAGGAAAAATAAAGACATTTCCCGATAAACAAAAACTGAAAGAGTTCATTGCAATTAGATCTTCCCTGCAAGAAATTATAAAAGGAGTTCTGCAGGTTGAAATGAAAGAATATGGCCGGGCATGGTGGCTCATGCCTGTAATCCCAGCAATTTGGGAGGCTGAGGTGGGCGGATCATGAGGTCAGGAGTTCAAGACCAGCATGACCAACATGGAGAAACCCCATCTCTACTAAAAAATACAAAAATTAGCCAGGCATGGTGGGGCACACTGTAATCCCAGCTATTCAGGAGGCCGAGGCAGAAGAATCGCTTGAACACAGGAGGCAGAGGTTGCAGTGAGCGGAGAAAGTGCCATTGCATGCTAGCCTGGGCAACAGAGTGAGACTGTCTCAAAAAAAAAAAGAAAGAAAGAAAGAAAGAATACTAGATGGTACTTGAAGCTGTGTAAAGAAATAAAGATCTCAGTAAAGGCAAATACATTGGCAGTTATAGAAATTAGTATTATTTTAACAATGATATGTAACTTCGCTTTTGGTGTTCTAGGTGACATTAGGGATGAATGCACTTAAAGAAACAATTATTAGTCTAAAAGCTAGTGTTATTGTAACTTTGGTTTGTAACTCCACAGTTTGTTTTCTGCATAATCTAAGAGACTAATGTATTGCAAATTATTAGTTATGTTTTTGGACACACAATATATAAAGATGTGTGACATCAACAACTGAAAGGGGTAGAGATAGATCTATGAAAGGAGAACGAGTTTTGTATGTTATTGAAATGAAGCTGGTATAAATTCAAAATAGAGTATTATAACTTTAGGATATTCAGTGTAATCCCCAATAATAACCACAAAGAAAATAGCTAAAGAATACACACCTATAAGATAAGAATTTAAATATTTCACTACCAAAAATCAATTAAACACAAAACAGTAATATAGTGAATAAGGGACAAAAAAGCTATAACACGCATAGAAAACAAACAGCAAAATGACAGAAAGTACTTCTAACTGATACTTTTATGTACCTTAAATGCAAATGTAATGTAAATTCTCCAATCAAAAGACAAAGATTGGTAGAATGGATTTAAAAAACATAATTCAACTAAGTATATCCCATCTACAAGAAACACACTTCAGATCCAAAGACACAGATGGGTTGAAAGAAAAAGGATGGAATGACATTCCATGAAAATAGTAACCAAAAAAGGGCAGAGGTGGTTATACTAATATCAAACAAAATAGACTGTAAGTCAACAAAGGTAAAGACAGACATTATATGTTAATAAAAGTTTCAATGTGGCAAAAAGTAATGACAATTATAAACGTTTGTGTACTTAATGACAGACCACCAAAATATATGAAGCAAAAGTGACAGAATTGAAGGGAGAAATAGATAGTTCTACAATAATAGTTGGAGACTTCAATACCCCACTCTAAATAATGGATTGAACAACCAGACAGAATGTAATTAAAAAAATAGAAGATTTGAACAGCACAACAAACTAACTAAATCTAACAGAAATATACAGAACACTTTACCAAACAACAGAATACACATTATTCTCAAGTGCACATGGGATCTTTTCCAGGCAGACCGTATGTTAAGCCACAAATTAACTCTCAATAGATTTTAAAAGACGGATATTATTCAAAGTATCTTCTCTGACAATGAGATAAAGTCAGAAATCAATAACATAAAAACTAAAATATTCACAAGTTTGTAGAAATTAAACAATAAACTTTTTTTTTTAAGGCAGAGTCTCATTCTGTCGCCCAGGCTGGAGTGCAGTGGTGCGATCTTGGCTCACTGCAACCTCTACCTCCCGGGTTCAAGCGATTCTCCTGCCTCAGTCTCCAGAGTAGCTGGGATTACAGGCATGTGTCACCACGCCTGGCTAATTTTTGTATTTTTAGTAGAGACGGAGTTTCACCATGTTGGTCAGGCTGGTCTCGAACTCCTGGCCTCAAATGATGCCAGAGGACTTACACTTACTGATTCAAAAACTTACCATAAAGCTATAGTAATCAAAACAGTGTGGTACTGGCATAAAGACACATGTTGTCCAATGGAATAGGATAGAGAGGCCAGAAATAAAGCCTTGCATATATGGTCAAATGATTGTCAACAGGCTGCCAAGAACATCCAATGTGGGAAAAGACAGTCTTTTCTACAAATGGGGTTGAGAAAACTGGATATCAACATGCAAAAGAATGAAGTTGGACCCTTTCCTAACACCATGTGGAAAAATTAATTCAAAATGGATCTATGAGCTAAATGCAAGACCTAAAACTAAAAAACTCTTAGAAGAAAACAAAAAAGAAAAGCTTCACAACATTGGATTTGGCAATGATTACCTGGACATAACACCAGAGACTCAGGCAACAAAAGAAAAAATAGACTTCATAAAATTTGACTACATAATATTAAAATATATATATATATATTAAAAACGCTATCAACAGAGTAAAAAGGCAACCCATAGAATGAAAGGAAATATTTGCAAGTCAGCAATCAGAAATGACAAAAGTAACATTACAACAGATCACACTGAAATACAAAAAGATCCTCAGAGACTATTATGAACACCTCTATGTACACAAACTAGGAAAGCTAGAGGAAATGAATAAATTCCTGGAAATAGGCAACCTCCCAAGATTGACTCAAGAAGATGTTGAAACCCTGAAGAGACCAATATCAAGTTAAATTGAATCAGTCAAAAAAACCTACCAACCAAAAAAAGCTCTGGACCAGATAAATTCACAGCCAAATTCTACCAGATGTACAAGAAGAGCTGGTACTAACTCAACTGAAACTGTCCTGAAAAAAAAAGAAAAAAAAGGAGGAGGGACTCCTCTCTAATGTATCCTGTGAAATCAGCATCACTCTGATACTAAAACCTAGCAAAGAAACAAAGAAAAAGGAAAACTACAGACCAAGATCCCTGATGAATATAGACACAAATATTTTCCATAAAATGCTAGGAAATTGAATCCAGAAGCACATCAAAAAGCTAATTCACCATGATCAACTATGCTTCATACCTGGATGCAAGGTTGGTTCAACATATGCAAATGAATAAATGTGATTTACCACATAAACAGAATTAAAAACAAAAACTATATGATCATCTCAATATATATGGAAAAAGCTTTTGATAAAATCTAATATCCTTTCATGATAAAAAAAAAACCTTCAACAAACGAGGCATTGAAGGAACATATTTCAAAATAATAAGAGCCATCTATGACAAATCCTCAGTCAATATCATACTGACTGGGCAAAAGCTGGAAACATTTCCCTTAAGAACAGGAACAAGACAAGGATGCCCACTCTCACCACTCTAATTCAACATAGTACTGGAAGTCCTACCCAGAGCAATCAGTCAAGAGAAAGAAATAAAATGTATCTGAATAGGAAAAAAAGAAGGCAAATTAGCTCTCTTTATTGATATGACTCTATACCTAGAAAACCCTAAAGACTCCAACCAAAGGCTCCTAGAACTGATAAACTACCTTAGTAAGGTTCCAAGACACAAAATCAATGTACAAATATCAGTAGCATTTCTATACACTAACACTCAAGCTGAGAGCCAAATTAAGAATGCAATCCCATTTACAGTAGCCACACACACAAAAATACCTAGGAATACATTGAGCCAAGGAGGTGAAAGATCTCTACAAGGAGAACTACAGAACACTGCTGAAAGAAATCATAGCCCAGCACTTTGGGAGGCCAAGGTGGGCAGATGACCTGAGCCCAGAAGTTTGATACAACCCTGGGCAACATGGTGAAAACTTGTCTCTACATAAAATTATAAACAAATTAGCAGGGCATAGTGGCTCATGCCTATGGTTCCCAGCTACTCAGGAAGCTGAGGTAGGAGGACTGGTTGAGCTTGGGAAGTCAAAGCTGCAACAAGCTGTGATCACACCATTGCACTTCAGCCTGGGTGACAGAACGAGACCTTGTGTTTAAAAAGAAAAAAATCATAGATAACACAAACAAATGGAAAAATATTCCATGCTCATGGATTAGAAGAATCAGTATCATTAAAATGGCCCTACTGGGCTGGGTGCATGGCTCACACTTGTAGTCCCAGAACTTTGGGAGGCTCAGCTGGTGGATAGCTTGAGCCCGAGAGTTCGAGACCAGCCTGGGCAACATGGCGAAACCCCTCTCTACAAAAAATACAAAAATTGGCTGGGCACAGTGGCATGTGCCTGTATTCCTAGCTACTCAGGAGGCTAAAGTGGGAGGATCAATTGGGCCTAGGAGGCAGAGGTTTCAGTGAGCCCAGATCACACCACTGCACTCCACCCTGGGTGACAGAAGGAGACCCTGTCTCAAAAAAAAAAAAAAAAAAAAGGCCCTACTGCCCAAAAAATAGCTATAGAGATTCAGTGCTATTCCTATCAAAGTACTAGTGTCAATTTTCACATGAATAGAAAATTCTAAAATTCATATGGAACCAAAAAGAGCCCAGATAGGCAAAGCAATCCTAAGCAAAAAGAACAAAGCTGGAGGCATCACATTACCCAGCTGGAAACTATGCTATAAGGCTACAGTAACCAAAACAGCATGGTACTGCTATGAAAACAGACACATTAACCCAGAAAGAAAGTCACACACCTACAGTCATCTGATCTTCAACAAAGTTGACAAAAATGAACAATGGGGAAAGAACTTCCTATGGTGGTGGGAGAGCTGGCTAGCCATATGCAGAAGATTGAAACTGGACTGCTACCTTTCACCATATACCAAAATTAACTCAAGATGGATTAAATACTTAAATGTAAGACCTCAAACTACCAAAATCTCAGAAGAAAATCTAGAAAATACTATTCTGGACATGGGCCTTGAGAAAGAATCTATGCTAAATCCTCAAAAGCAGTTGCAACAAAAACAAAAATCGACAACTGGGACCTAATTAAACTAACAAGCTTCTGTACAGCAAAATAAACTATCAAAAGAGTAAACAGAAAACCTACAAAATGAGAGGCCATATTTGTAAACTATGCGTCTCACAATAGTCTAATATCTAGAATCTATAAGGAACTCAGCAATCCAACAAACAAAAAACAAATAACCCCATTTAAAAAACAGGCAAAAGACATGAGCAGACACTTCCCAAAAGAAGATATATAAGCAGCCAACAAACATATATACAAAAATGCTAAACATCACTAATCATCAGAGAAATGCAAATTAAAACCACAATGAGATATCTTCTCACACCAGTCAGAATAGCTATCATTAAAAAGTCAAAAAATAATGAATGCTGGCAAAGTTGTGGAGAAAAGGGAACATTTATACACTATTGGTAGGAATGTAAATTAGTTCAGGCACTGTGGAAAGCAGTTTGGAGATTCTTCAAAGAACTTAAAATGGAACTACTATTCAACCTAGCAATCTCATTACTGGGTATATACAGAAAGGAAAACAAATTGTTTTACCAAAGAGACACACACACTCATATGTTCATCACAGCACTATTCACAATAGCAAAGACATGGAATCAACTTAGGTGCCTAACAATGGTGGACTGTATAAAGAAAATGTAGTACATACACATAATGGCACACTGTGCATCCATAAAAAGAACAAAATCTGTGTTTTGCCGCAATATAGATGCAGCTGGAGGCCATTATCCTAAGCAAATTAACCCAGGAACAGGAAACCAAATACTGCATGTTCTCACTTATAAGTAGGAGCTAAACATTGGGTACACATGGACGTAAAGATGGGAACAATAGGCACTAGGGACTACTAGAGGAGGAGAGAGGTTGGGGGCAGGGCCTGAAAAATTACCTGTTGGGTACTATGCTCACCACCGGGGCGACAGGATCATTCATACCCCAAACCTGAGCATCATGCAATATACACATGTAACAAATACACACACACACACACACACACACATCCCTGCATATATACCTTGTGAATCTAAAATACAAGTTGAAATGATAAATAAATAAATAAATTTAAAAAGAAAACATTTGCAAATTATATATCTGATAAGGGTATCTGAATATATAGAGAACCCCTAAAACTCAGCGACAAAAAAGCAAACAACCCTATTTCAAAATAGGCGAAGGACGTGAGTAGACATTTCTTGAAAAAAGATATGCAAATGGTCAGTACACACACAATCTAAGTGATGCTTAACATCACTAATCATTAGGGAAATGCCAATCAAAATTATGAAGAGATACTACCTCACACCTACTAGGATGGTCACTATAACAAACAAACAAACAAGAAAATAACAAGTGTTGGCAAAGAAGTAGAGAAATTGGAACCTTTGTGCATTGTTGGTGGGAATGTAAAATGAGGTAGCTGCTGTGGAAAACAGTATGGCAGTTTCACAAAAAATTAAAAATAGAATTACCATATAATTCAGTAATTTCACTTCTGGGTATGTACCCCAAAAAACTGAAATCAGGGTCTTAAATAGAAACTGGTACACCCATGTTTATAGCAGCATTAGTCGCAATAGCAAAATGTGAAAGCAATTCAAGTGTCCAACAACAAATTAATAAAGAAGCAAAATGTGGTATATACAGATAATGAAATATTATTCAGCATTAAAAGGGAATGAAATTCTGACATATGCTACAACATGGATGAACCTTGAAGACATTATGCTAAGTGAAATAAGCCACTCACAAAAAGATAAATATTGCATGATTCCACTATAAGTGAAACTTACAGTGGGTACTTAGAGTAGTCAAAATCATAGAAACAGAAAATAGAATCATGGTTGCCAGGTACTGGGAAGAGGGAGGAATGAGATGCTATTTTTAGTGGGCAGAGTTTCAGCTTTGAAAAATGAAGAGAGCTCTGGAGATTGATGGCAGTAATGGTTGCACAAAAATATGAATGTACTTAGCACCTCTGAACTGTACACTTACAATGGTTAAGATAGTAAACTGTATGTTATGTGTACTTTATCACAATAAAAAATTGGGGTAGAGTAGATGGGGTGATTAATTATGAGATAATCATTTCCTGTGTTGAGAATAGTCACTATAAGAGGTGACTTTGCAAATGTAATATAGAGACTATATTATAAATTTGTTCATATGCTCTTAAATAAAAATGACCATACACTTGAAAGAAAATTAAAGCTCATCCTGCCAGAATTCAATTGGGTCATACTGTTAAGCAATTTATGGCAAAAACAATAAAGCAGTTAGCCAGTAATTAATGGAGTCTAATGGACTGATGTAATACCAAATGAGACAGTTCAAAAGAGAGATCAAGAAAAGAGACAGTAGACAGAGCCCTGATAAAACCACTCTCGGCTGGGCACGGTTGCTCATGCCTGTAATCCCGGCACTTTGGGAGGCTGAGGTGGGCAGATCACCTGAGGTCAGGAGTTAGAGACCAGCCTGGCCAACATGGTGAAACCCCTTCTCTACTAAAAATACAAAAATAATTAGCCAGGAGTGGTGGTGGGCGCCTGTAATCCCAGCTACTTGGGAGGCTGAGGCAGGAGAATCTCTTGAATCCGGGAGGCAGAGGTTGCAGTGAGCCAAAATGGTACCAATGCACTCCTGCCTGGGCAACAAGAATGAAACTCTGTCTCAAAAACAAAAACAAACCACTCTCATTTCAGGTTGGCTATGTGCATGCCGGAGGCCATGCCCTCTGAGGAACAGCACCAAAGCCTTCACACTGCAGGGTTAATAGGCTTTACTTAGCCAAGTCACAGAATAATGAAACAAGCAAACCACAACTAAATCAAGTCCAGAAGAAGGGAGAGGGTAATTAATATCCAGAGTTGCTGCAGTATATTACCTGAAATTCTACTTTTCAATAACGACAAAAAAATATGAGACATGCAAAGAAACAGCCAAGTATGACCCATGCAAAGGGGAAAAAAACAGGCAAGAGAAATTGTCTGTAAGATAGACTGGGTATCAGATTTAACAGACTTTAAAGTAGCCATTATAGTTCAAAGAACTAAAGGAAACCATGCTTAAGGAAGAAAGATAGGAAAACAATGTCTCATCAAATAAATAATATCAATATACAGATAGAAATTATTTTTATTTTTATTTATTTATCTTGAGATGGAGTCTTGCTCTGTTGCCCAGGCTGCGGTGTAGTGGTGCAATCTCGGCTCACTGCAACTTCCACCTCCTGGGTTCAAGTGATTCAGATTCTCCTGCCTCAGCCTCCTGAGTAGCTGTGATTACAGGCATGTGCCACCATGCCAGCTAACTTTTATTTGTATTTTTAGTAGAGATAGAGTTTTACCACGTAGGCCAGGATGGTCTTCAAATCCTGACCTCAAGTGATCTGCCCACCTCGGCCTCCCAAAGTCTTGGGATTACAGGCATGAGCCACCATGCCTTGCCAATTATTAAAATGAAAATTCTGGAGGTGAAAAGTACAATAACCAAAATGAAAAGTTAGTTAGAGGGGCACAACAGAACATTTGAACTAGCCAGAAGAAAGAAAGAGCAAATTTAATGATATATTGATAGAGATTATACAACCGAAGGAACAGAGAGAAAATACAATAAAGAAAAATAAGCAGAGCCTCAGAGAAATATAGGACGTCTGTAAGTGCACTAACATATGTGTAATGGAAGTACTAGAAGAAGAGAAGAAAGAGAAAGGAGCAGGAAGAGTATTTAAAGAGAAAATGGGCCGGGCGCGGTGGCTCACGCCTGTAATCCCAACACTTTGGAAGGCCGAGGCGGGCAGATCACGAGGTCAAGGAGATCGAGACCATCCTGGCTAACACGGTGAGACCCCATCTCTACTAAAAATATAAAAAATTAGCCGGGCGTGGTGGTGGGCACCTGTAGTCCCAGCTACTCGGGAGGCTGAGGCAGGAGAATGGCATGAACACAGGAGGCGGAGCTTGCAGTGAGCTGAGATCGCGCCACTGCACTCCAGCCTGAGCGACAGAACGAGACTCCGCCTCAAAATAAATAAATAAATAAATAAATAAATAGAGAAAATGGTTGATAACTTTCCAAGTGTGCTGAAAAACAACGTGCACATCCAAGAAGTTCAATGAACCTCAAGCAGGACAAATGTAGAGATGCACAGCCAGACACATCATAGAAAAAATGCTGAAAATCAAAGATAAAGAGAAAAGCTGTTCATCACAGGCAAGAAAACCCCAGAAAGACTAGCATCTGACTTCTCAGCAGAAACAATGAAGATTAAAAGGCAAAAGAATGACATGTTTAACATAAAGAAAAAATCTGCCAGCCACAAATATTACATCAGCAAAACTATCTTTCAAGAATTGAGGTGAAATAAAGAAATTCCCAATAAACAAATAATGAGAGACTTTATTGCCAGCATACTTGCCTTATAAGAAATAAATGAAGTTCCTAGGGCTAAAAGCAAGTGAACGAGATGAAATTTTAAATCCACATGAAAGAGCAAAACACAGCAGTAAAGGTAATGATGTAATTATAAAAGATAGTGTAAATGCATCTTTTTTCTCTCAACTGATTTTAAAAGTCATTTTATAAGATAATATGTATATAACTGTATTATTGTACCTATAACATATAGAAATGACAGTAACCACACAAAGGAGGTGGGTGTGAACAGAGTTGTACTGGAGCAAGATATTACACCATTATGCCTGTAATCCCAGTGCTTTGAGAAGCCAAGGCGGGATGATCACTTGAGGCCAGGAGTTGGAGACCAGCCTGAGCAACATAGTGAGACCCCATCTCTACAAAAAAATTTTAAAATTAGCCAGGCATGATGATGCACACCTGTAGTTCTAGCTTCTCAGGAGGCTGAGGTGGGAGGATCACTTGAGTTCAGAAGTTCAAGGTTATATTGAGCTGTTATAGCACCACTGTATTCCAGCCTGAATGACAGTGCAAGACCCTGTCTCTAAAGTAAAAAAAAGAGAAGAAATTATACCAGATGATAACTCAGACCCATAGGAACAAAGAGAACTGGGAATAATAAATAAGAAGGTAAATAAAGCAACCTCTATAAAAATATGCTTGCTTTTCATCTCTTTTGTCAGTCCCTTTAATTAACATAAAATTATATAAAGTAATAGTTTTAACAATGTATTGTTGGGTTTGTAACATATATAGATATAACATGTATAACAATAATAGCACAAAAACAGGGAAGAAGGAATAGAGCTATCTAGAAGTAACATTTCTATATCTCACTGGAATTAAGTTGGAATAAAACTCAAGTGAATTCTGATAACATGTATATGGTAATGCCTAGGGATTACAGCTGAGATAATTGAGAATGTAGGACAGCAATAGAGAAAATCAATGAAACCAAAAGTTGGTTCTTCAAAAAGATCAACAAAATTGACCAACCCTTAACTACATTGACAAGGAAAAGAAGAAAGAAAAATTACTAAAATCAGAAATGAAAGAAGGGACATTACTACTGACCTTACAGAAATAAAAAGAAAATAAGGAAATACTACAGACAATTCTAAGCCAAGTGATTAACTTATATGAAATGAACAACCTATAAAAACATAAACTACTTAAAGTGACCTAAGAAGAAATTTTTTAAAATCTTCAGTAGAGCCACACAATGGAATACTATTCAGCAATAAAAAGAAATGAAGTACTGTCAAATGCTACCACTTGGATTAACCTTGAAAACATTATGCCACATAAAAGAAGCCAGTCATAAGGACCACATCTAGTATGCTTTCATATACAGAAAATGTGCAGAATACGCAAATCTATAGAAATACAAAGTAGAGGCCAGGCCTGGTGGCTCACACCTGTAATCCCAGCATTTTGGGAGGCCAAGGCGGGTGGATCACCTGAGGTCAGGAGTTCGAGACCAGCCTGGCCAACATGGTGAAACCCCGTCTCTACTAAAAATACAAATATTAGCTGGGCGTGGTGGTGGGTGCCTGTAATCCCAGCTACTCAGGAGGCTGAAGCAGGAGAATCGCTTGAACCTGGGAGGCGGACATTGCAGTGAGCCGAGATCATGCCATTGCACTCCAGCTTGGGCAAGAAGAGTGAAACTCTGTCTCAAAAAAGAAAGAAAGAAAGAAAGAAAAAGAGAGAGAGAGAGAGAGAAAGCAAGCAAGCAAGCAAAGCAAAGTAAAGTGAAATACAAAGTAGATTATTGATTGCCCAGGGCTGGGAGTAAGGCAATGGGAGACTTGGGGAGGGAAGGCTAATAGGTATGAGTTTTCTTTTGGGGTTAATTAAAATATTCTAAAATTGACTGTCATAATGGCTGTACAATGTTGTGAATATTCTAAAAGCCATTAAATTATATATTTTAAATGGAGTAAATGTATGGCATGTGAATATCTCAATAAAGCTGCTTTTTCAAAAATGACTTGGATGGATAGAATCTGAAGGTGTGGGGGCTGTTGAAATGGTCCCTATAAGAGACTGAAGACTTGAACTGGAGAGACGAATAAGAATGGAAATCAAGATGAGGAAAAAGAACCTGGTTTTGCCAGGTAGGGTAATAGAAGATGAACTGCTAAATAATAGTGACTGCAGAACAAGAAATCCAACTCTTGCAGAATTTTAAAGATCAATTAACTACAAGTAGCTTGGAGATTGTTTCAAAAATAAAGTTTTGTTTGAAGTACAAGAAAATGCCTCTTAAGTATCCACATATACACACACAAAAAAACCCCATGTATTTAAAATAATTCACTAAATGGCTGTCAACACTGGGAGGGTACTAGGAAAGGAGAGCAGGGTCCATTATGAAGAAAGGAAAAGATGGTCCTGGTGAGAAAAACGGAAAAGGTCATCAAATGAGGCAGTGTCTTCGTTAATCTATTAATTCATTTACCAAATATTGATTGAGCATCTACCATGATCCACATCCTAGATACAGCGGTGCTTAAGAACTGCCTTCATGGAGCTTCCAGTTCAGTAGAGGAAGACAGATTATGAATGGTGCACAAGGCTGTATGTATAGCATGGTCCAGTGATGAGTGCTGGGGAGAAAATAAAGCTGGTTGAGAAATAAATTAGTGATCGGACACGTGAAGCAGACTGCTGTGAAGGCGTGGCACAGGAAGAGTTGAGACTTGAACAAGAAGATGTAAGCCTGGTGACTATGTGTGGAAGAGCATCTCAGGCAGAGGGGCTGCTGGAGCAATGAATGGAGTTGAGAGCATGAGGAAGAGCAAGAAGCCCAGCAAGAAGGCCAGTGGAGCACAGGAAGCCAGGCAGAAAGTGACAAGATGAGGAGGTCAGCAGGGCCAGATCGTCCATGAGGGTCTTAGGCCATGGTAAAAGGGTGCAGTAAGAGTGTCAAGTATATTTTAAATGTGATGGGAAGCCATGGGAAGGTTTTAAACTAGGAGTGAAACGATCTGATTTGCGTTATAAAAAGATGAGTGGAAGCTAGATGGGGAGGACAAAGAAAGGTTTGTTAATGGGACAAAAAAAACCTTTAGATAGAAGGAATAAGTTCTAGTGTTCGATAGCACAGTAGAGTCACTATAGCTAGTAATAATTTTTGTCTTTTTTAAAATAGCTAGAAGAGAATATTTGAAATGTTCCCAACACAAAGAAATAATAAATGCTTGAGATGATGGATATCCTCATACCTTGATTTGATCAATACACATTGTTGCATGTATCAAAATATCACATGTACCCCACAAATATGAACAATTATTATGTATTGACTTTTGAAAGATGAGTGGTGAAGGAGGGGATGTTAAGAAGTGGGGAAGCAGGGTGTTATGGGTTGAATTGTGTCCCCCAGTAAAGACGTGCTAAAGCCTTAGCTCCCAGTAACTATGGATGCAACCTTAGTTGGAAATAGGGTCTTTGCAGATTTAATCAAGTTAAAATGAGGTCATTAGGGTGGGCCTTAATCCAACGTGACTACCGTCCTTATAAACAGAGGGAAATGTGTACACAGACAGATACACAGGGAGCATGTCATGTGAAGGCACAGAGACATGGACACAGAGAGAAGATGGCCACATGAAGATGGAGGCAGAGGCTGGAATTACGCTGCTGCAATCCAAGGAAAGCCTGGGGCTGCCTGAAGCTGGAAGAGGCAAGAAAGGCTCCTGTCCTACAGCAGGATCTTGCTGGCACCCTGATTTTGGACTTCGGGACTCCAGAACTGGAGAGAGTGAATTTACATTGCTGGAGCCACCCAGTTTGTGATGCTCTGTTAGGGAAGTCCTAGGAAAGCAAGGCTCAGGGAAACCAGTGCAGGTGCCCACAGCAGAGAATAAGGTTTCAGGGAGGCATCACGCCACTGTCCGATGCCTGATGAATTTTGAAAGCAGAGCCCACAGGAACTGTGGGTATCTTGGTTTTGAGGGGCAGGAACAAAATAGGAATTCATTGCCAGGAACCTGCTTGAGGAACATGCTTGAGGAACACTTTGCAAAAAACTGCAAGACCAGTAAGCAGTCTTTGAATTCTAAATGTCAAAGAAAAGAGATCAACCAGTGGGATCTCCTGAGGTTATGGGGAACTGGGAGATGTACCCAAGAATAAACAAGACAGGAGTAACTGAGGCCACAAGTACTTACCTCTGTTTCTGTAGGATAGCATTAAGAAACTGGTCCTGGCCGGGCACAGTGGCTCACACCTGTAAACACAGCACTTTGGGAGGGTAAGGCAAGTGGACCACCTGAAGTCAGGAGTTTGAGACCAGCCTGGCCAACATGGTGAAACCCCGCCTCTACTAAAAATACAAAAATTAGACGGACGTGGTGGCAGGCACCTGTAATCCCAGCTACTCAGGAGGCTGAGGTGGGAGAATTGCTTGAACCCAGGAGGCAGAGGTTGCAGTGAGCCAAGACTGCACCACTGCACCCTAGCCTGGGTGACAAGAGCAAAACGCTGAAGAAAGAAACAAGACAGAAAGAAAGAAAGAAAGAGAGAGAGAGAGAGAGAGAAAGAAAGAAAGAAAGAAAGAAAGAAAGAAAGAAAGAAAGAAAGAAAGAAAGAAAGGAGGGAGGGAGGGAGGGAGAGAGAGAAAGAAAGAAAGGAGGGAGGGAGGGAAGGAAGGAAGGGAGGGAGAGAAAGAGAGAGAGAGAGAAAGAAAGAAAGAAAGAAAGAAAGAGGGGAAGGGGGAAGGGAGGAAGAAAAAAAAGAAAGAAAGGAAGGAAGGAAGGAAGGAAGGAAGGAAGAAAGAAAGAGAGAGAAAGAAATTGGTCCTGCTGGAATATATTTAAAACAAATTGACAAATTAGCCACAGGCACATCACTGTATGAGGCTTACCTACAAGTAATGACGACATTCAGGAATCACACTGGAAAGCAGTGGTCAGAGTGTGGGCACAGAAGTAGTTGTTGTTCCCGCGCCTGTGTGTGAGAGGCCTCCTGAGGGTTCACGGGTTATAGACAGTGAGGGTCACTTGCATGAGCACCATGGCAATGTGCGTCATTTTACACTCGAGAAGGTAGACCCTGGACACAATGGGGACATTTAATCTAAAGGAGCATCAGGCAGATCCTGCCTCTCTGCAGCAGCCCCAGTGATGTAATGCCAACCCCCTATGCACCCAGCCCCAGCAATTTTCCCCTGAGAGTCCTGAGAAAGTAGGTGGTCTTTGTTTGGTGGTGGTGGGGGTTAGGCACCGAGGGCTTTCTGGAAAGTAGGTACAGGCAGAGCTTGTCAATTATTGAGTAGTTGCTACATATGAACATTATACAACCCATTTCATAAGCATTCTCTAATTTATCCCTTATCCCCACCATGCAAGTAGGGTCGTATTGCCCCCATTTTACAAATGAGGAAACTGAGGCCCAAAGAAGCTAAGAAACCTGCCCAAGCCTGCACAATATCAGCACTGGACTTCAAACCCAGGGCTATGTGACAGAAAACCTTAGATCTTCTCTTTACACCATGTGATGTGATCTTCTTTCTTGCTACCCAGAATGTGGTCCATGGGCCAGCAGCACCAGCAGCACCTGGGAGCTTGTGCAAAATGCAGACTCTCAGGCCCCACCCAGACCTACTGAACCAGAATCTGCATTTTAACAAGATGCACAGGTGATCAAGTGCACACTAGCATATGGGGAGCACTGCTCTACTTAGTTTTTAGAAGGTCTTTGATAAATGTCCACACAAAAGTTCAACTGCCTCATTTCACAGATAAAGAAACTGCGGGCTGGAGAGGACTAGCAAGTTGCCCAGTATTCCTGAATCGACGCTCCTAACAATGTCTTGGACCGTCATGAAGAACCATGCCCAATGTGCTGCCGTGACCAGAAAAGGCAGTCACATGATGGGAGCTGTCAATCAAAAGCGGCACTGAAATTAAAGAACTAACACTCTTCCATCTGTCACAACAAGGATAGTAGAGAGACAGCTTCAGTGTCCCAGTCCCTCACCCATCCCTAGTCCAGGCTCCTTTGTAAAAGGGATATTGACACCTTGCCTGTGACGCCCATCTGCCTGGGCTGGGATGTTCTCACTTCTTTCTTTGCATCTTCACTGCCTGCATGCATGCCTCATACACAGTAGGTGCTCAATCCACCTTTGCTAACATCGCTGAGACTAGTGGATGGGAGAGATCTGCACAAGGAATGGGGCCTCAGCAAGAAGGGCTAAACTGAAGACAAAAGCTGCACATTTGCCTGGGGCAGCTCCACCAGTCTTCAATCTCTGATTCCCTTTTCTTTAAAATCTATTACAAAGTATTCAACTGCTTCAGCAGCTCTTGTGCTTTTCCAGATTCTTTAACGGGAATGTTAGTAAGCGTGCCAGCAATTTACTTTTTTGCATTGACTCCATCTCTTCAATACCATTACTACTGCTGAAACTGCCAAGGCTCTTTGGCTCTGAGCTCTAATGGACATTGGGCAGCTGAGCCTTGGAAGATCAGCAAAAATGGTTTCTGGAGCACAACGGGGCACCAGCGTCTAGATCTCTCCATCCCCTGACCCCTACACTCTGCTTCTACCAGCTACATGTCCTTACCAGCTGCCTTCTTGTGAATTCCATTCACCATCCAGCAGTGAACTACCTAAGACGAGCTTCTACCCTGGTGAGGTCTCTCTGAAGTGACAGCCCGACTAAGGTGACCAAGAAAGGGAGAAGCCAAGAAGATCAAAGGCCTGTAGAGCCTCACGCCCAGCCCTGCCTCCTCTGTGACAGTCAAGAACGTGCCCAGAATTCTGCCTCTGGTTACAGGCGCATGCCTGACAGCCTGTCCCTACCCCTGCAAAGGAGGGAGCATGAATGAGGGGTCCTCTGCCCTGGGCCTATGCACAGGCCCCCATTCCTTTATGCTGCTCATGGTTGACTGTCTTTGGGGTGCTCCTGGATTCTGAGTCCAGCTGCCAGCTGGAACCCTTCATGTTTTTCTATTATCTCCTTCTTGATCTCAGATTCTGAGCTCAGCCCCTTGGGCTTGCAGAGCTTTACACATCATCCTCTAAGTTTGTGGGCTTTCCTTCAGCAACCCTCTTTGCTCAGCCCATCAGTTTTCCCCTTTATCAGCTAGCTGCCCAAGTCCAAGCCCAGTGCATGACATAATCCATCCCTGTTCAACTTCTTGGCCAATGACCATGATACAGAGGGCTACCACCTCTCTTCTCACCCACACGTACCCATGTCTCACTATCAGTCATATTGTGGGGGATAGAGAGGAAAGAACAAATATGCAGTCATTTACCTTAAGCTACTAATGAAATAGACACACCTTGAAAAACATAACAAGATACATCCAAGTGTAAAAATTGATACGTAGTCAGCTCCATTGCATGGAAAATAGCTCTCCTGGTGTCGATCTCTGTCCACTCATTTTTTGACCCAACCCAGGAAACTTGACTCAGTTGCAGGGTCATTCAGTGAGATTCTTTCCCCGTGACACTCATGACAGGCACAGACATGGCCTATGACATCTGGGCATTTGGGACCTAAAATAGAAAGGTAAATAAATTCCAGAGGGATAAAAACCATTAGCCCAAGGCCAAGTAGCCAGTGTTGTTTGATACCACTGATGATCAGCAGGTGTGTGTGGGGTGAAAAACAATGGGAACCAGTCTCTAAGCTGCCAGCAAAAGAGGCCATGGGAGCTTTCTTGGCAACCCGACATGGGTGAAGGAAGTTGTGAGTTCTTCTTTGCCACAGACTCTGTGGGCTCTCTGAGTGCTCCTTAGAGTCCCAGGAGGCCAGCGTCTCTTGCCTACAGCAGCAACCTTCACAGCAGGATCTGGAGTGATTCCCCTCCTTCTCTATCTCACTCTCTGCTTCCTCCCTCCTGCTTCCTGGCGTCACTTTCCCATAGACAAGCTCTAGTCACATCCTTGTCTCAGGTTCTGCATTCTAGAAAGCCCACACTAAGACAAATGCCTATGTTATAAGGCAGTTGTAAGGACTCATGGAGATAAATCATGTAAAGCTCTTGGAAAAGAAAAAGAGCACCCAAGAGACCAAGAAACAAAAGCAGCCCAGCACCCACCCACTGGTCTGATGCTCACAGCTGGCCCCTGGGTTGTTAGAAGCTCCTTTGACACTCACAACTGGACCACACTGTTCTCCTGTTGGACATAAAGGACCTCACAGAACACCAACATCAGACAAGGTCATTCTGATGCCATGTTACAGTGGGACAAAAGCAAGGTCACTGTGTGTTAGGCCGTTCTTGCATTGCTATAAAGGAATACCTGAGACTGGGTAATTTATCAAGAAAAGAGGCTTTATTTTGGCTCACAGTTCCACAGGCTGTACAGGAAGTGTGCTGCTGGCATCCGCTTCTGGCGAGGGCCTCAGGGAGCTTACAATCATGGTAAAAGGTGAAGAGGGTGCCAGTGCATCGCTAGGAGAGTGCGAGCAAAAGGAGATGCCACACATTTTTAAACAACCAGATCTCACATGTACTGAGAGTGAGAACCACTCATTACTGGGAAGCCAGCACCAAGACATTCATGAGGGATCCACTCCCATGACCCAAACACCTCCCACCAGCCCCACCTCCAACATTTCAACATGAGATTTGGAGATCTGGAGGGGACAAACACCCAAACAATATCACTGTGCAACCCAAAAATCCTCTCTTTCTCTCAGCTATGAGTGACTTCTGTTTCTTTACCAATTACATCTTTAGCTTCACTTCAGTCTGTCCTTTCTATAGATAAGATTTATTGAGATTCCCCATCATATAATTCCTCCACTTCCTGGTAACATTCAAGCCACAGCAAAGCCCCATATCCTTGACCCTCCCTTGAATTACCCAGTCAAAACCTCCATCCTGTTGTGGGTTCTTTCTCACCCTCCCCCTGAGAGCCCCTGCTGGTGGAGATGTGCTGGACAGCACAGAGAGGAATCTCCAGGAGGAAGCCAGGATAGGAGACAGGGCTCTCTCATCCCAGACCAGTAGTTAAGCACCTGCTCAGCTACTTAGCAGGCATACTTCCGTCACCTACTATATGTAGGATGCTGAGCAGCTTAGGATTAATGCTGAGGTGCAGACAAACCAATCCGAAGGCACGATCCCCACCTTGCAGGGTTTTATGATCTTATCAGGGAAGAGAACATACACTTACGGGAAACAGCTCAGATCAGTTTGAGCTCCTGCCCTGAGCCCTGGGCTGCTGCTGTTCTGTCTTTTCCCTCAGCTCTGTGAAGCCACAGAGTGTTTGCACCTCCGTCAAACTTAATGAAATATTTAAATTTACTTTTGTCTTATTAAAAAAAAAGGCACTACACACTGCTAATAAATATGTGTAAGAATCTCTTCTGGAAATATATTCTGGGTAATTTTATGTGGTATAAAACACCTCTGATAATCAAGTTTAAGATCATCAGTGATGTCATGTCGATAGTTTATACCTTGATGCAATGTGTCAAGAATGGCATTTCACTTCTGTGGTCTTCCTCTCAAAAACCCATAATGCAAGTCAAACTATAAAGGAAGCACAAACTATAAACAAGCCCAAATTGAAGCACATTTTAGAAAATACTTTGTCAATACTCCTAAAAAATGTCAAGGTCATGAAAAAGAAAGGAAGTCGGGGAAATGCCACAGCCAAGAAGAGTCTAAGGAGACATGATGACTAATTGTTATGCAGTATCCCAAATGGGATCCTGGGACAGAAAAAGCACATTAAGTTCAAAGTAAGGAAACTGGAATTAAATGAGAGCTTTATTTAATAATAATGTATCAGTATTGGATCATTAATTATGACAAATCTACCAAAGTAATGTAAAATGCTAACAATAGGGGAAACTTGGTGTTGCGTATACAGAAAACAGGAACTCTCTATACTATCTTTGCAACTTTTCGGTAAATCTAAAACTATAATAAAATTAAAAGTCTATTTGGCTCACACCTGTAATCCAAGCACTTTGGGAGGCCGAGGCAGGTGGATCACTTGAGGCCAGGAGTTTGAGAATAGCCTGGGCAACATGATGAAACCCCATCTCTACAAAAAATACAAAAATTAGCCAGGTGTGGTGGTGCATGCCTGTAGTCCCAGCTACCTGGGAGGCTGAGGCAGGAGGATCACTTGAGCCCGGGAGGCAGAGGTTATAGTGAGCTGAGATCACACCACTGCACTCCAGCGTGGGCAACAGAGTGAGATCCAGTCTCAAAAAGAAAAAAGTTTATTATAATAAAACAGACAAGCTAGCAAACCTTTGAGTACTGTGTGTCCTACATGCTATTTCTCTGAATGTAAATTCTGACCAGCTTAGTCCTTCCTACTATGTGTATAGCCATATAGCATTGGAGTGTGTGTGCACTACAGGTGAATGTGTGTGTGCGTATGTGTGTTTAAAGGGCCAGGTACTGTACTTTGATTTGTTTATAAGTCAGCCAAGCTATAGTGATGGTTTCATGAGTATATACGTATATCAAAATGTATCAAATTATATACCTTAAATTTATGTAGTTTATTGTTTATTACATCTCAGTAAAGCTAAAAAAAAAAAAAAAAAGAAACACTCCAAATTTTGATGCCAGAGCAAGTACAGAGGAGGGCCCAAACTCAATTACTTATGAAAATATTTTGACCTCAGACTTTTTATTTAAAGGAAAACAAAACAAAAACCTTAAAAACTGTATTAGTCAGCTAGGGCTGCTATAACAAAATACCACAGAATGAGTGAATTTAACAACAGAAATTAATTTTCTTATAGTTCTGGAGGCTGGAAGTCTATCATCAAGGTGCCCGCAAATTTGTTTCCTGGTGAACCTGCCCTTCCTGGCTTGTAGTCAGCCACCTTCTCTCTGTGTCCTCATGTGGCCTTTCATCTATGTGCACATGGAGGAAAGAGAGATCCCTGACTTCTCTTCTTCCAATAAGGAGACCAGACCTACCGGAGTAGGGCTCCATGCTCATGACCTCATTTAGCCTTAATTGCTTCCTTAAATATCCTAGCTCCAAAAATAGTCACATTGGCGATTAGGGCTTCAACATAGGACTTTGAGGAAGACCCAATTCAGTCCATAACATCCACTCTCTGGCGCCCCCAATCCATGTCCTCCTCACATGCAAAATACGTTCACCCCCACCTCAACAGCCCCAGAAGTCTTAACCCATTCCAGCATCAGTTCTAAAGTCCAATATCTCATCTAAATATTACCTAAATCCGGTATGGGTGAGACTTGAGGTATGATTCATCCTGAGGCAAAGTTCCTCTCCAGTTTTGAACCTGAGAAACTAGACAAGTTATGTGTTTCCAAAATACAGTGGCGGGACAAGCACAGAATAGACACCCCCTTCCAAAAGGGAGAAGGTGGAAAGGAGAAAGGAGTGACAGGTTCCCAAGAAAGTCCAAAGCCTAGCAAGTCAAATTCCATGATTATAAAGCTCAAGAATAATCCCCTTTGATTGGAAACTCTGCCTTCTGACCCACTGAGGCAGCAGCATCACTGCCATGTTGCCCCCTCAACTCTTTACAAAGGTCCTGCCCTTGAGGCCCTGGGTGCATGCAGCCTGGCCTACAAAAACCAAGAAGGGGCCCCACTCTGTGAAACCAAGGAGGAAACAGCCTTGCCTCCTCAGCCTGTGGTGGGAGTGGCAGACCTGATGATCTCTGAATCAACTTCAGGGTCATTCTGCTCTTTTCTTGAAGGATAAAGACAAATAGTTCTATTCTGCCATATTGTAGAATCCCAGAAGTCTGAAAGCCTTCCTTTGTTTTTGTCCCAGCTCCATTCTCCTTGGTCCAAACTGGCAGTGTCTCTTCTTGTATATGCCCATCTCTATTCCTGGTTTCTGCTGAGATGGCTGATTGACTCCATGGGTAATCTCCTGATGGAGTGATTGTCAAGCCACACCCTTGGTGTTTGCTCCAGAACATGCTTTCTCATTTTTTTTGCAGTATGGATAGGCTGAGAATTTTCCAAATCTTCAAGTTCTAGTTGCTTTTTACTTAACAATTTATTTAATTAATTTCTCTCCTCTTATCTGTTATTATAAATAGTAAGGAGAATCCAGAATGCACCTTCAACCCTTTATTTATAAACCTCCTCAGCTAAATATTCAATGTTGTCACTCACAAGTGGTACCTTCCACAAAAACTACAACACAATTCAGCCAAGATACTTTGCCACTTTATAACAAAGATGGCCTTTCATCCAGTTTCCAATAGTGTGTTCCTTCTTTGCCTCTGAGAACGCACTAGAATCACCATTACCATTCATATCTCTACCAATAGTTCTTTCAAGGCAATCTAGGCTTTTTCTAGCAGGCACCTCAAATCTCTTCCAACATCTGCTCATCACCCATCACCCAGTTCCAAAGCCAATCCACATGTTTAGGTACTTGTTACAGCAGCGTCTCATTCCTTGGTACCAAAATCTGTTAGTCAGGGTTCTCCAGAAAAATAGAACCCATCAGAATCAGGGTAGGGGGTGATTTATTATAAAGTCTTAGCCTCACTTGGCCTTTTGCCTAGGATTAAGTGTAGTATCTATTGTATTGATCTGTTCTTATGCTGCTAATAAAGACATACTTGAGAAGTGGGTAATTTATAAAGGAAAGAAGTTTAATTGACTCACAGTTCCACATGGCTGGGGAGGCCTCACAATCATGATGGAAGACAAAGGAGGAGCAAAGTCACGTTTTACATGGTGGCAGGCAAGGGAGCTTGTGTAGGAACTCCCTTTTATAAAACCATAAAATCTCATGAGACTTACTCACTATCACAAGAACAGCATGGGAAAGACCCACCCCCATGATTCAGTTACCTCCCACTGGGTCCCTCTCACAACACATGGGAATTATGGGAGCTACAATTCAAGATGAGATTTGGGTGCAGACACAGCCAAATCATATCACTATTCTTATCAGTTTAATATCTGATGTGTCCTCTATTTGGGCATAATATATAAAATAAATTTTTGGAGAAGGGAGATACAATAGGAGCTTGTTCCATCTACTCCATGCAGTAACCTGGTATTGCAGTACCTCCAGGAATGGTGCAACTTCCTCCTCTCCCGCAGGATTAAAAAAAAGAATTAGCTCACATAACTATAGAGGCTAGAAAGTCCCAAGATCTGCAGGGTGAGTCAACAAGCTAGAGACCCAGAAGGGCTGATGATGTAGGTCCAGCCTGAGTTCAAAGACCTGAGAACGAGGAGAGCTGATGGTGTAGTTCCTGAAGGCCAGCAAGGCTCAAAATTCAAGAAGAGCCAATGTTTCAGTTTGAATCTGAAGAGGAAAAATTCCCTCTCACAAAGGGAAGGGTCAGTCTTTTTGTTCTATTCAGGCCACTAACTGATTGGATGAGGCCCATCCACATTAAGGAGGGCAATCTGTTTTACTCAGTCTACCCATTTAAATGTTAATCTCAGGCCAGGTGCGGTGGCTCATGCCTGGTGATCCCAGAACTTTGGGAGGCCAAGACGGGCAGATTACCTGAAGTCAGGAGTTCGAGACCAGCCTGGCCAACATGGTGAAACCCCGTCTCTACTAAAAATGCAAATATTAGCTGGGCATGGTGGTGGGTGCCTGTAATCCCAGCTACTTGGGAGGCTGAGGCAGGAGAGTCATTTGAACCTGGAAGGCAGAGGTTGCAGTGAGCCAAGATCGGCCATTGCCCTCCAGCCTGGGCAACAAGAGTCAAACTCCGTCTAATAAAAAGGATTATTCTCTCTACCTATCACAATAGCCACCCAGTCACTTTTGCTGCTCCCTCATTTCCACTAACCCTTCTTCTCAGCCTTGCCAAGTTCTGTGACCCCTCAACTTGGTTTCTTGTAGTGTGATTGCTGGTTTACTTCCACAGAATCACCGGAGTAGAGGTAAAAAGTGGTACATGGGCCCTACTCCAGAAAATTGAGTTTGAAATTCAGGGCCAACCAGTCCCTATGTATGACTAAAATTTATAATCTCTTTTTGTGGTATTTTAATAAAGTTTCAAAGCTTTATATTAAAAATTTAAGTGATATCAAGTTGTATTAGTCAGAGTTCTCCAGAGAGACAGAAACAATAGAATGGATGGATGGATGAATAGAGGATTGAAAGGATTGATAAATAGATAGATAGATAGATAGATAGATAGATACATACATACATACATACATACATACATACTTAGATGAAGAGGCATTTATTAGGGTAATTGGCTTATATGATTATGGTGGCTGAGAAATCCTGCAACAGGCTGTCTGCAAGCTGGAAACCCAGGGATGCCAGTAGCGTGGCTCAGTCCAAGTCCAAAGGACTCAGAACCAGGGAAGCTGGGGGTGTAACTCTTAGTCTGAGGCCAAAGGTTTAATGACCTGAAGGGGGAGGACTGCTGATTCAAGTTCCAAAGTCCAAAGTCTGGAGTACCTGGAGTTCTGATGTCTGAGACCAAGAGAAGAGGGTGCCCCAGTTCCAGGAGGAAGAGAGTAAATTTGCCTTTCTTTTGGCTTTTTGGTGTATCCATGACCCTAGTCAATTGGATTGTGCAACCCACATTAAGAGGGATCTTCCCCACACAGTCCACCAACTAATGCACCAATCTCCTCCGGAAACACCGTCACATACACACCCCAAAATAATGCTTTACCAGCTATCTAGATATTCCTTAATTCAATCAAGTTGACACCTAAAGTTATCCATCATACAAGTAGGTAAAATAAGATGAGAGTCTGCCTTTATTCCCACAGAAATCCCAATAACCTCCTCGGAGTTAAGCATCTGAGCTTCTATTTTTTTCTTCTATGCATTTATAAACACATAGGGTTTCCTTTAAACAAAGGGAATCACTTGGATTAACTAAGCACAAGAAAACTTTCCCATTGTGTTGTTTCTGTATTTCCCTTCTTCCTTTTAATGAATTTCAAAGATCTTAAATCTTTTCCTCTCCTAATTATTAGAAAATTATATATCTTATTTTTATTTATCTGATGTTACACTTACATTTTTACAATGATATTGATGCTTTTTTTTCTATCAATGTTGAAAACTAACAAGCATTCATAACATTCATACTCCAACAGGGTAATATTGTTATTACAATTTGTCCCTTTCCTTTTTTTAAAATTTTTAATTACGGAAGCTTCCAATATAGGCAAGAGTAGATCAATGACTTTAATGAATCCCTCTGTACTACTCACCAGCTTAAACAGGAGGAATGTGTCTCAACTCATGGCCAAGTTTACATCCCCATCCATTTGCTCCTCCCACACTATTTTGAAGCATAGCCCAGATATCATATTTCATCTGTAAATCTTTCAGTACCTATCTCAAGAAGATATAAGGGCTCCTTTCACATATATAAATACAGTATCACACCTAAGAATCAATTAAAAATAACTAGTAAATACCCAGAATTCCAATTATGTCATACATGTTATTGTAACTTTTTTCCTATAGCTTGTTTGAATTGGGATTCAAATAGTCTATATATTGCAATTGGTTCATATGTCTTTAACATCTCTTAATGCATAGATTTCCAATTATGTCTTTTTTTCTTACAATTCATTTGTTAAAAAAACAAATTGTTTGTTTTATAGTTATATAGATCATCCGTGAGTGATCATGAAGCAGATAGTCACTAGTCCATCAAGATGTCTTATTTAAGGGGAACGAGTTGGTGATCATAGTGTTATTAATATAGCCTTGAAGTAAGAGCCAGACACTAGGTATAGTTTCAGTCTAGAAACCCCAAAGTTTTATGGCCCAGAGTTAGGAGGGGCATACTTCCCATGTGGGTTGTTGGTTTCTCGAACAACAACCTTGGTAGTCAAGGAATTTATTTGGGGGTGATAAGAATGTTGATGAGAAGCCGAGCATGGTGGCTCATGCTTGTAATCCCAGCACTTTGGGAGGCCAAGGCAGGTGGATCACCTGAGGTCAGGAGTTCAAGACCAGCCTGACTAACATGATGAAACCCCATCTCTACTAAAAATACAAAATTAGCTGGGCATGGTCGCACATGCCTGTAATCCCAGCTACTTGGGAGGCTGAGGCAGGAGAATTGCTTGAACCCAGGAGGCGGAGGTTGCAGTGAGTCAAGATCGCGCCATTGCACTCCAGCCTGGGCAGCAAGAGTGAAACTCCATCTCAAAAAATAAAAATAAAAAAAATAAAGAATGTTGATGAGAAATTATTTGACCTACATGTGCTATGTATGATCAGTGATTGTATGGTGCTATTGTACTAGATGATGTCCATATGCTAAAGATTAGAGCTTGTACAGCTTAGCTTAATGGGTAGTCATCATAAACTTCATATACTTGCTTATATTTATAAAATCTAGATTTTGCTGATTGCATCCCATGGGTGTCATTTGATAAGTGCCTCTGTCATCTGTATTGGTAGTTAGATCTATACGCTTGATCAGATTCAGGCTAGATATTTTTGCCAAGAATACTTGATAGATGATAGCGTGTGCCTCCATCAAGATGCACATAATGTTTGGCTGTCTTTCCTTCTGTGATACTATTGGCTTATCATGCTCAATGCCTAGATCTAAAATTGTGATATTCAAAATCCACTGTTTCTTCATGTAATGGCTGGAATCCTTCAATAAATGTAAGCTCCTCATCTTCTACTGTTTTACCTAGTGATACAGTTAAAGACAAGACAGGGCTGGGCACGGTGGCTCAGGCCTGTAATCCCAGCACTTTGGGATGCCAAGGTGGGTGGATCACCTGAGGTCAGGAGTTCAAAACCAGCCTGGCCAACATGACGAAACCTCATCTCTACTAAAAATACAAAAATTAGCTGGGTGTGGTGGCGCGTGCTTGTAGTCCCAGCTACTGGGAAGGCTGAGGTGGGAGAATCACTTGGACCCGGTAGGCGGAGGTTGCAGTGAGCCGAGATCACGCCACTGCACTCCAGCCTAGGCAACGGAGCAAGACTCTGTCTCAGAAAAAAAAAAAAAAAAAAAAAAAGAAGAAGGGCCGGGCACGGTGGCTCATGCCTGTAATCCCAGCACCTTGGGAGGCCGAGGCAGGCGGATCACCTGAGGTCAGGCATTCGAGACCAGCCTGGCCAACATGGTGAAACCCCATCTCCACTAAAAATACAAAAATTAGCCAGGCGTGGTGGCTGGCGTCTGTAATCCCAGCTACTGGGGAGGCTGAGGCAGAAGAATCCCTTCAAACCGGGAGGCGGAGGTTGCAGTGAGCCGAGATCGCATCATTGCACTCCAGCTTGGGCAACAAGAGCGAAACTCCATCTCAAAAAAAAAAAAAGAAAAAAAGAAAAGAAAATAGTTTTAGGCAGGGCATGGTGGCTCATGCCTGTAATCCCAGCACTTTGGGAGGCCGAGACGGGCGGATATCTGAGGTCAGGAGTTCGAAACCAACCTGGCCAATATGGTGAAACCCCGTCTCTACTAAAAATACAAAAAAAAAAAAAATTAGCGGGGCATAGTGGTGGGCACCTGTAATCCCAGCTACTTGGGATACTGAGGCAGGAGAATCGCTTGAACCTGGGAGGCGGAGGTTGCAGTGAGCCAAGATGGCATCATTGTACTCCAGCCCTGGCGACAGAGTGAGACTCCGTCTCAAAAAAAAAAACAACAACAACAAAAAAAGACAAGCCAGAATAAATACTTAATTCTTTCCTGTTATTTACCAGTTTTCAAAAGAATGGCTTAGTTCCCCCAGCATCCTCCAGTGGTGACTAATTTAATTATTTTTGTTGTCCTTGCTATTTTAATATTATACACTCACGCATTTAAACATTATTGACAGCTTCAGTCTACTATAGTCATCATCCTCAGCAATGCTCAAACTGTCCAGTCTTTAGCAAGCTGGAACCTTTTGGTTTGCTCCTGAGTACTGGCTAGGTTAAGACAAGACAACACAATGTCATGTTCTGAGGTTAGACTGATAAAAATACAACTTGAAAATCCACATGGAATGGTTTTACCCTGTCGAAAGACTTTATTTGCACAAACCTTGGAGAATGGAAAGCTTCTTAACCTGGCAAGAAGACTACATGAGTAAAAAGTAGATCATACTCCTCTGAGGAGGGCATCCTTGATTAACATTACACTATATATAAAGTTATATAATTATATTTTATATTTATATGAAGTATATAAATATACTTCACGCCTTCTTTCAGGCACAGACACTTCCAATTATTCAGGCAGAAGCAGCTGGCAGTGAACTTGACAGCCAAGTACCTTCTTATATCCATTCTTTGTACCCAACCACTGAAAATCTCTGGTATGAGATTTTATTTATTTTCCCTAAACACTCTTTCTTATTGATGTATAATTTATAAATGCACAGATTTAATTGTATAGGCTGAAGGATTTTGACAAATTCACAACCCATGTATATATCACCAACAACAAGAAACAGAACATCACAATCCATAGGAACATTTTATATGCCTCTTTCTGGTTAATCCCACCCATCCCCTCAGACAACCATTGATTTGTTTTCTATCACATAGATAAGATTTGTTTACTTTGGATGTCACATAAATAAAAACCATACAGAATAAACTCTTCAGTATCTGGCTTTTTTTTTTCATAGCATAATGTGTTTGATATTTATTCACGTTGTTGTATAAGTAGTTCATTCATTTTTAATGCTGAGTAGCAGCACACCACAAATTGTTAATTCTTTCATCAACTGATAAACATCTGAGTTGTTTCCAGTTTTTGCCTGTAATAAATAAAGCAGCTATAAACATTCAAGTACAAGTTATTTTATAGACATATGTTTTCATTTTTCTTGGGTTGGGATTGAGTTACATTTTAAATACAAAAGGACTTCAAAAAGTCCACAGAAAAATGGTAATTAAAAGATTTTTAAAATAACAAACTTTATCTCTCAACATAAACTCCATCAAATTCAAGACAATTTTGAGAGTGATGATACCAGCAATTTAGTCCATTCCTAAAGAACTGAAGGTCTTGGGAATTTAACCATGTCAATGCAGTCTTTTTGACATTATTAACTGAGGAAAAATGGATGCCCTTTAAAGATTTTTCGATTAGGAAAGAAAAAGTTCAGAAGAACCAAATCAGGACTCTAAAGTGGATGCCTAATGATATCCCATTGAAACTGTCACAAAATTGCCCTAGTTTTATAAGAGGAAGGAGCAGGAGCATTGGTGTAGTGGAGAAGGACTCTGTAGTGGAGATTTTCCAGGTGTTTTTCTGCTAAAGCTTTGGCTTTCTCAAAATACTATTACAATAAGCAGATGTTGTCATTCTTTGGCTCTCCAGGAAGTCACTAAGTAAAGTCTTTGAGCTGCCCAAAAAACTCTTGCCATATCCTTTGCTCTTGACCTGTCTGCTTTTGCTTTGACTAGACCACTTCCATCCTTAGCAGCCATTGCTTTGATTGTGCTTTGTTTTCAGGATTGTACTGGTAGAGCCACGTTTCATCTCCTGTTACAATTCTTTGAAAAAAATGCTTCACGGCCTTGATCCCGCTTGTTTTATATTCCCATTGAACATTTTGCTCTTGTCTGCAGCTGATCTGGGAACAACGGTTTTGGCACTCATCTAGTGGAAAGTTTGCTCAACTTTAATTTCAGTCAGAATTGTGCACATTGGGCCAATTGAGATGTCAATGGTCTTGGCTATTGTTTGTACTATTAATCATCAATCCTCTGCAATCAGGACACAAACAAGATGAATTTTTCCCTCACAAATTTATGTGGATTGTCTGCTGTTCCAGGCTTTATATTCAACATCATCTTGTCCCTTCTTATATTAGTTATATATTTGTAAACTGATTTATTTGAGGATACTGCCCCCATAAATTTTTCATGAAACATCAGTGATTTCACCATTCTGCCACCTAAGACTCATCATCAATTTGATGTTTGTTCTTGCTTCAATTTTAACAGAATTGATGTTGCTCTAATAGGGACTATTTCCAAACTGATGTCTTATCCTTCTAAATGCCTCAAACTAGATCCTGTTCAGACAAGTTACAACAAATTAGTATGAGTTTATTTGGCGGCAAAATTTTTTTGAAATCCATGCATAGTTTTTTCATAATATGCATTTTTCATGAACTTCTCAAAGACATTGTATATGCTTTATGAGAAGCTACTGAACAGCTTGACAAAGTGATTGTACCATTTTACGCTTCTACCCATGATGAATAAGCATTCCAATCATTCATAGGAATAACTGACTTGAATTACACTCGTGTTGTAACCAATACTTGATATTGTCAGTCTTTCGAATTTCAGCTGTTACAATGGGTGTGATCTCTCGTGATTTTAATTTGCATTTCCCTCACAACTAGTGATGTTAAACATCTTTGCATGCACTTATTGGATAATCTCATGTCTTTTCTGAGGTATCTTAAGTCTTTTGACCCTATGTTGTTTATCCTTTTATCCCTGATTTATAGGGATTCTTTCTATATTCTGGGTACCAGGTTTTTTTTTAATCACATATATGTATTATAAATATTTTCTCCTAATCCATAGCTTGCCATTACACTTCCTTAGACTTTGTTTTCAATTTTATTTTCCACTATATTTCTAGGCTCCAGGTCTTCCCTCAATTGCTAACCTAAGCTCAAATAGAATACACCGTTTATTGAGCACTTACTGTGAGCCCTCTACTGTGCTAAGCTCTTTATACCTCCTATGCTACTCACGACAATTCTGGGAGGCAAATAACAGTCACCACATTGAATCAATAGGGAAAGCAGCTAAACAACCTCCCAATATCACCCAGCCAGTAAGAAACAGAAAGACTTTAAGCAATGGGGTTCAATAATGGCTGCACATTTGAGTTACCTAAAATGCAGGCGAGGTAAAAATTACTAATGCCCAGGCTCCAATCTCAGAAATTTTGATTTAATTGATCTGAGGAGGAGGCCCAGGTATGGGTAACTTTTTAAAGCTCATTGGAATCACAAAATTGGGGTATAAAATAAATAGATAGATAGATAATAGATAGATAAAAAATTAAAAGTTCATCGAGTGATTCTAGGGATCAGAAACTCTGATTCAAAATGTGCTCTGAGCTCCCTGCTGCATCATACAGTTTGGCTCCAGAAGATTGCCCTGTCCCCCAGTGCAGAAAGAGTTAAATGACAGGCAGTCCGGGAGACCATCTCTCAGCATCATTTACAGGCTGTGCAAAGAGAAAGTGTGCCTGGCTGACGCAGTTCTCACTGTGCAGACTGGAGATGCTTTGGGTTTTAATTTAAGGAGCTCTTTAAAATCTTCTCTCTCCTCCACCCCCACTTTCCCAGGAGACATCATATCCAGACGTCAGCTCATAAAACCAGGTCCAATTTTGGAGGCTGCAGTGATCTGGGAACCATCCAATGTGTCCTTGCAGACAGGCAGTCACAACTCGGAAATGACGATTGCATAGAGGTTTCAATGTCGCATGCAAATAGCCTATCTCGCTGACAATTTTCAACTTGCTGTCATTTAATGATGCTTCCCCGCTCTCCAAGGAAAGCTGGCACCAAGTGGGGGAGGGGTTCCTGCTTTTCTTTTCAGTGCTCCACTCATACCACTGTGGCTTTCAGAAGCTGAGCTGGGAGTTCTGAAAAGCCAATATCTTTATCAAGTGGGAAAGGAGAGAGAGCCAGGCAGAGATAGGTTTCTCTAAAATAAGACCCTACTTGATTTTTCTCCCTGGGACATTTATAGCTCATAGCAATGAGCCCCAAAGATCCTTATTTGTCCTAGAATCAGAACCCTAGTCTCACTCAGCTGAGGGTAGGGGGAATTTAATGAGTATTTCTGTAGAGCTTTGAAAATTACCACCATCACTTCAGTGTCAAAAACACAGACAGCGGCCAGGCACGGTGGCTGATGCCTGTAATCCCAGCACTTTGGGAGACCAAGGAGGGTGGATCACCTGAGGTCAGGAGCTCGAGACCAGCCTGGCCAACATGGTGAAACCCTGTCTCTACTAAAAATACAAAAATTAACGGGGCGTGGTGGCAGGCACCTGTAATCCCAGCTACTCGGGAGACTGAGGCAGGAGAATCGCTTGAACCTGGGAGGCGGAGGTTGCAGTGAGCCGAGATCGTGCCATTGCACTCCAGCCTGGGGGACAAGAGTGAGACTTTGTCTCAAAAACAAACAAACAAAAAACAAACAAATGAAAAACAACACAGACGGCTAGGTATGGTGGCTCACACCTATAATCCCAGCACTTTGGGAGGCTAAGGCAGGAGGACGCTCAAAGCCAGTAGTAGCTCAAGACCAGCCTGGGCAACAAAGCAAGATCCTGTCTCGACGAAGAATTTTTAAAAATCAACCTGGTGAGATGGCACACCTGTAGTCTCAGCTACTTGGAAGCTGAAGTGGGAGGATCATTTGAGCCCAGGATGTGGAAGCTGCAGTGAGCTATGATTGTGCCACTGCTCCAGCGTGGGCGACAAAGCAAGAACCTGTCTCTAAAAAAAAATGTAAAAATGTTTAAAACCACAGCGTATATAGAACAATATTGGATATTTGTTCCTGGCCAACAAGCTTTCATTGAGCAATGTGTAAGAACTGCTGAGGGGGAACAAAATAATCCACCTCAGAACAGAATCTCTCCCCAGAAAGCTCAGGCACCATGCGTTGCAGAACAGAGAGGCTTGTTTCCGGAATGAAGACAGGGTTCAGGGGCACCTCGAGTAGCAGCTGAGGCCTGAAGCACTGCATCTAGAGCAGTGGTTTTCAAAGTATGGTCTCTGAGACAACAGCATCACCTGGGATGTAGTAAAAATGCAGATTCCCAGGGCTTGTCTCAGACTTTCTGAGTCAGAAACTTGGTGGGGTGCAGTGGGGGGGGTGGGGGGGGCAGTAATCTGCATTTTAACAAGTCCTCCAGGTGATTCTAATTCAATTTAAAGTTTGAGAACCATTGACGTAGTCTGGACTCCAGAAAATCATCTTGGAAATTTTGAGCCCTGCTGGATTACAGGCAGGAGGGCGGCAGGGAAGGACCCTGCTTTAAGCTATTGCAGTCATTTCCTCCCTAGTGTAAATGGGGATGGGAGTGGAGGTGGAGGGGGTGAAGGTGAGAACACCGGAGGCAGAGAGGCTGAGGAGGTAGAGGAGCACATCTTTTCTGCCTTCCCTGTGGAAGCAGGATCCACCCAGTGCAATGATAAAGCAGCTGCCTGAATAGGATCCTGCCCTCTGTTTCACAGGCATGGGGTCTGCAAATGCGTCTGGAAGGGTTACATGGTGGGATAGAGTTAGGTGAGATGGCCACAGGGAGGATCTCAGGATCAGTCCGGAGATCAACCCTAACTGGCTGCTGTGTACAACCTGCACAACAGTACATGGTAGCCCTGCTCAGGAAACAGGAGCTGAAATAAATAGAAGCTTCATCCTCAGAGCAAAGAAGAGATATGAAGGCGAATGCCAGGGTTGAGGGGGGCAGTAGATGAAAGAGAAGATGAGCTCCAGAACAAGGTGTTTTAAGGGATTTGTTCTGATCAGGTCTGGTAAGACACACAGACACCGAAATGACTCATTGTAATTGCCAAAGCCAATGCACTGAGAATAGCAGCGGTTTTTTTTTTTTGGTTTTTTTTTTTTTGTTTTTTTGCAGCAAATAAACAGTTTAATAATCACAGGGCCAGCCAAGTGGAAGAATGAGAGTTAGCTCTTAAATCCATCTCCCCAAGAATTTGGAGGCTAGAGTTTTTCAGGGATCATTTGGTGGGCAGGCAGCCAAGGAATGGGGAGTGCTGATTGGTAGGTTGGAGGCTGAAATCATGGGGGTCGAAGCTATCTTCTTGTGCTGAGTCCATTCCGGGGTGGGGGTCATAAGACCAGTCGAGCCAGTTCCATGGTATGGGTTACTGGTCCGGGTGGTGCCAGCTGGTCTATCAGAATGCAAGGTCTGAAAGGTACCTCAGATGCCAGTTTTAGTTTTTACAAAAGTGGTGTTCTCTATAGAAGCGTTTGGGGGAGGTTACAAATCTTGTGACCTCTGGCCACACAACTACTAAACCCCATTCTATCCTCGTTGCTAATTTTTTATTGGTTTTACAAAGGCAATTTTGGTCCCTGAGCAAGGTGGGGGTTAGTTTCAGGAAGGGGCAGTTATGATCTTTGTTTTAAAGTGAAACTATAAACTAAATTCCTCTCCTGTTTAGCTTGGCCTACACCCAGGAAGGAGCAAAGGCAGTTAGCTTGTGAGATTAGAAGCAAGACGGAGTCATTTGGGTCAGATTTTTCTCATTGCCATAATTTCTGTCAGATTTCTCTCATTGTCACAAATTTTACAAAGGCGATTTCATTATGAAGAAAGGTTTTTTGGTTGTTTTTGTTTGCTTGTTTGTTTGTTTTTGAGACAGGGTCTCACTTTGTCACCCAGGCTGGAGTGTAGTGACACAATCTCAGCTCACTGCAGCCTCCAGTTTCCTGGCCCAGGTGATCCTCCCACCTCCACCCCACCCAGTAGCTGGGACTACAGGCCTGTGCCACCACGCCTGGCTAATTTTTTTGTGTTTTTAGTAGAGAAGGGATTCACCATGTTGAAACCAGGTTCAAGACCACCAGACTGGTCTTGAACTCCTGAGCTCAAGTGATCCTCCTGCCTTGGCTTCCCAAAGTGCTGGGATTACAGACGTGAGCCACTGCACCTGGCTGAAGGAAGAAGTTTATTATACTCACAGATTCTCTAGAAACAGGAGACATGGCCCACCGCACCAGGGGACACAGGAGGAAGCCCCAGGCTGGGCAGGAGGAAGAGGGGGCCAGGAGAAAACGAGAGCAACAGTCTTTACCGTGGTTTCCAGGGGATGAGCGGGTGAGGCAAGGTAGGCGGACTCAAGGTTGGCTAGTCTGAATCATTTCCGCAGCCATGGGGGCTGCCCCTAGTGGTCTGGTACCGCTAGGGGAGTATGACAGCCCAATAGCGGAGGTGGCTGGGGTTTGGGGTTTGGGGCTCTGAATTGCTCGGTTTGCATTTGAAAGGCAGGTTGCCTCGTGAGTTGTTTACTGTATCTAGAAATTGACTAATCCCGGCAGGGGCACCCCCTCCAGGGTTTTGCTTCTCTACAGAAAACAAAAGGCATGGTTAATCTACAGGGATAATGAAGTAAGATTCTGCAAGCTCGCCTACTCAATTGACCTGACCACTTTGTTAACACCTGTACACACCTGTGCTGGCCAGCACAAGAGCCCCTAGTAACTTGGGGCTCTTGGACGCTTGAAATAGGGCCAGCATGACTGAGGAACTGAATTTTACATTTTTATTCCAGTCTTCTGTTAAATAGCCTTCCTAAGAGTCTAAAATATCTTATTTTTATATTGAAGACATGTTGAAATTATAATATTTTGAATATATTGTACAAAAATTAAATATACTATTAAAATTAATTTCATCTGTGTCTCTTTACTTTGTAAAATGTGGCTTCTAGAAAACCTAAAATGACATATGTGCTTGTATTATTTTTCACCAGACAGTGCTGGCCTATACTTAATAGTGATTGGAAGTAAAATCCTAAAACAACAACAATAAAAAGGTGGCTTTTTAAAATCAAGGAGCTCTAGCCGGGCACAGTGGCTCATGCCTGTAATCCCAGCACTTTGGGAGGCCGAGGCGGGCGGATCACCTGAGGTCAGGAGTTCGAGATCATCCTGACCAACATGGAGAAACCTCGTTTCTACTAAAAATACAAAATTATCTAGGCATGGTGGCGCGCGCCTGTCATCCCAGCTACTTGGGAGGCTGAGGCAGGAGAATCGCTTGAACCCGGGAAGTGGAGTTGCGGTGAGCTGAGATAGCACCATTGCACTCCAGCCTGGGCAACAAGAGCAAAACTCCATCTCAAAATAAAATAAAATTAAGGAGCACTTTAAAATCTGCTGTGAGACTTGTGTGCTTACAAAGCAGAGCACAGTCCACACCTTCCTCCTGTTGGAGGATGACATCCTTCTTGCTGGGGATTGGCACCCGCCCATCAGGATCTGGGAGACTCTGGGGTGGGCAGGAGAGGTTGACGAGGCTGAAAGCAAAAACTTTATGCTCAAGCAATTTCTTGAGAGAGAAATCTACCTCAGTTCCTGCAACCCAGCCACAGCCATGAAGCCCAGAAGCAATGTGTCTCATTTCTGGCTCTGCAGACCCCTGCTCCACACTCCTGACCCAGACTGACTGCTCCCAGGCAGAGACAAAGAACAGCAAAGAGTGCCAAGGGGCAGGCCCGGAGCGAGCATCTGCAGCGGCCTCGTGCCCTCTCCCCCGCATGTTCTTGTGTGGCTGCCAGCCCTGGGAAGTGTGTGTGATTCACAGACATCCTCAAGGTTAGACTTTTGGAGGCATTGTGGTTATAAATTAGTACAAGAGTTTTCTTGGCACAGGATCCAGGAGCCTGGCCCTGTGTCAGCTGCAGGAAAGCTTCTCAGCTAATTGGGGTGCTGGTGGGTGGGAGGAAGGGGGCAGAAGGGGCCAAGGCTCCGTTCCAAGGACAGAGACAAAGCTGTCACCAGGCTCGCTCATGAAAACCCTGGGGCTGTGCAGGGCAGGGGTGGGGGCATCAAGGCTAGAAGAGTGACCACCTCACAGAGCACCAGAGGAGGGGGTGCTACAGCGGGCAGCCACCTGCACCTGCACACTTTAGTCATCGGTGTGAGGAGCATTGATCTATGTGCAAACAGGATCCAAAATCCTAGGTCACATCCTGTAGTGAACTTGGGGTGAGACTTCTTGGTGGAGGGGCTCTCTTAAGTTGCAAAACAGCCATCTATGTAGCCCAGAAGAGCTACTATCTTGAAGAAGGAAAGAATGTTCTTCCCACCAGTAGAGGCAGTCTAGTTCACTCAGTCTGACAGGCTTTCTTTTAGGCCTAATATGAGCCAGACACTGGAGTCCAAGGCACTCGTGGTGCCTCCCTTCCCTCAAGGAGCTTCGAGGAGAAGGAGGTCATTGTGTAATAAAGTACAGGCAGGACGTAGTGGCTCACGCCTGTAATCCCAGCACTTCGGGAGGCCGAGGCAGGTGGATCACCTGAGGTCAGGAGTTTGATACCAGCCTGGCCAACATGGTAAAACCCCCATCTCTACTAAAAACACGCACAAAAAAATTAGCTGGGCGTGGTGGCCGTTGCCTGAGGCAGGAGAATCGCTTGAACCCAGGAAGCGGAGGTTGCAGTGAGCTGAGACCGTGCCATTGCACTCCAGCCTAGGCAACAAGAATGAAACTCCATCTCCAGAAAAAAAGAAAGTATAAGTGTTGAGAAAGGGAAGTAAGGAGAAGGTACTCTTATCTGAAGGTCAGAGAAGGCCTCTTGAAGGCCTCTACATACAAGAACATGCATGTATATTTTGGCAATCCAGGGGAGGCTGAGGGCAGAGGACAGTGTTTCCAGCTGAGGGATTTGCACACACAAAGGCTCAGAGGCGAGAGAGGGCTGTTCCACCATGAGTTAATGCATTCAGCAATAATGTGTGGATTTATTAGCCACACCAGTGCCAAATGTGTTTTGGGATGATTTTACCACCCTGACCTGCTCCAGAAATACACACAATAACATATACAATAGCGGTCCCTCATTTATTCACATAGCATTCCTGGGGCATCAAAAGTGTCAGGCACAGGAGTTCATTGTCAGAGGGTAGCAAATAGTCAGGGAACCCAGAGGATGGCAGGCTTGGAGTTGCAGAATTCGGGGAGAGGAGGGAGAGGTGCTGGGGGGCCAAAGCAGCTCCATCTTGGATGCTAATCTGCTATGTTGGATTCTGACTAACCCGTTCCAGGAAGCCTCTAAGATTGCCAGTGTATCTATTGTTCCTTTGGTAAGGGCAGGAACTTACTGTAAATCCTGCCCTTAGGTCAAACAACCTTGATGTCATAGTACGTCAATTATCCTACACATCCCTTCTGAAGCACCCCTCCCCTGTGGCATAGAAGCCCTAGGTCTGAGGGACAATGCATGGATCCACCGTCTCATCTTATTGCAGCCCAAGACACTGACATGGCTTCTGTTCGTAAATTACTTAGAAACTATGGTTTCTTCTATTAAATGTTTCTAAGAAACTGCATTTGCCAGCCTCTGTCTTCAGCCTATCAGTTTCTTCAGACTTTGGGGTAGGTTTGCCTAGGCCTGCCCACCACAAAACAGGTGCAACAAAGACAAGAAATTGAGGGAGACAACATTCATTGCAAGTTTGTGGCATGCCTTCTCTGAGAGCATGAAGGTCCATGGCACATAATCCTAGGAGCCTGAAGGAAGAGAAATATCACGGCACCTCTTTCTTCTGGGCTTCCCACATTTTGCCACTTGCCACATATTGGAAGATTTACCTCATATTGTCTCATGTCTTGACCCTCTCTCCACTCCCACTGCCTGCTCAGGGTCCCATCAGTTCCTGCCTGGACTAAAAAAACAGCCCCCTCATTAAAAAATTAGCAGGGCATGGTGGCATGCACCAGTAATCGCAGCTACTCAGGAGGCTGAGACAGCAGAATCGCTTGAACCACAGGCAGAAGTTGCAGTGAGCCGAGATTGCACCATTGCCCTCCAGCCTGGGCGACAGTGAGAGACTCCATCTCAAACAAACAAATAAATGAACAAAAAACCACAGTGGTGCTTATAAGAACACAAGAATCAAAATAGACTGAAAAGTAGAAGCAGGGCCCTGACGAGGGATTGGCTAGTGTGATCTCTGGCCAGTACTGACTGTCTGGATGATCAGTGTAATGAGACAATGATGTCTGTGCCCCTTTGGCTGTATTGAGGTGTACTGAAGGAACAGGAGACGGGCAACCGCTTGGCGGTCAGTGCAGAGAGGAGCAAGGGGTGGAAAGTGTTCATGTTATGGAGAAGACAAGCAATAGATTCATGAAGAAACCATAGTTTCCAATAATTTATGATAACGACAAAAATCATGCCTAGCAGTAAGACTAACAACGAATATACAAAGGTATTTATGGGTAAATCCCATCCAATTTATCCAAGATTCAATACAATTCCAAGCAAATTGCCTACAGAGCTTTCCTTAGCACCTAAGAAATTATCTCTAAAATTTATATGGAAAGAGAAGTTTCAAGAACAAGCAAGACTATTTAGAAAATGTTATCTTTAATCTACTAGATATTCAGAACTATTAAAATTATGGTAATTAAAGGCAGGAATAAAGGGTTAATGTTATGTATTCTAACAATGTAGAAATAGTAAAACTAACAATAACGGGAGAGAAAATGGGAAGTAAAATAAGCTTAGTGATAGTGTCATGTAAAATTGCTGGGAATCCAAAGATGCTACTTATAGTAATATCAGCTTGAGGATTTTTAGCACACAAATGTGAAAACAAGTTATTAGTGACTAAAACTGGATGATAAGAGAGGGGCACTAGAGCAAAGAAGACAAAAGATTAAATTGCTACTCATAGTAGGGAACCAATAAATGTTGTTCAAAGGAAGGAGAAAGTAAGGGTATTATATATAGACAGAAATGTGAAAGAAACCACTAAAGCAAATACAAACCTTCCTAAACACAAAGATGACTACAACAGCAACAAAAATGAACAAAGAAAACAGATCACACAGTAAAATAAACACCTGCACAAATATGTATACACACACATAAACACTAATATAAACATTAAACAAAATAATATGAAAGGACTGAGACAAAACATATCTCTCATATCAAAAAATGAAAATGGGTTTAAATGACCTATTAAAAGCAGTACACTGCTCTATGCCATATTCAGAGATATACCCAAAACAATGTGACTCGGAAAGATTACAAAGAAAACAAAAGTATGGGCAAGAGTATCTCTGCTGGATGTCAAAAAAAAAAAAAATGGAGTTGGCAGCTCCAAGGGTCCATCCCTCCATAGACACATTTAAAAATCAAGCACAAACTTTCAGAATCAACTTTGTCAGAACTCTAGAAAAGCCAAAGGCTTACAATAACAAACAAATCCTGTATCAAGAAAAAACTATCCAGAAATGATAGGAAAGCTTTGTGGTGCTTTTATTTGCTCTTGTCCCATCCCCCTCCAGAGCTCCTCAACAGTCTTGAAGGTGGTGATTCACATTCCGAGTGTGGGACTCTAGTCTTTTGTTCTAGAAGGAGTAGAGCAAACCCTGTTTGTAAAGATTTGTTTCTCTTTTTTCTTTCTTTCTTTCTTTCTTTCTTTCTTTCTTTCTTTCTTTCTTTCTTTCTTTCTTTCTCTTTCTTTCTTTCTCTCTTTCTTTCTCTTTCTTTCTTTCTCTCTTTCTTTCTCTTTCTTTCTTTCTTTCTCTTTCTTTCTTTCTTTCTCTTTCTTCTTTTTCTTTCTTTCTCTCCATCTCTCTTTCTTTCTCTCTGTCTCTCTTTCTTTCTTTTTCTTTCTTTCTCTCCGTCTCTCTTTCTTTCTCTCTGTCTCTCTTTCTTTTTCTTTCTTTCTCTCTCTCTTTCTTTTTCTTTCTTTCTCTCTGTCTCTCTTTCTTTCTTTCTTTTTCTTTCTTTTTCTTTTTCTTTCAGACAAGGTCTCACTCTGTCACCTAGGCTGGAGTGTAGTAGCCTGATCACGGCTCACTGCAGCCTTGACACCCTCAGGCTCAAATGATCCTCCCACCTCTGCCTTCTGAGTAACTGGAGGCATGTGCTACCATGTCCGGCTAATTTTTTTTTGTATTTGTAGAGATGGGGTTTCACCATGTTGCCCAGGCTGGTCTTGAACTCCTGAGCTCAAGTGATCTATCTGTCTTGGCCTCCCAAAGTGCTGGGATTACAGGTGTGCACTACTGAGATTTATGTTTTTCTATTCTAACTAGTCTGGGAGTTAACCAAAGGACTGACACACAGTACTTGTTTTTGTTTTAACTAACTTGGAACCAACTCAGAGCAGAAAAGTGGCTGACATTTTCTAAAAGTATTGTAAGCCAAACTACTTGCAGCCACTTTGGGCAAAAGATTATGATTGAGGAAGTGTCACAAGCCTGAGTGAAAAAGCTGGGAAGAGAGTTTCTTTGGGAAATCGGGGCACTCAAAAGGGCCCTTCCATACTTAGGAATTTAGAAGGCCAGAGGCATCCCCAGGGCAGGACACATAGTAAGACCTGAGAAGATGCTACATTTTCACTTCTGAATGATCTCTAGGCTCAGTGCAAGGAGGAAGTGAAGGTTAAGGTAGAGTTGTAAATGGCCTGACCAAAAGTTGAAGACATGCTCCAACACAGAGCCAATCTGCAAAGAACGAGGAAAAGTTGGATTTCTTGCTTCTCATCTTTTTTGTCCCCCTGTATCTCTCTTTCTCCTTGTTTCATTTTATTTGTGGGTGAACAGTGGGGGGAATCCTGGCACCAAGGAAATCTCTTTCAAAACACTAGCTGAGTGCAAGATAAATATAAACTTCAGAGACATCACAAAGAATACAAACTTTACAAAAATAGTTTAGAAAAGTTACTAAATAAACAAATAGCTACAACCTATAGCAAGAAAGAAATCCCGAGGACAGGGAAAAATATGATTTAACAAAAAATGATGAAGCATGCAAGGGGAAAAAATATGGCCCATTCATCGAATAAATTAACAGAAACTCTCCCTGAAGAAGCACAGATATTGAATTTATTGGACAAATACTTTAAATTAACTGTCTTAAATATATTCAAAGAAGTAAAGAAGGCTGGGCACGGTGGTTCACACCTGCAATCCCAGCACTTTGGGAGGCCTAGGCAGGCAGATTGTCTGAGGTCAGGAGTTCGAGACCAGTCTGGCCAACATCTCTACAAAAATACAAAAATTAGCCTGGCATGATGATGTGCACCTTTAGCCCTAGCTACTTGGGAGGCTGAGGAAGGAGAATCGCTTGAACCTGGGAGGCTGAGGTTGCAGTGAGCCAAGATCACACCGCTGCACTTCAGCTAGGGCAACAGAGTGAGACTGTATCTCAAAAAAAAAAAAAAAAAAAGTAAAAGAAAGCATGGACAAAGAGCAAAAGAAACTAGAACAAAGTATGAACAAATAGAGAATATCAAGACATAGAAATTATAAAAGGAACCAAATAGAAGTTCTGAAGATGAAGAATACAATAACTGAAAGAAAAAACTCACTAGAGGGCTTTTTTTTTTTTTCCTCTGAGACAGGGTCTCTGTCACCCAGGCTGGATGCAGTGACATGATCATGGCTCACTGTTAGCCTCAACCTCCTAGGCTCAGGTGACCCTCCTGCCTCAGCCTCCCAAGTAGCTGGGATTACAGGTACAGGCCACCATGCCAAGCTAATTTTTAAAAAATTTTTTGTAGAGACAGGGTTTCACCATATTGACCAGGCTGGCCTCAAACTCTTGGGATCAAGAGATCTGCCCATCTCGGCCTCCCAAAGTGCTGGGATTACAAGCATGAGCCACCTTGTTTGGCCCCTCACTAGAGGGCTTTAATAGCAGATCTGAGTAAGAAGAAAGAATCAGCAAACAAAAGATGGATCAATTGAAATAATTGAGTCTAAGGAGCAGAAAGAGAAAAGAATGAAGAAAAATAGACAGAGCTTGATAATAGTTTGTATATTTTTCCAAACCCAAATCTCATTTTGAACTATAATCCCAAGCATTGGAGTTGGGGCCTGGTGAGAGGTGATTGGATCACGTGGGTGAATTTCTCATGAATGGTTTAGCATCATCCTGTTGATGCTGTCCTCAAGATAGTGAGTGAATTCTCATGAAATCTGAGTGTTTAAAAGTATGTGGCACCTCCCTCTCTCTTGCTCCTGTTTTTGCCATGTGAGGTGTCTGCTTCCACTTTGCCTTTCCTCATGGTTGTAAACTTCCTCAGGCCTCCCCAGAAGCTGATGCTGGAGCTGTGCTTCCTGTACAGCCTACAAAACTATGAGCCAATTAAACTTCTTTTTCTTTATAGATTACTCAGTCTCAGATATTTCTTTAAAGCAACACAAGAACAGCCTAATACAGAGCCTAAGGGACTGTGGGACATCAAGTGCACCAACATATGCATAATGAGAATTCCAGAAGGAGAAGAGAGGAGAGGAGAGCAGGAAGCAGAAGAAGAAGCAGAAGAAATGGAAGTGGAAGAAAGAAGAAGAAAAAGAAGAAGGAGAAGGAGGAGGAGAAGGAGGAGGAGGAGGAGGAGGAGGGGTGGGGGAGGGGAGGGGGAGGGGGAGGAGGAGGAGGAGGGGTGGGGGAGGGAGGGAGAGTGGAGGGGAGGAGGAGGAGGAGAAGAAGAAAAGAAGAAGAAGAAACATTTGAAGAAATAATGGCTTAAATCTTCCCATAGGCTGAGCATGGTGGCTCACACCTGTAATCCCAGCACTTTGGGAGGCTGAGGTGGGTGGATCACTTGAGGTCAGGAGTTTGAGACCAACCTGGCCAACACAGTGAAACCCCATCTCTACTAAAAATGCAAAAAAATTAGCTGAGCGTGGTAGCACACACATGTAGTCCCAGCCACTCAGGAGGCTGAGGCAGGAGAATCTCTTGAACCCAGGAGGCAGAGGCTGCAGTGAGCCAAGATCATACCACTGCACTCCAGCCTGGGTTTCAGAGTGAGACTTCATCTCAAAAGATAATGATAATAATAAAATAAAAATAAAAATAAAATAAATCTTCCCATAGTATCATTGTGAACTATACCAAACACTTGAAAAATTAACACAAATTTTTCTCAAAATATTTCAAGAAGTAGAAGAGAAGAAAAAACTTCCCACTTCATTCCATGAGGCCAGCATTACCCTGATACCAAAGGTAGACAAAGATACCATAGGAAAACTTATGAATATAAATATAAAAATCGTCAACATAATGCTAGCAAACTAAGTTCATCAGCACATCAAAAGGATTATACACTATGACCAAGTGGATTTATTCCAAGAATGCAAGCATGGTCCAACATAAGAAAATCCATCCATGTTATACACCACATTAATAGAACTACAGAAGAAAAACCACACGATTATCTCAATTGACACTAAAAACACATTTGACAAAATCCAACACCCTTTCATGATAAAAGCACTCAGAAAAGAGGAGTAGAAAGGACTTCCTCGACATAAGGACATCTATGAAAAACTCACAACTAACATCAGACTCAATGGTGAAAGACTGAAAGCTTTCCCCCTAAGATCAGTCACAAAACCCTGGGATTGACAATGAAATGCCAGCTTTCACCACTGCTATTCAACATTATACTGGAAGTTCTAGCCAGAGCAATTAGACAATAAAAAAAAAAGTTCTCTCAATTGGAAAGGAAAGAGTAAAACTATTTCCATAAAGATAATCCCCTATAAAGTCTCAAAGAATCCACAAAAATAACTACTAGAGCTAATAAATAAGAAGTCAGTAAAGTTAAAAAATTTAAGAAAACAATTCCATTTACAACAGCATCCAAAAGAATAAACACCTATGAATAAACTTAGCCAAGGAAGCAAAAGACTTGTATATTGAAATCTACAAAACATTGCTAAAAGAAATTAAAGAAGACCTAAATCAATGGAAAGACAACATGTGTTAATAAGTTGGAAAACTTAACATTGCTAAGATTTCAATACAACCCAAATAAATCTACAGTTTTAATGCAATACTTACAAAATTCTATTTGCCTTTTTGCAGATTTGGAAAAGCTGATCCCAAATTCATATGAAATGCAAAGTCCCTAAATTGCCAAAACATCTTGAAAAAGATGAAAGTTGGAGGACCCATACTTCCTAATTTTGAAACTTACTACAAAGCAATGGTAATTAAGACTGTGTGTTACTGGCATAGGAATAGACATATAGATCAATAGAATAGAATTCAGAGTCCAGAAATAAAACCCTACATCTATAGCCAATTGATTTTGTACAGAATGCTGAGATCACTCAAAATGGGAAGAATAATCTCTCCAACAAATAGGGGCTGGGAAAATTAGATAGCACATGCAAAAGAATGAAGTTGTTCCCCTAACTCACACCTTACATAAAAATGAATTCAAAATGGATGAATGACTATGTATTAGAGCTAAAAAATCATAAAACTCTTGGTCAGGCGTGGTGGCTCATACCTGCAATCCCAGCACTTTAGGAGGCCAAGGTGGGCGGATCACCTTAGGTCGGGAGTTCGAGACCAGCCTGACCAATATGGTGAAATCCCATCTCTACTAAAAAAATAGAAAAATTAGCCGGGCGTGGTGGTGGGTGCCTACAATCTCAGCTACTCAGGAGGCTGAGGTGGGAGAATAGCTTGAACCCAGGAGGTGGAGGTTGCAGTGAGCCGAGATCATGCCACTGCACTCCAGCCTGGGCAACAGGCTCAAAAAAAAAATCATAAAATTCTTGTAAAAAATATAGAATTAAATACTCATGGATTCTTAGATATGACACCAAAAGCATTAACAAAAAAATTAAATTGAAGTTTACCAAAATTAAAAACTTTTATGCATCAAAAAACATTGTCAGGAAAGTGAAAAGGCAAGCTACAAAATGGGAGAAAATCTTTGCAAATCGTAAAACTTATAAGGATCTAGTATGTAGAATATATAAGGAACTTCAACATAAAAAGGCTAACAACCCAATTGAAAAATGGGCAAAGGATTTGAATAGACATTTCTCCAGAGAAGATGTACAAGTAGCCAAATGTGCATATTAAAAGATAATTAATTTCTTCAGTCATTAGGAAAATGCAAATTCAAACTACGTGGCTATGATTTTTTAAAAAAGGAAAATAAGTATTGATGAGGATGTGGAGAAACTGGAAGTCAAATATATTGATGGTGGAATGTCAAACAGCCTGGCCACTGTGGTTAATACTAACGTGGCCACTGTGGTTAAACAGTTTGGTCCTTCCTCAGAAAGTTAAACATTGACCTAGAAATTCCAGTCCTAGTTATATATCCCAAAGCATTAAAAAATAGATACTTAAATACATATATGTACAAACATGTTCATAGCAGCATTGTTCACAATAGTTTAAAGACAGAAACAACCCAAAACATCCACCAACAAATGAATGGATAAACAAATTGTAATATATCCATATGATATAATATTACACAGTCATAGAAAGGAATGAAGTACTGACACACTGCAATGTGGATAAACCTTAAAGACATTACACTAAGTGAAAGAAGGCAAACAGGAAAGGTCACATATGATTTCATGTGCACAAAATATCCAGAATAGGAAAATCCTCAGAGACAGAAACAAGATAGATTGTTGCCAGGGCTGATGGGAAAGGAAAATGGTGAGTAATTGTTGTGTTTCCTTGTAGGGTGTTGAAAGTGTTTTAAAGCTGGATTGAGCAGGTGGTTGCCCAACCCTGTGAATTGTGTAGTAAATACCACTGAATTGTTCAGTTTAAAATAGTTAATTTTATGTGATGTTAATGTTACCTCCATAAAATAAAAGTCTATCAAGAAAATTCAAACATAGAGTCCCTGCCTTAATATCACATAGGGTAGAATTTAGACAAAAGTCATTAAACAAGACAAAGAAAGATGATCTAAACAAGATGACCTAAAGTTAATATCGAAAAATTGCTACAGACAGAATGTTTGTGTTCTCTCAAAATCTATATGTTGAAACCTAATCCCCAATGTGATGGTGTTAGGAGGTGGGGGGGACTTTAGGAGATGGTTGGGTCATGAGGGTGGAGCCCTCATGAATGGGATTAGTGCCCTGATGAGAGACCCCCAGGAGCTTCATGGCCCTTTCCACCATATGATGCAGAGAGGAGACGGCTGTCTATGAACTAGGAGGTGGGCCCTCACCAAACACCATATCTGTGAGCACCTTGATCTTAGAGTTTTCAGCCACTAGACCTATGAAAAGTAAATCCCAGCCTTTACACGTGTGAAAAATAAATTTCTGTTGTCTATAAGCTACTCAGCCTATGATAGTTTGTTATATCAGCCCGAACAAAGACAAAAATAAAATGGAAGACAGTAGAATAATGTAACAATGATGTAAGACTATCTCCATCAGATATTAAAATACTATAAAGCCCAAGTATTAAAATAATACGATATTGGCACATTAATAGATAACACCAATGGAACAGAAAAAAAATCCAGAAATAGACACAAATATATAAAAGAATTTAAAATGTGATAAAGGCAGCGTCTCAAGTCAAGGAAGAAAAAAATGGACTGATTAACAAAGGTTTGCTACAGCTTTGGGTAAAGAAAAAGTTGAATCTACACCTTTTATTCAATGCCAGGATAAACTGCAAATAGATTGATATTTAAATATAGAAAAGTGAAATGGTACAAGCCCTGGAAGATAGCAAGGGGTAAATTCTTTATAACTTTTGAGTGGGAAAAGCCTTTTAAACCATGACTCAATAACCAAAGCCATTGAAAACTTGGTATATTTGACTACATAAATATTTAAAAAAAAATTTGCATGATTAAAAACACAATAAGCAAAGTCCAAAGACATATACTTGTAAGCCCTGTCCCAGAAAAAGTGCTGATTTTTCTATTTTATAAAGCATTTCCAGAAATTGAGAAGAAAAGAACTGATAATTTAATAGAAAAATTGATAGAAGGACATAAAAGTGGCCATTAAATATGTGAAAGATGCTCAATCTCTTTCATTTTAAGAGAAATTAAACCTACAACGATACACTTTTTTACCTTTCAGACTGACAAAAATCCCAGTTTAAAACCACACTCTGTTGGGAGGGTGGGCAGGAATGCACACTCAAATGTTACTCAAATATTTGTGAAGTGTACAAATACACCCCCATTCTGTTATGCAGACTTGCAAATGCATTTACCCTCTAACTTATTAATCCCACTTGGGGAACCTATTTCCCAGATATATCTGCTTCATTAAGCTGGCGTAGGCAAACAATGGCCTGCTGGCTACATCTAGCCTGCAGTTTGTTTTCATACAGGCTGTAAGCTAAGAATGATATTAACATTTTAAATGGTTGGATAGGCCGGACACGGTGGCTCACGCCTGTAATCCCAGCACTTTGGGAGGCCGAGGTGGGCAGATCACCTGAAGTCAGGAGTTTGAGACCAGCCTGGCTAACATGGTGAAACCCTGTTTCTATTAAAAATACAAAAAATTAGCTGGGCATGGTGGCGCATGCCTACAATCCCAGCTACTCGGGAGGCTGAGGCAGGAGAATTGCTTGAACCCAGGAGGCAGAGGTTGCAGTGAGCTGAGATCGCACCATTTAGCTTGGGCAACAAGAGCGAAACTCTGTCTCAAAAATAAATAAATAAATAAATAAATAAATAAATAAATAAATAAATAGTTGGATAAAATCCAAATAAACACTTTCTCACATGAAAAATATATAAAATTTAAATCTCAGCATTTATATATGAATTTAGAATTTCACCAATAAAAATTTGGTGAAATATTTTTCTTTTTTGTTACATAAGCATCAGCGTAATATCCTTAATTGTACCTGTTGGCTCAAGAAGTCTAAAATATTTACTATCTATCTGGCCATTTACAGCAAACATTTGCCATCGCCTGCATTACAGCACTACTTATAGACACAAGGTATTGGAAACAACCCAAATGTCCAGCAATGTGGAAATAATCAGTAGTATATCCCCACAATAAAATTCCATGTGGCTGTTTTTAAAAAATGAAAAATTCTCATTTCACTGATAAAGATTTCCAGGATATTTTTAAGTGAAAAAAGGCACAAAATAATGTATGTCATTGCTCCACTTTGTGTAAGAAAGTAGGAAAATTAGAATGTATGTGTAATGTATGCATTTTTTAGCTTGTATTTGCATTGAGAACCACTGGAAGGACAAACCAGAAACTAATAAATATGGAAATATGGACACCTATAAAGGTGAATGGGGACAGTGGTGGCAGACTTAGTGCAGTGCTTGTTTTGTTTTGTTTTGTTTTGGTTTGGTTTGTTTTTTTAAGGCAGAGTCTCATCCAGGTGTGGTGGCTCACTCCTGTAATCCCAGCACTTTGGGAGGCCGAGAAGGGTGGATCACAAGGTCAAGAGTTCAAGACCAGCCTGGCCAATATGGTGAAACCCCATCTCTACTGAAAATACAAAAATTAGCCGGACGTGGTGATGGGCGCCTGTAGTCCCAGCTACTCGGGAGTCTGAGGCAGGAGAATCGCTTGAACCTGAGAGGCAGAGGTTGCAGGGAGCCGAGATCATGCCATTGCACTCCAGCCTGGGCAACAGAGCGAGACTCCATCTCAAAAAAAAAAAAAAAAAAAGACAGAGTCTCACTCTGTCGCCCAGGCTGGAGTGCAGTGACATTATCCCGGCTCACTGCAAACTCCGCCTCCTGAGTTCAAGTGATTCTTGTGCCTCAGCCTCCCATGTGGCTGGGATTACAGGTGTGTGCCGCCATGCCTGCTAATTTTTGTATTTTTAGTAGAGATGGGGTTTTGCTGTGTTGGCCAGGCCAGTCTCGAACTCCTGACGTCAAGCGATCTGCCCACCTCTACCTCCCAAAGTGCTGGGATTACAGGCATGAGCCACCACCCCCAGCTGTAATGCAGTGTTTTAGTTGCTGAATCCTTGTGCCTAAACAACATTGCCTGGTATGTGAAATAGGCATTCAATCGACATTTATTTATTAAATGAATGAATGAATTAATAAGACATATTCCATGTGGAACTGAAGGGTAGAGCTTGGATCAATGGTGAGAATTCAGTGAAGGTTTTAGCTCTGCATCAGGAAGATCTTTTTACTCAAGCAGTCAGAACAGGAATGGGCTACTTTGGGAGATGGGAGATGGGCCACTTGGTGTTAATATATTAGTTCCCAAACCTGAATACATGTAGGGGGATTTAAAACCAGATTTCTAGGACTTATTCTATAATGAATCAGAATCTCTGAGGGTATATCCCAGATGCCTGGGTATTTGGGGTGTTTTTTTAGCTTCTCAAGAAATCTGGATGTAATCAGCCTAGCACCATTCATTCACTTATTTATCCAGGAACTATCTATGGAGCACCTACTACATGCCACGCTGCTGCGTGAGGTGATGAGGACAGAACCAGGATTAAGATAGGCACGGTCCCAGCTCTAATGAGACTGGCAGTCTAGAGGGAGAAGAAACAGGCAACAGGGAAATAAAAGGACCAATACAGAAGAGCATTTCAGACACCCGATGAAGACGATAAGGCAGGGTGAAGTGATAGGGAGTTTAACTGGCTGGGGAAGGCCTTCTAAAGAGGCATTTTAGCTGGGAACTGTATAAGAAGGAGCTGCAGTCATGTGAAGAAGTGAACAAAGAACATTCCAGACAGAGGGGCAGCATGCAAAGGGTCTGTGGTAGGAACAAGCCTGATGGTACCAGATTGACCAGGAGGCCACTAGAGGAGCAGAAATCAATCAGATCTAAGAGGTGGGCAGGGAAGAAGTCAGGAAGGGTGGTGTAGGCCAAAGTGGGGAGTTGAGCTTTTGTTTGATGAGTAATGTGAAGGCCTGGAGTTTGGGAGCCACATTAGAAGGATGCAAACATCACACCTGGTAGAAGCAGGAGTTGAGACCCACACCTTGGTCAGCTGATTTCTGTTCCCGTCCTCCCCACTAGTACTTGTGTATTTTTTTCCCAGGGGGCCATGCATCTTAAATTTCTACATCCTTGCCAGTGCTCAAGGATGTCTTAAACACAATGGATACTCAATAGTTACTGAGTAAAATGATAAACAAATTATTCTGAAAAAGTAATAAATACAACGAACAAAAGAAAGCAACTGGTCCAGATTTTCATCCAGTCTTCTTTATGGATTTCTTGAGGGTCACTATTCCAGTAATTTACCACTTTCTAGTGAAATTACTAGTTTGAAAGATAGATCTAATTTAAATACATGCAAATAGGTGTCTTTAATCCAATGAAATTAGGCTGAATTAGTGAGAATATATGAAAAATTTCTAAACAGATGGCTTTCAATTTTTAAAAAGTTGTGTAGTTTTATGTACTTCTTAGATGTAATAAATATTACCCTAAATGCAAATTAACATTTAAAATACTAATTTCAAGGCATGTAGTACTTAAGAAGGGTCCCTAACCTATACAATGTATAAAATAAACCATCTAAATGTTTGTAACATTGCTGACACTTTCAAAATTAGAACCATGACTAAGAGCTAAAACCACTTAAAGGTCCATTTGTTGGAGGAAGGTTATGTGGAGGAAAGCACATGGCAACTGGCATCCTTCTAGGAGCAATCCCAGATCTGGCACCATCTTGCTCTGTGATTTGGACAAGCTCCTTCCTCTCTCTGGGTCCTAGGTGAGAGATGGACTAGATCATCGGTAGGGCTGTTTTTCAGTTATAAAAATTCTGTGCAATCTATTCCCCAAGAAAGAATGGGGAAAGGCAAAAGCCTTTGAGAAAAGGGTTGTTCCTCATTCATAAACACGGAAACAAATTTCACCTCCAGTGACAGGGGTTGGGGAGAATAGCACCCTTCAAATCAGCCAAGACAGAAGAGTTTGCAGATGAAAAAATTAACCCCAAGTCAAGCCACATCTAGAAGAGAACTGGTGTCAGACATCAACAGCTGAGTACACACAGCATTTGCATTTTTTTTTGACAAACATCTGATGTGGCTTTTGGTGTGAGCAAGCATCCTCTCTCCAAAATAGTTTAAATGGAAAGCTTTGATAATTCCCTAAATTCCTGATAAGTGTGTTGAAATCTGATCCTTGACAAAAATACACCCTGAAAGGACAATGCTTTGGGAAGGAGAAGAAACACTGGTTATCCACAGACCCCAGATATGAATCTCACAGAAATCATTAATGAGAACATTTTTCTAGCTTACAAACACAATGACAAAACCAGCGGCTACCCAACCTGCTCCCAGATTTTCCTACACTTGCGTACAACTGCTAATTCTGTATAAATATAAGCAGAAAAATAGCTCTTGGGACTCTTAAAACAAAGCCTATTTTCTGCCACTCTCCACCCACAACCATCTGTTAGACTCTTGATGGAAGCTGCAGATGACAGCAACCTCACAAGGAAGCTTCACAGGAAAAGCAGCTTCTGAAGGGAGAGGTCAGCATTGGAAACATAACCTGTTTTAGATTTCAAACCTGTTTGGCTAATAAGTTCAAGAGAACTTAAACTATGTTTAACAATCATTATGTTTTGGTTTAAAATAACAATAAAAAGAATAAAAAATAAAAAGGAAATCTCTCGACTCTGCTTAATTGCACTAATTGTTATTTCTTCACTTATTTATTCAACCAATGTTTGAACACCTACCATGTGCTAGACTCTGTGCCAAGGGCAGAAGATAAAACAGAGAACACATCCTTGCCATGATGAGGCTCACGAGACAGATGAAGGGACAAGTAAACAAAGAAATCATATCAATACAATGATTTCCTTCATGGCACCCACAGGTAAGGGGCTAAGACAGAAAGTCACTGTCCCATTCATTCAGAGGATGACCGGAGAGCAACTTTAGACAGGAGGACCAGAGAGCAACTCTCTGAACAGGGTTAAGCCCTAAAAGATAAGATGACACAGAGAAGTGTTCTTGGCAAAAGGGATGTCCACATACAAAGGCAGTGAGGCAGGAAATAGTTTGTTAAAGTCAAGGACCAGATATACCAGTGGGACTCGAGTGTGGTGGATGAGATGAAGTAATATGGATGAATTTGGAGGGAAAGGCAGGCCAAGACCATGAAAGGTCTTACAGCCAGGGTAGGAATTTGGATGTTAAGTGCAATGGGAAGCAATGGAAGGGAGAGGTTTTAGGAGGGAATTGATCAAATCTGATTGTTAAAGGATCCATATTGGCTACCATATGACTTGATTAGAAATAGATAAGAATGGGGGTAGGGAGAAGTGTCATGAGCTTGCTGCAGTGCAAGAGATGGGCAGTGGTCTGGAGAAGGTGGTGGTAGTCTGAACAAGGAGAAGAATGGACGGATTCAATATATATTTTGCAGTGCATATCAAATGATGTGTTGATGGTTTGTAATCGGGTTGGGGTGGTGGTGCCATATCCTGAGATGGGAAGGACTGGAGTGAGCAGGGGTAGGATGCAGAGGTGGTAGAAACAGGTTAGGGAGAAAGCAGGAAAAAAACTGTTCCATTTTGCACATGGTAAGTTTGGGTATGTCTGTGAAACTTCCAAGTGGGGGTGTCAACAAAGCATTGGATATAGGAGAATGGAATTCAGAACAGAATTCTGGGCTAAAAATAACACTTTGATGTCACCAGGATAAAGATGGTACAGAGAGGCACAGAATCCTAGGAAAAAACCCTGAGAAGCTCCAACAAGCCACGTATATGTTAGGCAAGCAAAATTCTCCGAACACAGCTTCAGGACGGCTACTTTGCCCCTGTAGTCAAATACTACAGTCATATGATTGGAAAGGGTAACTGACAACCATGGTCTGGAGAGCCTGGAAACCTCTAGCACTGGGAATGAATGAGCACTTGAAAAGTGATTAGACCACCAGGGAGGAACAATTCTCTGAGCATGATGTTCTGGGGGTGATTTGGGAACTTAGATGGCTTGAGATGGGAAAGTGTGGGGGATATTTAAGAATTCCTATAGAAAATTTAACTAACTCTACCTTTAATCTATAATGAACTGCCAAGAAAGAATTATTATTTTTGAGACAGGATCTCGCTCCATCACCCAGGCTGGAGTACAGTGATGTGATCATAGCTCACTGCAGCCTTGACCTCCCAGGTTCAGGCAATTCTCCCATCTCGGCCTCCCAAGTAGCTGGGACTACTGATGTGTGCGCCACCATACCTGTCCAATTTTTAAATTTTTTGTAAAGATGAAGTCACACCATGTTGCCCAGGCTAGAATTACTTGTTTAAAGCATATGGTCTCATAATCTTAAAAGGGCAGGAAAGGAAGGCATTTGTTATAGGGAATTGTTCATAGCACAAATTTCTAGTGGCAGTGGAGCTTGCTCAGTGAGAGGCATTCTTTGTTGTTCTTGTTTTTTTTTGGAGTGAATGAAACTGGGAAATAACTTAATCGCCCTTATTTGACAGTTGAGGAAATAAATTCTGAGGTTTACAGTGAAGTTACTTGTCCAGTCACAACTTGTCATTCCCAACCTTAGCTGTAATCATCATCTGGTAAGTTTATGAACCAAAACCCAACAACCAACCACATAATCAAACAAACTAAAACAAACACAAAATACCAGCATCCCGACTCACTTTTGGAGTTCCTGATTCATTCAGCCTGGGATGAGTGAGATCCACACATCTGTATTTTTCAAAGTTTGCCTATTTCTTTCAGAGGTTGTTAATAAAGAACAAATCAAATAAAAAAATAAAAGCTTACCCAGGTGGTTCTGACAGCCAGAAGCATCAGACGGGACTTGTACTCAAGCTTTCTAACCTAAGTATCTGTCCTCGATACTTTACTTTTTACTTTGTCACCGCTAAACTCTCATCACTTCTATTTCCTTAGCAACCTCTGACCTCCACCACTTGTCCTCCACCTCTGCATGGCGATTCTGAAGGAAATTAGAATGCCCTGGATGACCAGATCCTCCTCCCTATTGCTACTCCGTCTCTTCCTCTGCCCCCACCCCCGTCCTGGCCACATAGATGCTGAGGTTCTGCTGGTCACACTTCCTTTTCCCCAGTCTGTTCTTTTCTAGCTGATCTCATCCATTCCAATTTCTGCAAAGCCTTTGGTGTTACTGATGCCAGTCTTATCTCTGGTCTTGACGACCTGACCTCCTGCCCAATATCCAGGACTGTGGCATTTATGATTTACAAAATAACAATTTAAAGAGGACCTTAAATTGTTTCTTTATAAATGTATGAGTTAATTTATTGAGGCAGGTCCTGAGATAGGAGAAGACTGGAGTGTGCGGTGGTGGGATGGTTAATACAATCATGTAGATGTTGTGGCAGACACACCCTTGGGTGGCCTTATAATTCCTGTCTCTTAGTGTCTATGCCCTTTGTGTAATTCCCTCCCCTTGAGTGTGGGGAAGGCCAATGACCTGCTTCTAACTAATAAAATACGGAAAAAGTGAAGAGATTTTGCAGAGATAAGTGAAGTCCCTAATAAGTTGACTGAACTAATCAAACACTGTGTTGTGTGGGCCTGATCTAACCAGGCAAGCCCTTTCCAGATATAACTGAAGTCCCTAATAAGTTGACTGAACTAATCAAAGACCGTGCTCCCATTGCATGGGCCTGATCTAATCAGGCGAGCCCTTTCCAAGAGCCAAGATCTTCCCTGAAGTAAGAGACTCCAAGCAGTGGAAACTCTCCATTGTTGGCCTTAAACCGTTACGAATTCTACAGCCACAGAGAAAGAATTCTGTCACAATCTGAGGAGCTTGGATTTGGATCCTTCTCTACTTGGCCCACGGGATGAGAATGTAGCCCTGGCACCACTTTGGTTTCAGCCTTGTGCTAGATTCCAAACCCACATAATAATGTGCTATTGTTTTAAATTTGTAATCGTTTTTACTCAGCAGATAACTAACATAGATGTCCTAGGCCAAAAGCAGAATTCTTACATCTTAGCGATCCCTAATCTGGGTTCACTTGATCACTGACCAAAATCTCCTTATGGTAGTGAGAAGAGCACACAAGATAGATATTCGTAAGATAGGAGCTGTGTGTGTCCATGACCCCTGCTCACCCTGGAACTAAAACAGAGGAAGAACACAGTGTTCTTCTAAACAATAATTGTTAACCATGTTCAACATTGGTAAAAGGAAAATGTCATTGCTTTTGAATATGCTGTTCACCAATCAAATTTGTATACTGAAGGTGAAATACTTTTCCTTTTGTGACTGTAGTCAATCTCTTGTTTTAGCACTGAAAAGTAACTGCAGAATCCTAGGCTCTCCTGAGGATAACAGGTGTTCACTGAGAATCACTGTTCAGAAATATGTTACCATCTTGTTCTGCAATGTTACTGAGTCAGCTAGTGTAACAACGGTTTTGTTCAAATATGCAATAATACTGTAAGGGAGATTTCATGAGGAAAACACAGCATCTTTAAGTACACACAGGACACTTTAATTTTGATACGACATAAACTTCAAACCTAAAATTACTGCTAAAGAAGTATGTGGCTTAGTGTTCGTCTTCCCTATGCTAAAATTTCAACCACAGTTGGATACAATGCACTCAGTAAGTAACAGCAACAAAGCCCTTATGTTTGAAATAAGCAGTTTCCCCTTTGGACAACAGGAAGAGGAAACGTAGTAGTAGGAGGGTGCATAGGGTCTGATTTGTTACTGATACTTTTGAATGGTGCTGTTAAATCCATGGATACTGACAAAGGCAGATTTTTCTGAAAGCAAGATAGCCACCTAGGGAGGTGGGGGTGAGGAGATTAGATTCCTATAACATCGGAGCTGGCACAGATGTTTGAGGTTATCCAATTCCATTCATTCATTGCATGATACAAGCTCAGAGATATGAAGACCAGAAAATCACCAGCCAATTAAATGGCAGAGCAGGGATTAAAACCCAGCTTAACAAATTTCCATGATAGAATATCCACATTCTATCCTAATTGTTCTCTCCACTGTCCTCCCTCTAAAAAATACACAATTCTTTTGAGACTTGTAGTTATTGAAGTTGGTTAGTTCTGCACAAGATCAGCTACATTACATGATCTAATTATTCATAGTCAGACTTGATGACATTAATGACTTAAAAAAAGAGCTCTGTAGTTCTCCTTGAAGAGGTCCTTCACATCCCTTGTAAGTTGGATTCCTAGGTATTTTATTCTCTTTGTAGCAATTGTGAATGGGAGTTCACTCATTATTTGGCTCTCTGTTATTGGTGTATGGGAATGCTTGTGATTTTTGCACATTGATTTTGTATCCTGAGACTTTGCTGAAGTTCCTTATCAGCTTAAGGAGATTTTGGGCTGAGATGATGGGGTTTTCTAAATATACAATCATGTCAACTGCAAACAGAGACAATTTGACTTCCTCCCTTCCTATTTGAATACTCTTTATTTCTTTCTGTTGCCTGATTGCCCTGGCCAGAACTTCCAATACTATGTTGAATAGGAGTGGTGTGAGGGCATCTTCGTCTTGTGCTGGTTTTCAAAGGGAATGCTTCCAGCTTTTGCTCATTCAGAATGATACTGGCTGTGGGTTTGTCATAAATAGCTCTTATTATTTTGAGATACATTCCATCAATATCTAGTTTGTTGAGAGTTTTTAGCATGGAGGGGTGTTGCTCAAGGAAATAAAAGAGGACATAAACAAATGGAAAAACATTCCATACTCATGGATAGGAAGAATCAATATTGTGAAAATGGCCATACTGCACAAAGTAATTTATAGATTCAATGCTATCCCCATCAAGCTACCACTGACTTTCTTCACAGAATTAGAAAAAACTACTTTAAATTTCATATGGAACCAAAAAAGAGCCCATACAGCCAAGACAATCCTAAGCAAAAAGAACAAAGCTGGAGGCATCATGCTAACTGACTTCGAACTACACTACAAGGCTACAGTAACCAAAATAGCATGGTATTGGTACCAAAACAGATATATAAACCAATAGAACAGAACAGAGGCCTCAGAAATAATGCCACACATCTACAACTATCTGAACTTTGACAAACCTGACAAAAACAAGCAATGGGGAAAGGATTCCCTATTTAATAAATGGTGTTGGGAAAACTGGCTAGCCATTTGCAGAAAACTGAAACTGGATCCCTTCCTTACACCTTATATAAAAATTAACTCAAGGTGGATTAAAGACTGAAACCTAAAACCATAAAAACCCTAGAAGAAAACCTAGGCAATACCTTTCAGGACACAGGCATGGGCAAAGACTTCGTGACTAAAACACCAAAAGCAATGGCAACAAAAGTCAAAATTGACAAATAGGATCTAATTAAACTAAAGAGCTTCTGCACAGCAAAAGAAACCATCATCAGAGTGAACAGGCAACCTATAGAATGGGAGAAAACTTTTGCAATCTATCTATCTGACAAAGGGCTAATATCCAGAATCTACAAGGAACCTAAACAAATTTACAACAACAACAAAAAACCCCATCAAAAAGTGGGCAAAGGATATGAACAGATACCTCTCAAAAAAGACATTTATGCGGCCAACAAACATATGAAAAAAAGCTCATCATCACTAGTCATTAGAGAAATGCAAATGAAAACCACAATGAGATACCATCTCATGCCAGTTAGAATGGCTATCATTAAAAAGTTAGGAAACAACAGATGCTGGAGAGGATGTGGAGAAATAGCAATACTTTTACACTGTTGGTGGGAGTGTAAATTAGTTCAACCATTGTGGAAGACAGTGTGGTGATACCTCAAGGATCTAGAACTGGAAATACCACTTGACCCAGCAATCGCATTACTGGATATATACCCAAATGATTATAAATCATTTACTATAAACACTTGTATGTTTATTGCAGCACTATTCACAATAGCAAAGACTTGGAATCAACCCAAATGCCCATCAATGATAGACTGGATAAAGAAAATGTGCCACATATACACCACGGAATACTATGCAGTCATAAAAAGGGATGAGTTCATGTCCTTCGCAGGGACATGGATGAAGCTGGAAACCATCATCCTCACCAAACTAACACAGGAACAGAAAATCAAACACCTCATGTTCTCACTCATAAGTGAGAGTTGATTAATGAGAACACACGGACACAGGGAGGGGAACATCACACACCGGGGCCTGTTGGGGAAGGGTGGGGGCAGGGGAGGGATAGCATTAGGAGAAATACCTAATGTAGATGACTGGTTAATGGGTGCAGCAAACCACCATGGCATGTGTATACCTATGTAACAAACCAGCATGTTCTGCATATGTATCCCAGAAGTGTATGTATGTGTGTGTGTATATATATATTTAAGCTCTAAACTGTATGCTCAACCTTACAGCTCACATAATTTACTTCCTTAATAAGCAACCAATGACACACGAGCCACATGCACACCTCCACGAAGCTTCTCAGTGTGGCCTCTTTTATGGAGTTTCAAGAACTTGCTCATCTTATAGATGGGGAAACAGGTCTGGAAAGTGCTAAATCAGCCAAGACCTGGACCAGACCTCGCTCCCATTGCTTTGTGTTGAGAGCTTTAGCACTTACTCACTAGGTCCGGCAGGCAGAAAAGAATATTTGGGTTTCCTCAGTGGATGGCTAGAAGCCACAGTTGGATATAATTCACTTAGTCTCGTGGTGTAATAGTTGGGTGGCTGTCTTCTAAATGAAATTCTAAACTGCTACGGATGCTGCTAACAAGTGGACTGAGAAATAGAATAAATACTTCTTTGAGGAGGGCTTCTTTCATGTTAAAGGTAGAAGGCAGTGTGGTTAGAAGTGTGGTGACTCCAAAGTTTAATTCCTTAGTAACTTAACAGCTATGTGACATAGAGTGAGTTACCTAACTTCTCTAAACTTCATCTTCCTGATCTTTAAAATGGGAAAAATAATATTACTAAACAGAATTGTTGTTAGGAGTAAATGAGTAAGTCATTAAGAGAGAATGTTCCATGCTCCATGATGTTAGCTATTATGATGCTGCTGTCAGTGATGAAAAACATCTCTTATCTTACAGGATGTAATATTCATAATCCCTTCAGATATTCTTACCTTTTAAAATTTGGAAGTTTGCCAAGTCAGTTAAGAGACAATAAAACACATCAGTCACAAGTATATTGTTGATCAACAAAATTTGTTGAAAAGTGTAGCATCATACTCAAATACAGCAGTACATACTAGGGAAGTTTCTGTAATGTTGGTCCTCCTTGTTCTCCCCCTACCTTCCCCCCTAAAACAACCTTAGTAATAAAAAAAAAAACACCTAGCACAGTTGCAAATACATTCCTGTTTTTTAAAAAGCCAGAATATACGTGTGTGTGTGTTATATATATAGTTTTAAAATGTGCCCTATAAATTTTTTAGTTTTTCCCTTGGTCTTTTGCAAAAGAAAACAAATCCTCAAATATACTTAGAGCTACATCATAAAAATGATCTTGAATTATTGGGAAAGGAAGGGCGTGTACTCTCTTTATGAAGGTAGAGAAATAAGAAAAATACAATCAAAAATGTTTTTATCTGTGCTGAATTAAGAATATCCTACCACGTGAGAGTTACCCGTTTTGTTATTTTTTTAAAAAAATTAACCACCTCCACCCATTCCAAAGAAACACATTCTCCAAAGATTCTGAAAGCTTACTGGACTCCGAGTACCAACACTAATTTCCTGAGAAAACTAAGAGAGCAGTGCTGTCCAGTGCAGAAATAGACTATTCTTCAATTTAATAAAGTGAAAACAAATATTTGTCACTTAAGTTTTAGAGAAGCAGTGGAAAATGTGTATGTACATAACTGAAATGCCATCCATGAAACAGTTACAACCAACAAAATAAGGAAGGCTTACGTTTCTATTTTACTTCAAAAGGAACAAATCAATTGGTCATCAGTCTTATAAGTTCTGGATTTGCCACCACCTCCAGAAACCGTACAAATGGATAATTCTTTTGTTTTACTTATTTATAACATATATATCACATAAGGCAAATTCACTTCATGCTTTACTTCAGTAAAATGGGGAAAAAAGCTTTCTCTGCAATTGGCACTAAAGTTGTTTTAAGTTCTTAATAGCAAGGAGATACATCCAACTATAAGCAGAATGAACACAGTCATAATACATATCAAATCAAAATTATTTCCTTTATATAATCAGCAATGAGTAACTCCAGAGGTAGTATGGCAGAAACGAGCATGGATCCTATCAGGTCACAACCAAGACAAAATTAGTATTTTTTCTATGGTTTTGACCATAAATTGCTTTACACATTTAGGACCTGAATAAAAACCACTTTCACCAGAAATCTTGGCCCATTAATTCAACTGACATTTCAATTTACAACTTTCAGGACTGCAGATATAAAAAATGTAAAGTATAAAATTATGTAAGTTTGAAATGGTTTTAATTGTATTCATTAAAAATATTTACATTTCCCAGTACTTACTTGACAAAACCCCCTTGCAATATAATTCTACTCTAAACTTTTATTTATAAAATGAGGCTCACTTATGACATTTCAATGACTGCGATACTGCAAATTACTTACATTCTGTAAAATATCTTACGAACTTTCATATCAAAGGTAGTTTATATTGGATTATCTGAAACCCAATAGAGCCCACAGATGAGCTTCCTATAGTTCTTTTCATTAATGCTTGGAAAGCATGTGAACATGAAAAGTGCTGTTAAGTGCTATCATCTCCCTTAAATTTTCACTTATACTGTGTGCACATTGTGAAATAAACACATATGCAGCATGTCCATGTTTTGATATGTATTTTTTATTTCCCTGCAGTTTTCACTTATCAAGAACAAGTAACAGGGAAAGTTGTCTGAACTAGTGCATAAACAAACATTCTGAAACACCACTACACGTATCTAATTTACAAGAACCGTATAAAAAAAGTCACTAAAACACTACACTATGAAGGTGTCCAACGCTTACAGTCAGACTTTTTCCAACCCGTTACTTGCCTTGTAGCCACAGGAAAACTCTCCAAAATTGAAAAGACAATCTTGCCACAACCCTCCCCCCGCCCAACACCTGGGATGGCTCGATATCTAGACTTCCAATAATTATTGCAATGATATAATGCAATACATACCTGGTAAAGTATCTTTTATGTGATGTGTTACAGTTTTAAAGCCAGTTAAAATATGCAGCCTTCAGATAAAATGTAATCCTCGAAAAATTTTCATATTTGCACAGTTTAAATGTGCTAGATGCATAATTTTTCCTATTCCATTTTTTCTGTGTAATTATTTTTTATAAATTGGTATCATAAATAGAAATATACATTCAAAATATATGGAAAAGTGAGTTACTACATTAAATTTGCATGTATCGATCCATCCCTTTCCCCTGCACAGTAATAGAAAATACTATTTTGCCTTGAACTTCATATTTGACAGTGAAATGCCACTAAAGTATTTACCAAAAAGTCCATCTAGTCAAATTGTGAAACAAAATGAACCAAGTGAAAACTTTACAGTTCCTTTAGAAAAAAATTACAAGAATTTCATTTCCTAGCTATGAATCTTTAACTTTTTAGACACAAAGTTGGATTTATTTTTACAAGATACAAAATGTAAACATGGCAAAATAAATAGTTAAAACAAGTGATGCAGGATCCCATTTCATGCTCATGATCCCATTAAAGAATTATTTTTTAAAATCCATTCAGTTGCAAATTCAAGTGCAAAAGCATGATGATGAATATCTACTATTCAAGTAACAGAAATAATATTGATGATACAAATAAACTATTTTACAAGGTAGTGATTTTCCCAATTTTACAAAATATACATCATATATGGATTTAACATCCAATATACTATAGTCCATTTAGGTCCATTGTTACACTCTGTGATCCACAGAGTGTTGCCTTTTGCATTCAGCTGGAATATGAATGACTGCACACCATCAGCACAGGTCAGAGCCACGTGTTTTAGGTTATGTCACTTCCATAGCTACTGTTGTCTCTGCTATTCCATTTAAGCCCAATCTTTCTGGTTCGTGGTTCTCTCTATGGTAATAAGGCAAAGGATAAAATAAATATCAATACTCTCTAGAACATGACGTTACCATTTAGTATTTTACAAAAACATTGTTACATAATTACAACTAAACATGACTTCACAAGAACAATTCCCATTTTTGCCATTTCTAGATAGGAATGAGAAAAACTTTTCTTCAGCTCAGAAATTCCATTAATTCCTAATTTTTTTATTATGGCTATTTACTTAGGAAAGATAATAATTTAACATGGCATTTCAGTAGAAGCCAATGAGAAATTACTTATGAAATATGTATCACAGGACAAACCAAGTTTTTCTTTTTTTTTTCTCGAGAGATGAAGCATATGACACTCAAAAAGAATAATCATTAGGAGCACAATATTACTGAAATTACTTTCCATTAGAGTTTAATTCTATAGGCTTAAGATCATGTATTTATTAACCTATGCAAATCAATTTTTTTCTGATTCATTGTTCTCCTTGTATTAGTGTCATAGAAAGAAATATAAAAACATTCTAAAATATACTATGGATGTCCGTAGTAATCCATAAAAGTAAATAAGGTAATTTACTTTCCCTTTGTGTATGACGCTAAAGAAAACACAAATTTGGATGTGAAACCTAAACTCTGGCATGGAGTTAATCATAACAACTCCCATCTTCCAGACTGCCTAAACTATAAAACATTAATACAAGAGGAACTTCACACTTGTAATCCCAGCACTTTGGGAGGCTGAGGCGGGTGGATCACCAGGTCAGGAGATTGAGACTATCCCGGCCAACATGGTGAAACCCCGTCTCTACTAAAAATACAAAAATTAGCCAGGCATGGTGGCATGTGCCTATAATCCCAGCTACTTGGGAGGCTGAGGCAGGACAATCGCTTGAACCTGGGAGGCGGAGGCTGCAGTGAGCTGAGATTGCGCCATTGCACTCCAGCCTGGGCAAGACAGCAAGACTCCATCTCGGGGGTGGGGCGGGCAGTGGGGGGAAGAGTAACTGAAGCTTCTAACATAGACTCTGATGTGTTTGACAGTTGGATGTCCTTTTCTTTCTTTTCCTTTCTCTCTCTCTCTCTCTACTACTACTCTGTCTTTCTCTAACAATCCTACTAGGTTGGCATTTAAGCATCCTACTAGGCACCTTAAACAAATACCTAAGTCACAGAGCTTTATACAGATCTTCAGTATCTATTGAAAATCAAGTCTGTCAATAAACACCTATTGCTTGAGCAGTGTAAAAAAAAGTCTTTTTCTTCCCACAGGACAGCCAGCACAAAGGGAGAAAAATCACTGAAACACACACACACACCTTGCTATGCTGCTGATGGCACTGCTGGGAGTAACCTTTGGCACTCTGTCCATACTGGCAGCAACTGTGGCAAGTTTTAAGGCTGTTGGCGATGGTGCTGAAGTCCGTGTATTGATATGCACATTGACTGGAGAAACAACACTGACATTATTGAGGTGCACTGCATTTGTCAGGCAGGAATTGTTCATGGGAAGTGTCTGAGGACTGCTTGTGCACAATGCTGGGATTAAGTGGTTTGTAGTGGTGTGGCCAACTGTCCTTACAAGCTGTACAGCTGAAATCCCTGGGCTGGATGATAAAGCCATATTGGTGGAGTATAATGTTTTAGAGGTTCCTGAAAAAGAAAGAAGTCATTCAACTAGTATCATGAGACATCAATACAACTATTTTTAGAAGCTTAATAAAATAAATACGAACATTTGTATTTGAATTGAATGCCAAGTTAACTTTTCACACACTGGTCTCTCCAAAGGGAGCTTCTGATCACTAAGTAGAATGTACTAATCTGCTACAACCCCCAAAACACCCTCTTTCTACTGGTCTACATAAAACGGCTTTGCAAAGTATTCTGCTGCCTGTATCTGGCAACTGTGGAGTTAAGTATAACAGGACAGATGGAAATGACAGTTGGGTTTCCCTAAGTATGTACACATGCATGAATATTAGTAAAAATGGACAATCAGGTTCATGGGTATATATAAAAGCAACTGGAAAATCCTAGGGTCTGAGAGGTAGTTGAAGGATGATAGGAATAACAAGTCTTTGCGGACTCAGGGTACTAAGAAGCACACAGGGTTTCACAGCAATACTCTATCTAAAGAGCGGGAGCCAGAGTTAGTATGCCTATGAGCAGTATGTAAGAGTGGGAAGGCAAATCTGATTTCCAATTTATTACTGTCCTGGATTATCTTTCACTTTTTTATCAATGCATGCATGATTCAATGGGGATGGTTAGCTCAACAGATTTCCTAAGATGTGAGGCAACTGACAGTATGTGAATGAAACCAGGAAGGGTAGAATGTTACACAGGTATGTATTCAATGGATGAGGGAGAAAACAAGGAGTAGATTCTACATGAATTCTAGAAAACATCTACCTATTTCCCACTATCTTTCCAAAGAAATCCTAAAGAGTCCTGATTGACTTATACACATTTTCCCCTTGGATAAAAAAACAAAAAACAAACTCCCAATCACTGAGTTACAACTTCAAGAAAGTAGGTACCATGTGAAACCCCAGCTGTACCTGAAGGCTGGACAACACCGTTTATGTTGTTGTGGCCAGTGTTCTGTTCCTTGGCTACCTCACTGCGACTTGGAACAGGTGCACTGACCACTGCAGATGCAGCAAAGTGGGCGCTGGCTGAGTCAAGTGTTTTAGACATACAGTCAGAGGTGCTTGAGCCCTATAAAATGAACAAAGTTAAACACTCTAATTTTTAGATGTGATTTTATGAACATATTAAGGGATGGGGCAAACCCAAGAGGCTGTTGCCTTTCTAACCTTGAACAATTACAAGTGTTTAGATTAAGCGATCTACGATTCCATAGATGATTTTTGGCATATGAAGCAGGGAAACGAACAAAAACTGAGAAGTTATTTCTGAGAAAGAACTAGAGATTAAATAACCCAAGGCTTTAATGTTCTATTAATTTTTCCAAAAAATATTAATGAATGGTTTTAAAAATGCTTGAAAAACTACATACTTGGATAAAATGAAATCATAGAGATGATTAATAGACATTTTTGTCACAATGTGAAAACCTATCTTGGCCTAACCCTGAAATAGGATGAAAATACTTTTGGTTGGTTAACCAGGAGACTCAGAAAAAGCAAACAAAGTAAAGTTAAATGGCCATTCCTCCTTGATTCTGTATAAAACTGGTTACTAAGTCCTAGTTACTAAGTCCTACAGCCCTAGTCCTTGAGCAAGTCCCAGATCCACCTGGATGTCACAGGAGTGTTGCATTCCAGGGTCACTGAGATTTTCATGTTACTGGAGTCAGGATCTTTAAAGTCAGTGTACTGACCCTTTGAGAATGGGCTGAACTACAATGGGCAGATTCTAGCCTGAGAGCTCACAAAATATAACCAAAATTGAGTAAACCTCAGTTATTACTTTAGAAGTGGTTTTAGAATTATAGAGCAATAAAACTTAAGACCTAAAACGCAAGGTTTATGTTTTTCAGGTGGTTCAAATTTGAAATAGATTTCTTAGTTTTGCTTTTAGTGGCTTAAAAATTTATTATCATATAGTTCTGCAGGCCAGAAGTCCACAATGAAGCTTATGGGGTTAAAATCAAGGTGTTGGCAGGGCTGGTTCCTTCTGGCAATTATGGTTTTATGAAGTATTTTTATTCTTATCTCTAGCATCTTTATTTAGTGGTGTCTACAAACAACTTCCCCTAGTGGCAATTTTCTTCTTCATTTTAAAAAATTTTAATTAATTTTTTTTGTTTTTTTTGGAGACATAGTCTGACTCTATCACCCAGGCTGGAGTGCAGTGGTGCGATCTTAGCTCACTGAAACCTCCACCTTCAGGGTTCAAGCGATTCTCATGCCTCAGCCTCCCAAGTAGCTGGGCTTACAGGTATTCACCACCATGCCCAGTTAGTTTTTGTATTTTTAGTAGAGACAGGGTTTTGCCACGTTGACCAGGCTGATCTTGAACTCCTGACCCCAAGTGATCTGCCCGCCTCGGCCGCCCAAAGTGCTGGGATTACAGGCATGAGCCACCGTGCCTGGTTGCAATTTTCTTCAACAGGGAAATGTGATTCACAATGGCAAGGGGTTATGCTGTTGATGTATTGCACAATTCAACTGAATTACTGCCCAGCTCATGGAGCACATCCACATGCACTTAAACACATAGTTTAGGAAGTGGTTAGGAAAGTTTTATCTTTCAAAAAAATCTTTGGGGGAGTGGAGGTGGAGAATGATTCTTACAACTACATATATAATTACTTCTATAAATTCTCAACAACCCTTCAAAAAATTTAAAATACCATATTTGGCTCCAGCACTCTTCTCAAAATATTAAGAGATTAGTTTATAAGCTAGTCACTTAAAATTACGTACATTAACTGAAAAGAAATTCAGGTTACAGACCCCAAATCAAGAGTGGCAAAACCAAGATTATCTTCTGTGACTTGACTAAAATGGAATAAAACTACATAATGATGAAAGAAACAAACGTAACTATGACGAAAAGAGCAGTTTACCTGTGCTTTTGGATGTGTCTGTTGCGAGGAATGCTGAGATTGCTGTTTCTGCTGAAGCTGGGCAAGTTGCTGCCTTTGCATCTGAACTAACTGCTGCTGATGTGTCTGAAACTGCTCTTCTGTGATACCCCCTGTTACTGGTAAAGAACATGAATTTTGGAAATGAGTACGTTTTAAAAGATTTTTAATAACACAAGCAGAATATGATATAAACTTATTCCACAATTAAGATGAAAGCAATTACAAATTACAATATGGAATATCAGAAAATAATCTAATGAAAATGGCAAATCTTCCAGCAAGTGTGGTGTATGCTTGTATTTATAATCTCCATCACATGCTAAGAAAAGTGCCTAAATGTAGTTTTTGTTGAATAATACAGTTCTAACATGAGTATTTTACCATTTATTCAGACTTAGTATCTTTGAGACCACTCTTAATTCTCTATATTATGGAGAGCATGTAATGAAAAAAACTTTGATTTATTCATGTTAATAATAATGATGACTAAGTTATAGCCTTAATAAGAAAGCAGGACCATCTGCAAGACTATAAATGATTTTTACTGCTGGTTTCATAAAACACTGAAGTGAAAATACTTTATTCTCTGATTACAAATCAAAGTAGAGAACAACATTCATCTAACATAACCACAAACCATAGTTTAAGCCAATAGATTCAACGCCTAAAGTAAATCCATCTATAAAAATATGGGCTAGAAATCAGACAAGTATTCAGAAAACTGAAGATACTATGTATCCTCAGATGTAGTAAATTCTACTGCGACCAACTGTGTTAAAAGTGTGTTTCAAATGAAAACAAGACATCTACAACTTTTGTTGAAAAAATCAGCTAAGTTACAGAAACCACTTTTCTCAAAGAAATGTAAACAAAATTTCATTCGTTGATATTTAAGTAGATCACTGATAAGTTGATTTAGAGAACACAAAGACATTTCCATGGAAGTCATTATAATATTAGAGTCAAGAAAAATTAAATGACATGATAATACATGTACTTTAGAGTAATTTTGCTCTGTTTTCTTTATTGCTTGCTATCCTTTCTCCCAATGATTTCAATCAACAAATATTTACTATCTACTATAATGCAGAATGCTGCACTAAGAGTCACAGTGAATATAGGGGAAAATAAGAAAAGGATCTCTGTTACAAAGTCCTGGAATGTAGTTGGGAAGAAAAGACAGACATAAGAAATACCAATTAATGAATCAACATTTACATGCAATTGAGTGATCTAATCAATATGACCTAAAGGAGTTTAGACTGGCAACTATAGCCTCAATCTACCTTACTTAACTCTCCCAAGTTTTCTGTTGAATAGGATCACACATGAATAATCAAAAAAATTTTTTTATGGTAAATTAGATATAACAAGTTATGCCTAGTACAGTCTATTTTCTATGAAAAAGGAGTTATGCCCCAGAAATGAACAAAGCTTTAGATACACTCTCATTTCTGTTCCACAATATTACCATTAAAATTTGTATTGGACTATAAGGGGAAAACAGTTCTTAGATAGCAACTTTATTTTTAAAAGACTCAAAACTGGGGGCTATTACAGTGCTCACTCCAAAATTTTATATTACCTGTATTTTTGAAGTACACATTAGTTATCTTACTGAATTACCAACAAAATCAAATGTCTTTCTTTGCACATGTTAAATTCACTGCAAGTGTTCTATTTTTAAATGAAAAATTTTTTTTAAATTCTAAATTTATAATCTTCAAACTCAAATGAAAATGTGAAGTATTCATGAATTTCCAGCTATTTGAAAACCTTGGGGAAAGAGATGAAAAATAGTTTATTAGATACAAAGGCAGAAAGAAAAATCTTAAATTAAACCCAAATAAATCTGTTTAAGTCCCATGTGTACAGTGCACCAATTCAAAAGAAATGGACTTGGAATCTGGTATTATTACAACAGTCCTTAAGTCCAGTGTCAAGTGTGTCCAGAGTTGAGCTTTATGTTCTGGTGAAAAGGTGAGAGGCACAGTGATTAACATTAAGTGAGGAATAAGCCAAATAAGGATATATACTTTCAGTTACTATTTCAAAATTGAGAGAGAAACAAGAATGAGAATTTTTTCTTCTTTCTAAAATCTTTTAAGTCAGTTGATAAAATCTTACTAATTCAGAATAAAGTATATATCTAAATTAGTAGAAGGAACAGTTTTTTGGAGACAGAGTCTTGCTCTATTGCCCAGGCTAGAGGGCAGTGGTGCAATCATAGCTCACTGCAGCCTTGAACTCCTGGGTTCAAGCAATCCTCCCGCCTCAGCCTCCTGAGTAGTTGGAACTACAGGTGCATGGCATCACACCTGGCTAATTTTAGAAATTTTTTGTATACCCAGGGTCTCATTACATTGCCCAGGCTGGCCTCCAGTTCATGGCTGCAAATGATCTTCCTGCCTCAGTCTCCCAAAGTGCTGGAATTACATGCATGAGCTACTGTGACCAGCCCAAATTGCTACTTTTTATAAACAACAAAAAATATTTTTTGGGTTGGTAGACCATAGATAACAAAATATTGCCAACTAGCTGTGTTCCACTTCTTTTTATGAACCATGATCATTTGTGTACATATTAAAAACGGAAACAGATAAAACTAGCTGTTTTTTGGGGTGTCTCCATTTACTGTCCTGTCTTCTTGAGACCATTAATTTGCTCAGGAACCTTATTCTTTTCTCCTCATAGAAAACTCAGAAAATCCCAATCTGGTTGCAATCCAAATTATTCAGATTAATGGTCAGTGTTTCTTAACCTTTTTAAACCTAGGTGGATTTTGATACTAAAATTCTCATTTCTGATCCCATTTCTGGTTGAGAATCACTGACACAAATTTAATTCTATATGTATATGCTTTAAAAAATTACATTCATTTTTTTCTTTTCCCCCTCACCTCAATCTCAATATGTTATATCCATTCTTGACATCTAGCTCTTTATTATTAAGTAAGGTATTCTGTGCTTGAAACAAGCTGATTTTCCTCATTCAGAATTTTCTAGAGCACTGTTTATTATTACTTCAAAACTTTAGACAAAAATTGCCAATAGTAATCAATGACACAAAATTGGAACACATACAAAACATCCTTTCTAACTCCTTTATTATTTCAGGGAGGAGGAAAAGTGGTATGAAATGCATAGTTTTAATAGGATGGACAAAATATTGAATTGCAATTCTCAGGGTTCTCAGGGTTTACTTACTGGTGGTGGGCGGGGGGGCAGGGGCAGGTGGCAGAAATTTGATTGAAAGCACTTTCTCTACTAGTTATTTTTTCTTTCATAAGTTACTGAAATACATTCATAAGAGATTTCTTACATTGCTTTGGATTACAAGAGGCACACATCAAAGTACATCGGGAAGAGGTAATAGTTATAGAGTGAACAAATCTGTTTCAGAATGAGATACAAGATAGAGACCCAGCTTTGGGTGAGGTGATCGTGGCACCATGGGCAAGTGGGAATGTACAAAAGGGAAACTGAGATTCTCTGCTTCTCTTGCTTAGGGCCAAGCCAAGTTCTTTTCACTAGTTGATCTTAAGTTGCTAGCTTAAAAGTGAAATTCATGCTGGTCATAAATTTATCTCACCACATGCCCACAAGTCTCATCAATTTAAAAGTAACCATAAATCTGATTGTTTTGTGAAGGTAGGAGTATTTCAATACTCCAGATAGATGAGAAGCATTCCTTTCCCTAAGTAAAATGTTTTGCAAAACTTCCTAGGTAACACATTCTATATAACACATTTGGCATACTTGTTACAGGATTTTCCCTTTTATATACCCAAATATGTCATTCAGGACGTTAGTAACATACTTGCATTTCTAGATATGTTGTATACAGAACAGTCTGTTTTTCACGAAAGCCCCTCACCTTTCTGGCTATCTTCTACAAATCTGATTCATTATCTATCTTGTAATTACCAGTCTACTTTTATTCCTCAGATAAATCCATATGCCTTTTCTTAGGTATCTGTCACCATCCTTGGAAAGCAGACTGTTTTCAAAGGTCCCAGCCATCCCTCATTTCATCCTTTGCCTTTTAGGTGTGTGGTTCCTGTATGGTGCTCTGCTTAGGGTGACTTTTTAGTGATCAACTAAAAACATACTCTGGGTACCTCCACAGATTTTACACTAACATAATGATTATAAAGCTTTAGGTCCTGCTTCTCAAGCTTGTGCCCACAGGTATTCTTGAGTATATGGGAAATCTTTGTTAACTAACAAAGATTTTTTGTTGACAAACAAAAAGAACAATCTAAACAGAAATACACTCTGGATCTTCTGGATCATCATCCCATAACAGAGTAGGAACACAGGATTTTTGTGCTTGTGCCTTTGTTTTTTCATCATCTCTTAACTTTTAATGCAGTGTTTCTTAAACTGGGCTAAGATGTATTCTTGGGAAGTCATGAATTTTTCAAATACTAGCCTAGACCAAATTTTCATAGCTTAATGAGGAATACCTAATTTGGTAGTAAAGATTATTTAAAAGTCAAAAAGAATACATCATCTAGTATTTCTTCATCTACCAGGTCAGTCTTTGTTACAAGAGTGTCTTTTCTTTTTTTTTCTCTTTTTTAAGAGACAGTGTCTTTGGCTGGGTGCAGTGGCTCACGTCTGTAATCCCAGCACTTTGGGAGGCCAAGGTGGGTGGATCACCTGAGGTCAGGGGTTCAAGACTAGCCTGGGCAACATGGTGAAACCCCGTCTCTCCTAAAAATAAAAAAATTAGCTGGGTGTGGTGGCACGTGCCTATAATCCCAGCTACTTGGGAGGCTGATGCACGAAAATTGCTTCGCCTGGGAGGTGAAGATTGCAGTGAGCCGGAATCGTGCCATTGCACTCCAGTGTGGGCGAGAGAACAAGACTCTGTCTCAAAAAAAAAAAAAAAAAAAAAAGAGAGAGAGACAGGGTCTTGCTATGTTGCCCAGGCTGTTCTCAACCTCCTGGCCTCAAGCCATCCTCCCACTTTGTCCTCACGAAGTGCTAGATTACAGAGGTGAGTCACTATACCCAGTGTTACAAGAGTTTTGGTATATGCTTTCTCAAAGATATGCTGACTATATGCAATTTTTGTCTGTTTTAAAGGGCAGGTCTGGGGCAGGATTAAAGGGTAGAGAGAGGGATCTTACATCAAATCCTCTGGGTTAGAATAGGAAGTCAGATGAAAGTTCATATAAACCACTGGTGCTACTCTGCTGACAAACATATCCAGGAGGGTTGACATGACCTTTCCAGGACTATATACATCTTACAAATGTAACTCTTACAGTGAAAGACAAACTAACAAATCAACTGAGTCTTTGGGGAGAGGAAAGATAAGGGGGGTTGGGGAATGAAGAACAAACAGATGTGAGGATAATGAAGAAAGACTAAAAATCCATTTAAACTTCTGAAACCCAAGCCAAATATTTACAATTGAAATTTCATTATTTCCTTTTATAGTCAAACTAAAATACTTTAATCCCTTAGGTCTGAATCCGTTTCTCACTTCTGGAAGCAACCCTAACCCTTAGCTAGATGTTAAATCACATTATATCAATCCTAAAACTATCATAGTTGCAAACATTTATGACAATTTAAGAATGAATGGGAAGAGAAACTGAAGAAATTAAAACAGGAATTTCTCTTGGAAAACTGTACAAACTTAATGATTTTGGAAATTAGTCATATTGGCCGGGCGCGGTGGCTCACACCTGTAATCCCAGCACTTTGGGAGGCCAAGGCGGGCGGATCACGAGGTCAGGAGATCGAGACCATCCTGGCTAACACAGTGAAACCCTGTCTCTACTAAAAAAATACAAAAACAATTAGGCAGGTGTGGTGGTGGGCACCTGTAGTCCCAGCTACTTGGGAGGCTGAGGCAGGAGAATGGCGTGAACCCGGGAGGCAGAGCTTGCAGTGAGCCGAGATCGTGCCACTGTACTCCAGCCTGGGTAACAGAGTGAGACTCCATCTCAAAAAAAAAAAAAAAAAAAAGAAAAGAAATTGGTAATATTTCTTTAAATATTTAAAGATATTTAAAGATATTTAATTTTTTATTTAATAAAGATATTTAATTTTATTTAATTAAATTAAATTTAATTTTATTTAATTTTATTTAAAGATTTTATTTAATTAAAGATATTTAATTTAAATAATTAAATATTTAAATATTTAAAGATATTTAAAGCTGGTCAGAAAGGCTGCTGGTATCTATTCTGTATATTATGACAGGTAAGAAAAGAAAAAAGTATTATGTTAATTTGCAACCATGCATTAGAGAAAACTAAAACTAAATGTAAATTAATCTGTCCTTTCAAATCTGAAAAAGCAAAGCACTTTTAGATATGAAATGCATTTTCTTGAGTTCTGGATTTAAGAACATCATTTCAAAGAACAGTTAAATAATACTGTAATTTCAAAGGATTATCCCGTTTATATGAAGAATGTAATATTTGCATGTGCTATTAATTAAGTTCCTTGAAGGTAAGGATTGTCTTGTAAGACCTTGCAACTTTTAAACATTTAACACAGTGTTTCGCATATAACAGATACTAAATAATGTATGAAATTAATTTCTCTTGGTTACTCAATTGTCATGTTCACCACAATCAATCTATTCTTTATCCTGCTTTTACTCTTTGAGAAGTGGTTTTCTTTTTCTTTTCTTTTTTTTTTTTTTTTGAGAGGGAGTCTCGCTCTGCTGCCCAGGCTGGAGTGCAGTGGCAGGATCTCGGCTTGCTGCAAGCTCCGCCTCCCGGGTTCACGCCATTCTCCTGCCTCAACCTCCCCAGTAGCTGGGACTACAGGCGCCCACCACCACGCCTGGCTAATTTTTTTTGTATTTTTAGTAGAGTCGGGGTTTCATCGTGTTAGTCAGGATGGTCTCAATCTCCTGACCTCGTGATCCGCCTGCCTCGGCCTCCCAAAGTGCTGGGATTACAGGCGTGAGCCACCGCGCCTGGCCCTGAGAAGTGTTTTTCAATTAAGAGAATATACCTTTATTTTACTTAAAGGTTAACAAAACACATCTCTGCTTTCAAATGAAAAGTCTTTAGTTTTAGTTCTAACATCTAGGATACACTTTTCAATTTTCCTTCAAGTATATAAAAGATAACAAATAGTACATGCATATATATATATATATAAAATATATTTTTTTTTTTGAGTCAGGGTCTCACCCTGGCTGGAGTACAGTGGCAGGATCTTGGCTTACTGCAGCCTCTACTTCCTGAGCTCAAGAGATCCTCCTCCCTCAGCTGGGACTACAGGCACGTGCCACCACACCCGGCTAACTTTTGTATTTTTAGTAGAAACCGGGTTTTGCCATGTTGCCCAGGCTGGTCTCGAACTCCTGGCCTCAAGTGATCTACCTGCCTCAGCCTCCCAAAATGCTGGGATTACAGGCGTGAGCCACCACGCCCGGCCTAGAATATATTTTGGACACATGGGTTATGACATGGAAAACGTTAATCAGGGTTTATATTAACAACATTTAAGAGAAAACTATTTGCCACTAGCCCTCAATTCCACATAAGATGCAGCCCTCTTTTTAATTTTTGTTTAAGAACTAAGGAACTGGTGATATAAATAAAGTGCATTATGTTTCTATTTCTCATTAAACGCTTCATTTGCTGGGATTTCCCAGCTGTGAAATGGACAATTCAGTACTAATAATCTGTTTAGCTCAGTGTTATTCTCTGCTAGGGAAAAGTATAATCCTGTGTTAGTCTTGTTCCTTTATTTTTTGTCTTATTACTCTTAAAAACAACTGTGCTCTCATGACCAAGCCCACTAAGAACAAGCAGAAGGAAAAAGTGTTCAAGACGCATGGATTAGAAAAACCAAACACATGAGGATCCCATTCTTTTGTATATATCCATCAAAAGTAAAAATATAGCTTTCTAAAACTCCCTCATCCTTCTATTTAGGTAGATGAGGAAATTCCTATCCACATTCATGGAACTGTAACTGAATTCACTTAAAATTATCTAACCAGAACTAAGAAATCTATATAATGAATGTAACTGATATAAATCATTAAATTATGGTTTCAATTATTTTAAAAAATGCTGTTAAAAAACTTTTTTCATTATGTATTTATATTGCCATGCCTATTATTTTAAAACAAAAGACATCTGTTGAAAACAAAAAATCTTGTGGTCCCAGTGACTAGAGGGGTCACAGTCAGTGAAGAAGAATGAGTTCAAACAAAATCTTTTACTCTAAGAATAAATTATTAAATAAGATAGATCTTATTTCAAAACACTGAATTCTAATGTACCTTACTTGTTGCTTAAGCCTTAAAATTTTTTAAGGGAAGAAAGAAATGGTACTGTATTGAGGATATTAAAAAATTTTAGATAGGAAAAATCACACAGACCAAAAAGATTATTTTTTTCTAATGGTAAGGTAAAGGTAAGAATACAAAAAAACTTGTTGTCTATGATGTTAACACTGATTACTTGTGACTTAAATTCCCTGAGAAGTACATGCACGCCTAAGATAACAGTTTAAATGCTTATTTTATGTTGTATGGTAGTGTCATAGGATTATAGAGGTGATTATAATGGAACTATTTAAGTCATATTAAGTTATATTTTGGACCAATACATATGTTGTATTGATGATATAACAATATATACAACATATATACACTTTCTGGAAAAAAGTCAAGTTAAATCTAGAGTTAATCTGGAATGTATAGGAGAAAGCTGCAAATATCTGACAATGTTCACGTTGAGAAGGAAGATATTAAAATCATTTTTTAATGTGGTATACATCAGCAGAGAAGACAATCAGCCTATGGTCAAATGTAATTATAAATGCCTCTATATGATATGTTTTAAACTCTCTTTTTGGGAAAAATTATTTTGAGAATGTTTAGTACAGGAATTCCCATTTAGTTAAATAAATTGGAACTTTGTCTTAGAGCTGGCTGAAAAAAGATTTGATTTAATATTTGTCAACTTTCTACTATCTTTAGATTTCTAATAATCCTGCAGCCTCAAATCATATTACGCATTCATCCATTTCAGCTTCAAGCACTCTTTCAACTTCACAGACTCATGAACTTTATATAATGGGAGGCCATTTTCCTTACTTAAGTTTGTTTAGGAGAAAATTAACCAACCAATTTGGATAAATGATATGCCAATTTCTAATCATTCAAACAAATCCAATTTTCCATTATAACCTTTAAACAAATCACTGTACGAGTCAAGTTGGAAAACAGGCAGTTCAGTAGCTAAAAGAGACTGAACATTATTGAGACCAAATTTCAAGCTAAAGTGATTTATGATCACTTTAAAGAAGTTTAAGATGATAATTTCACATCCTAGAATGCATCATCCAGGAAATAATTTAGAAATACATACAGAAAAAAATGGTATCAACAGTGTAAGTCAAGCCACATCTATTTTAGTCTTGGGATACAATGCATATATACAATGTATAAAGATATCTATAAATTATACATACTTGCATACATGTGATAAAGAGACCACAGAAGAAAACAAATCAAAAGTGTACCCTAGATTCTCTAGATATTATACATTATTTACAATGTACATGTCATAAAAATATTAAATTAACCTGAATACATTTCTTAAAAATGAAAAAACTTCCTGATTTAACTAGAGGTAAGCTATTGGACAAAAATTATTATTCATAGGGGCCGGGCACAGTGGCTCATGCCTGTAATCCTAGCACTTTGGGAGGCTGAGGCAGGTGGATCACCTGAGGTCAGGATTTCGAGACTGGCCTGGCCAACATGGCGAAACTCTGTCTCTACTAAAAATACAAAAATTAGCTGGGCGTGGTGGTGCACGCCTGTAGTCCCAGCTATTTGGGAGGCTGAGACAGGAGAATCGCTTGAACCCGGGAGGCAGAGGTTGCAGTGAGCTGAGATTAAGCCACTGCACTCCAGCCTGGGCGACACAGCGAGACTCCATCTAAAAAAAAAAAAAAATTATTCACAGGGAGTCTCCTAAAATTCATTTTTCAGCAAGAGTTTTCAAAGGTACTCTCAAGGAGCAATGGTTACATTTAATGAAAGTTTACGCACCAAAATGAAAACTACCTTTAACATAAGCAGCAGATAGTACTGTGCTGTGATGATCTGGTGGCAGCTTATAAGCAGTGTGGCCACAGGGAACTCTGTATGCATTCTGCCTACATTTACCGTACCAGGCACACACCCGAAACAGATGTCAGTGGTTTTACAGTACTAGTTAGGACAATTTGGTTAAAATGTGAGACAGAACAGAACAATTTTGTTTCTTAGGTTGGAAAAAAAATTAAGTAGGTTAAGATAAAATTCCTTTCCCAATAAAATTAAGTAAAAAAGAATAGCAGGATATACTTTTAACACAGCAACAGCTTACCTGATATGCCATTCTTGCTGGTGTTCAATAAAGCTACAGATGCTGCAGAAACTCTTTTATTGTTCACAGTCTGCCCTGGTTTTCTTGAGGTACATTCTTCACTATCACTGTCCTGTAAATTTAGTAGCCTTGGCTGGAAACACTGTAGTCGACATGATCTGATATTGCTTAATATTTCAGAAAGAGACAGTCTATTTTCACAATGTTTACTGGAAGCATTGGTCCGAGAGAAATTAGAAGAAAAGTCTATAGTTTGGGAAGAGCTTGAAAAACTATTCAGCATTTCAGGGTCTATCTGTTTCAGGACTGGGTCATGTTCTGTGGATATTCGGTCCATTATGACCCTGAAAAGCAAAATAAAACCAAATATTAACTGAGAGAGCTGAACATGTTCTCTTTGTCTTCTGTTCCAGATAGCAAACAAAAACCAGGTGAAAACAAATACTTCACCTTCCACCTCTGCCAATTCGCCTCCTTGCAAATCCTATACATCTTCTTGGGACTGTAAGTGTTGTAAGGCAATGCCTATACCTCAACTTATCCAAATCTGCCAATTCTGAATTTTCACATGAATGGTTAGCTTGGTCCAAACGAGGCTGCAAAGAAAGAAAAAACAAAAAACAAAAAACTCATGGAGTAAATCTGAAATGAAGACAGGTTAGATCATGATAAACATGAAGTAACTGCAACATTAGCAGAACAATTAAAATCTAGATATAAAACTGTAAAAGTGGGGCTTCATTGACTATTAATCAGGTTAAATTTTACAAAATTGAATCAAAAGTTCACTCACCAAGATTACCAAAACTGAATTTAGTTTGTAAATATAAATTCATTTAGGGTCTATTATACTTAAAAAGGAATATATAGTTAAAAATAATGCAGCTTTTAACATTTGTGTACAAAGTAGAGATGGTGAAATTACATAGTAATTTGTAGGCTTCCTACTGAGAAACCAGAAAGAATATTTTTTGGACTAAAAATTGCACTTCAAACACTATGGGGTCAAACTGAAGCTTCCTCTTTACTTTTAAGAAACACACATCCAAGCAGGATGCAGTGGTTCATGCCTGTAATCCTAGCACTTTAGGAGGCCAAGACAGGAGGATCACTAGAGACCAGGAGTTCAAGACCAGCCTGGGCAACGTAGCAAGACCCTATCTCTACAAAAATTACAAAAATTAGCAGCATGTAGTGGTATGCGCCTGTAATCCCAGGAGGCTGAGGTGGGCGGACTACTGGAGCCCAGGAGTTTGAAGTTACGGTGAACTGTATGATTGCACCATTGCACTCCAGCCTTGGTGACAGAGCAAGACCCTGTCTCTAAAAGAAATAAATAAGTAAATAAATAAATATAAAGAAACAAACAAGCTGTTCCCTGCCTTCCCATTCCCTTCATCATTTTATCATGCTGTCTGTCCCCTTTCGTTAAGAATTTTCCCTTCTCTCATCAACATAACTAGTAAACAAATCTCCACCTCTCCTAAATTTACACACTCTAAAAAAGCTGTCAGTGTATGCTTACCATTATATAGCAAGATAAATGATCTCTACAAGCCATATAAGAAAGTCAAAGCCATCCTCACAATGCTACATTATATCTCATTGAGAACCTTGGAGAGTGATATAATGCGACTTCATAGCATAAAGCAACTTCTAGGTGTGTCAAAAAGTTATGAATACAATTATTAGACAAAACATTGCCATTATGGAAGTATCAAACAAAATTATTATTTTGTTTGATACTTACTGGTATGTATGCACAAGATGGGCTTGCATAACAATAAATTTCAATAAACACCTAGCAGCCATCAAAGGTTCTAGAACCAACTTACAAATTCTGGGTTTACCTAATTCTAGTAATGACACACTGAGTAATTTTCACAGCTGCTGAAGCTATAATTAGAGCCCAAAATGAACCTAAATTTCTAAAATGTGAGGAATTATCAATTTCCAAGAAGAGGATTCCGACGCCCTTTGAAAGGACTCAGTACCTTTTAGCATCTTTTACCAGTATCCACATAAAGGATGTTAAATAAAAAGTACTGATGCATTTCCCATTTTTAGATCAAGACTAAGTCATCTTGACATGGGTTACCTGTTAATTCCAGTTCACAAAAACACCACACACACACAAAAGTTCTTACAGCATAATACTGGCATCCTGCCCGCCTTCTGAAAGCACAGGGACCATCAGGATCATTTTCTTCTTCCGGTTCTGATACTGGGGACAATACCTAGACAAAAGAGGCATTCCATTTAGAAGTTATCAAAAGTCAATAGATCAATGTTTGTAATACTCTAAAATGTAAATCTGATCACAAACAGTAAATCACTTCTATATTACATATCATAAGTACTGAATTCCCCAAAACATTCAATGACTAGCAAAAATTTTCTATAGTTAAAAATCATTGTTTTTAATGGATTAGTTCTTTCAGGTTAAGTCTAGATGGCATTGGTATTGCTTGATTGCTTCTAAACATGAAGTGCTAAGTCTTAGAATTAATACAGTTTTTATACATCCCATTATATTTTATAAATAATGTATGTGGCTATAAATATTTAATGACAGTTAAATATTTACTTCACCTATAGGTTAAGTGTATTTTTATCCAATAACTTTATCTCTCTGTAATAAAGCCAAAAGCTAGGACATAAAAACAGCTTATAAACAGCCAAAAAAAATCACCACAACAAAAAAAACCCCAAAGGCCATAAAGGCCAGGTTTTATTCAAAGGAAAGTCTTGTATCTCCCAACTCATTTTTCAAAAATCACTTTTTAAACTTAGCAGATCAGAAGTAGAAAAGAAGAAGAGAAATGACTTGCTAAAGTAAGCACATTGGTTATAGAGAAGAGATAAGCCCGCAACGCTAGAGCAAAAGAATAAAGACTTTCAGAAAGCTGTCACATATTAGAAAGCACTCTTCCCAGGCCATGTCCTATCAGGCCAAATATCCCTATGTAATTGAGTGGACTTCTAGGGCAGTAGCATTGACCTATTAGAGCACGCTTTATAAATGTCACAAAAACAGATTAAATAATATACAAATACACTGAAGATAGGGAAATAATATGTTTTAGATAAATTTCCACCCATAATTATTAAAATTTTTTTAAAAGTTTTGGTACTTAAGTTTCAGTTGTCTCGCACTCTCACTTTGTAGAACATCTCTTTTTCTGATAAACGCTGGCTCAACCATATTTACTTGCAAATTTCTGAACCTCACAAATCCCTCTCTTCCTATTTCGAGAGGAAAAATGTTTTCTCCATATTATTTCCAAACTGTGGTAATTACCACTGAGCAGGGTCATCCAGGGGAGAAAGGTATTTGTTTGAGGTTCCAATATACCTCCACCAACCCTATGGGGGAGACACAGAAACAGTGAGCTGGGGCTGAATCTTCTTCATGGGGAACCAAGCCTCAAACCTGAAATTTGAAAGGAAATCCCAAACGTGAATTTTACACTTTGGTTCCTTTGCAAATAACGTACCTATTCTAAGATATACACAGGAAGTGTCACAAAGTCTCAGAAATTCTGTGTATAAAATCTATCACCCCTTCCTCCTAACTACGATTCCCCGGGGTAGATTCCAGGGGACAAAAGAAGTCTGAGGCATAGGAAGACAAAGCTAATGTTAGGAAAATCGGAAGCACGATCAAGAGGCAGAGTTTTAGCTCTGTTCAGCTGCAATTCAGTGGCATAAGTCTGGTTAAAATGTTTGTTCTCTTAAGGCTCCCTATTCCTTGTTCTTGGTTTATTAGACAAAGAAAAATATGATTACTTTAATGATCTTGTCAGCAATAAAATCCTGATTTTATAAGATGTACACTCTGAATAGCTGCCTCACTGAATGACGCCCAAATATAGGTAAACATTAATACTTACTCTTTAGTAATATGGAGATACCATAAAATTAATGAGGATTGTCTAAGACCTAATACAAACAATCAGAAGAACCTAAAAGTTTCAAAATGCAATTTTCATGTGGGTATGGGAACTGGAAACTATATAAATCAATGCAAGAATTTGGAGCAGAAATGAAGATCCCTTAATGCATGAGAAACATATGAGTAGTTATGCTGAGTGAGCTCTACTTTCAGGCTGGATGTACTGATTCCACCGATAAAAGTTTCTGTAGGTCATAGCACCCTACAGTATCATTCATTTTTTTTTTTTTTTTTTGAAACAGGGTCTTGCTCTGTCGCCCAGGCTGGAGTACAGTGGTGCAACCTTGGCTCACAGCAACCTTCATCTCCCTGGCTCGAGCAATCCTCCCGCCTCAGCCTCCGGAGTAGCTGGGACTACAGGCATGTGTCACCACGCCTGGCTAATTTTTCTACGTTTGTTTCTGTTTTTTCGGTAAAGATGGGGTTTCACCATGTTGCCCAGGCTGGTCTCCAAGTCCTGGGCTCAAGCAATCCACCTGCTTCGGCTTCCCAAAGTGCTGGGATTACAGGCATGAGCCACAATGTCCAGTCTACAGCATCATTCTTAAAGGGCTGGAAATATATAGCAAAACTTTCTAGGCTCTCATTAGTACCACCAATATAAGCCTATTATACAAATATTTATCTAACTATGTCATTTTCTTACTTAACATTTTAAATAATTTCCCAGTATGTATGATGTAGATAGAGGCTATCTGCCATCTGGGTATTACTGCAGGCATCAAGCCTTTCATCCCCTCTTCCTCTTCTATGTTTTGTGCTCCAGCAATGCGAAACTGCTAGGAGTTCCCTCTAATATGCTGTGCCTAGAACCCTTCCCTATACTTTCTATCTGGAAAATTACTCTTTTGTAGGGCACTATATCCCTCATTCCTTCAAAATGGTCATCTGATAAATGTCCCATGGCTATTCAAAGCTCTGCCTGAGTCAAACTAGATGATCCTCTGACAAAAGTAATATATGGGTTCATTAAGTGCTCCTGAAGGGAATATAAAATTAAGCATATCTTTGCACATTTGATACTATTCATATGACTATCAGAATATTATCTGGGTAGAAAAACCAATTGGTGAAAAAGAGTAAAAATAATATAATCCAGCCAAATGGACACATTTTATGCAAACTCCAGATTTTAAATGGTTATAGCAATGAAGAGTTTTATAAACAGTCTTGCTTTCAAACATATCTATAATGTTGGTTTTTAAAAGAAAGTTTCCTTAAAGCAAACAAGTCAAAAAGTTAAAATATGATAAAGCTGGTAGTAGTTCAAGGTCTTTGTTACAGTATTTTCTGTTAAGTTTCCCATACTATTTTTAAAAAGAGGGTATTGCTAGAGCAGGTGATACACAATATTTAAAAAAAAAATGGATCTTTTTTTTGTTTGCTTGTTTGTTTTTGAGACGTCGTCTCGCTCTGTCGCCCAGGCTGGAGTGCAGTGGTGCGATCTCAGCTCACTGCAAGCTCCACCTCCCAGGTGCACGCCATTCTCCTGGATCAGCCTCAGGAGTAGCGGGGACTACAGGCGCCCGCCACCACACCTGGCTGATTTTTTTTGTTTTAGTAGAGACAGGGTTTCACTGTGTTAGCCAGGATGGTCTAGATCTCCTGATCTTGTGATCCGCCTGCCTCGGCCTCCCAAAGTGCTGGGATTATAGGAGTGAGCCACCACGCCTGGCCGGATCTTTTAATATATAAAGTAAAAGTCTTATTTTAAAAACAGCACTTATAAAAATATTTTTTAATTGCACACATTTTTCTATAAAGCTGTTGCAATATTTATCAAAGAGTTAAAACTTGAATCAGTTCCTTTAAGTCTTTTTTAGAATCAAATAGCCATTACCTAACAAATTAGCAAAGTTTACATTAAAAGTTATAAAACACAATGCTGGTGGAGTGTGGTAAAAAGGAAAGTATTGTTGATGAATATTTTCAATATTTACAATTATATATTAACTGTCTTAAAATATTGATAATTTTTGGTTAGTAACTAGTAATTCAATTTCTAAGAATCTATTTTAAATAGAGGGAAAAAATCTATGTTCATTTTTATAAATGGAAAAACTAAAAACCATGCGCTCCACAAAAGAGTAAATTCTATACAACTGATGAAAAGTAATACAGAGTAAATACCATTTCAGTGGCTACATAAATACTGTGGAAATGTTTATGCTATATACATTAGGGGAACAAAGCAAGAATAAAAACTCTAAGATAGCAATTGTTTTAAAAATATAGCAATATAAAATACTAAGAAGAAATATCTTTAAAATATTTTAAAACAAGCACCTGTGGAAATTCATCTTCATCTGAGCTGTGAAAATCATATTGCTTAATGTCACTCTTATTGATCACAGGCAATGTCTCAGGAGTGGGTTGCTGAGATGTTATCAAAGCCTCTGCTTTAGGCTTCTTTGGGTACTTCTTCTTTTGACGAACCACATCAGAAGCCTCTTCTTTCAAAGACAAATGATGAGGGTGCTGTTTACATGACGATTTTTCCCCCAAAAGGAAGAAATAAAAATCATTTTAGAAATCATGAAAAACTATACTGCTCTTTGAAAAACATACATTTTTACCCAGGAGGTGATTTTATTGTTTTTAATACGCAAAAATTATTCTGTGTTCATAAATTGAAACATGTTTTACTTTCTGCAACTTATGATGAAAAATAATTATGGTATTTAAATTTGCTTTTTACATTATTATCACTACTTTAAACTATGTGAGTGATTTTTTGGATTGCTCTATTATGTAATCCAGTATTTAAAAGGTATTTAAATTCAATATTTATTTAAATCTGCTGTATTGATAAAAATTAACCACTATTTTTATTTTTTAAAATCTTCAACTGGATCATGAGTTTACTGTCATTTCTACACTTAGATCTAATTTTTAAAAATGTCTGTTCTATGGATGGTAATCTTTTGAGAAAAATAAGCTTAACTAGGAAAAAAACCCTCACTTTTTAGAATGTATAATTACTGCAGCAACTGAACAGTAACGTTCTGAAGTCCCCCAGGCTTCTGTGGAGGTTCCTGAGAGGCCATCTGGCAAAGACACTGACTGAAGGGGTAGGTTTCCAGCCCCCACCTCCCCTCAACAGAGCAGCTCTGTTACTGTTTTAACATACTGGCATTCCTTTTAATAAAAAGGGATCTAGCACTTTAAAAGTCGGAAAAGACTGTTCCAAGCACCAAGGTACAAACTACACAATTTATACATTTCCACATCTAGTCCAGATATTAACTACTTTAAGGTCAAAAACAGTACACACAATAAAAATATTGCTTGAAAGGCAAATTATATTTAGTGAGATATAAAATTTTTCATATAATAGGTATAACTATTACATCAAAACAAAGCCCCAACTTTCAGAAACTTCCCATATTTTAAAGTGGGATACATGACAAAGTAAATATAATTAACCATGTGTAATGGAGTAGGACAACAATGGATGCAACCAAATCCCTAAAGTTAGTATTTAGGAAGGCTGAGTATTTATTCATAGAGGAGGTCTAAAATAAGAATCAATATATAATAAAGGCTGATTCTGTCAGTAATTCTGGGTTAAGATTTTCATATTGCAATGCTTAACAATCACATACCTAGGAAAAGCATTGATTGACACAAAATGGATTTTTAAAAATAACTTACAAAATGACATTTGCACTGATAACTTTTTCGGCTATAGAGACAAGCGAGATTTAGAGAGAATCAGGATGGTGGGCTAGACGCCTGTGATTAATAAGAAAGAACTTTAGTGTTTTAATTGACATGAGCTGAATGAAGGAGTCTTCCTGCTCCACACTCTTTCTTGACCTTTAAGAATGAACCCATGAAAAATGAGAACTGTGTACATTTTTAAAAGATGAATTTTCCACAAACACCCTAGGTCATTTAAAAAATTTTGCTACAGAGTAAAGCTCTATTGTCTAGAAGCTTCAGTCAATATCTGTTTCCTATTTAAATCTATGCTCCTTAAAATTAAAGGCTTTATTAGTTTTCATATTTCCCAATTAAATACTTTAATTAATGTACCAAGTGAGGACCAAATAAATATAGTTATCTAGTCCAAGTGACTAAAATAACCACTGAGTCTGGCTCTTTCATTAGGAAGAAACTGTGACCCAGAAATTACAGGACTTTCTCAAAGTCACTCAAGGTAGATAACAATTGATAAATGCTGGCTCTGGAAATGATGATGACAATAATAATTTTCAATAGTCTCAATGAAGAAAGCTTTGAGGTGTTGATTCCTTCCATTACAATGCAAGGTTTGCTAAGGCTAGTGATAATAACTAGACTTTAATTACCTTTATTCCCTAGGGAGGCAGATAGCATATTGAACATGACGGACTATTAGACCTGAACTGAAACCTTGAATCTGCCACTTACTAGCTATTATATAGAAGTCACACAGATGCAACAACTATCTCTAAGGGTTGTTATGAGGATTAATTGGTCAGTATGTATATAAATACTCCTAGCAAAGTGCTTGGCTCATGGTAAGAACTAAAGTCACGTTAATTACTTTTTCTTTACTCAAACCATATTAAGACAACTGCAGAAATCAATAACTCCTCTGATCAACATTACCATCCATACATGCTTCTTCCCAGACAATATTCACCTTAGTTTTACATTCTTGAACTTTGTGATGATTTCCATTATGAAGAGTTGCTGGAGTGGCATATAACTCTTTTTCTGATCTACTGATTTTTACTTCATTAAGGATTTCACCACCATAGTCTCCCAAATGGTATCTTGAAAAGGTAACAAAAATATAAGAAAACATTGCATAGTTTGACAATAAAGAAGGAAAATAAGTGATACCTCAATTAATTGGAAGTCACCTAGTCAAAAAGGGCTAACAATCAAATTACTTTTAAAAGATAAAATTTGCAGGAATAAAGAAACAGGGATTTGGTAAAAACAAAACAAACCAAAAAACTAAAAAAGGCCTAAGGTACACAGCAAACAAATTTCTTACATATATTATATAATCAAGCACTAGGAAATGTTTAGAATGCTTACTCCAGGAATCATACAAAATTCTGTTTTTGTTTAGTCTATTTAATTTTGTAGGAAAATATACTATATTAGAGCACACATTTCTAAAAGGAGTTGAAACGAAAAATGTCTACCTACTCAGAAAATAAAATCAATACTTATTTCCCTCAGATTTAATAGAAAATTTAATACAGAGAAGTAAACAATATGATCACTAGAGTTCTTTACTAAATAAAATTCAATGATTCTGCCAAAACAAAATTAAGTATAGGATCTACAGTATACACAAAACTCTCCCAAAATCTGCAATCCAAATTGATAACTTAATCTATAAAAACTAGTAACCACAAATCTTTAAAAAATATAAATTCTTACAGAATCAATATCAACTGTCATAAAGCTTAACCTGTTCCCCCCTAAAAATCTTTTGGTTCATTTTGCCCATCATTTGGTAAAGTTGTCATTTTACTGTTGTAACAGGAGCAATGTTACCTTTTCTCCACAACTTCTAAGGTTAAGTGCAATAATTCTCGTTTTGTTTTCTCTCTTCTCTTAATCATTTCCAAAATTGTTATGGCTCTACTAAATTCTCGTCTCAGTTTCAACATCTTTTCATAAGAGGCTTCATCATTCTTACGATTCTATTAAAAATAATAATTTTAGAAGAATAAACAACACAGTTATCTACATTTCCGGCTTTATTCAATAAACTCTTATCAGACCTGAATTTATCCTATAAAAGTAAAATGTTAAAAAAAATCTGAACAGCAACCTATGTAAGATAACCTATAACTATTTAACTCTGAAAATATAAGTACAAGCAAGTATCTCTCGACACTCAGAAAAAAAATGTTGCCAGCTGTTGAAAAGGTAGAATGGCATAAAGAGATAATTTCAATGTAAACAAACAAAAAATGTCCACCTGAAACAAAATCTGTTATCAGAAAATGTAGTCCATTCAGCGTGTAGGAAAGTATTTTCCAATGACAGAGAGGAACAGTTCTGTCCAGATCAAGGTAACAGTCAAAATGAGTCCCCTCATCCATTCATCCATCCATCTCCAGCTCTGTAACTGGGGGCTGGATGGTTTGATACACTGTACTATTATGTGAACATGAACAATGACCAGTAAAGCTTCACTTCAGAAACTCAGAAAACTGAAAGTAGGATAACAACCATTTCAAGAAATCGGACTGTCAATTTTCAATGTAAATGTAACACTCCACTGCTGAGTAGAAAAGAGATTTAGCAAAAATACTGAATTTCAGAACACTGTTTATTAGCTTTTCAACTAATTATTATACAAAGTGAAAGCCCTGCTACATAACTAGAAAAGGCTCAGTTGTAATTAGTAGCATCTATTTGCATATAAAATTATTACTAATATAAACTATTTTGTTAAACATCCACAGATTCCTCACTTTACTATTAGGCATGGAACTATTTGTTTAAAAATAGACCACTACCACCTCTCCAATCTATGCATCCAGAGTGAACTGTACTTAAGCAATCATTCATGCCTTGATTTAATAATCTGAAATGACATTAGAAAGAACCTAAGGAATACCAAAGGTTTCATATTGGAGGATTATAAAAGAGAAAAATAACAATTGAGAAAAAGTCAAAGTTATACTCTTTTTCTTTTGTGTATAGTTTCCTGCATTTGAAAAATAATAGTCATATATTAAAAATAACCTACACTAAGTCCCATTATGGTATTCCACATCGAATATTAAAAATAAGTCATCCTTTTGTGTAATTTTAAAAAATTCATCTTTTTCTTCTTCATTACTATGACAAAAGGTAAATCTAAAGCATATGTTTAAGCATTTTTTTAAACAGGCAGCAATAATACCTTTCAATTAAAAAAATTAATATTTTCGACAGCAACTATTAAAGTGCCTACACTGTGCAGGGTATTGCACATGTCCCTTACCCTCAAAAGGCTTAGAATCTAGTAAGGATGACAGACAGAAAACAGATATACAGAATTGTAAGGCAGATAATAATATGAGGTTACATGCCAGCTGGCAGCTGAATAATATTCAAAAGTGCACCAGAACCTTTTAGATGGCTCCCCTGTTCAGTAAGTGTTCCTCTTGGAGGTTCTACCCTGTCTTATTCATATCTTGTTTTGCTTTTGTGTGTGTGTGTTTGTGTGTATGTGAGACAGAGTCTCACTCTGTTGCCCAGGCTGGAGTGCAGTGGTGTGATCTCAGCTCACTGCAACCTCTGCCTCCCAGGTTCAAGCGATTCTCCTGCCTCAGCCTCCCTCCTCCCTCAGCCTCAGTAGCTGGGATTACACGAATCCACCATCACACCCAGCTATTTTTTGTATTTTTAGAAGAGATGGGATTTCACCATGTTGAGCAGGCTGGTCTCAAACTCCTGACCTCAAATGATCTGCCCACCTTGGCCTCCCAAAGTCCTGGGATTACAGGCATGAGCCACTGCCCCCAGCCTCTGTTCTCTTTATGCCCAAATAATTATCGTTCCTAACTTTCCTTTCCCCAGTCTTGTCCTTTTTTTAAAAAACAAATAAAAAACAAAAACAAAACCTTTTTGTTTTGAAATAGTTTCAGTCTTACAAGAAAGTTACAAAAACAGTATAAAGAATTCTCATATATCTTCATCCAGATTCTCTAAAGGTTAATGTTTTACATTTGCTTTATCTCTCTGTATGTGTATACATATATGTATGTATGAATATAAACACACACATCTATAAATTATCAGCAGTACTATTTTTGAAAAATTTCAAGAGAAGTTGAAGATATAAAATGCCCCTTTATCCCTATATACTTTAATATATATTTTCAAAAAAAAATGATATTCACATAGAACCACAGTACAATTATTAAAGTCTGGAAATTAACATTAATATAATCCTATTACTTAATTTCTTTATACATATAAACTTTATTCATATTTCAACAATTGTCCCACTAATGTCCTTTACAGCAAAAAATATAGTTACTGCTATAAGGACATCAGTAAGATAATAACTTTTATTATAATAGTACTTTTTTTGGCCGGGCGCAGTGGCTCACGCCTGTAATCCCAGCACTTTGGGAGGCCAAGGCGGTCGGATCACCTGGGGTCAGGAATTCGAGACCAGCCTGGCCAACATGGTAAAACCCTGTCTCTACTAAAAATACAAAAATTAGCTGGGTGTGGTGATGGGCGCCTGTAATCCCAGCTACTTGGGAGGCTGAGGCAGGAGAATCGCTTGATCCCAGGAGGTAGAGGTTGCAGTAAGCAGATATTGCACCACTGCACTCCAGCCTGGGCGACAAGAGCAAGATTCCATCTTAAAAATAGTAATAATAATAACAATACATTTTTTCCTGGTCTAGGATCTGACTCCATATTAAAAACCACATTTGGTTGTCATGTTTCTTTAATCTTCTGTAATTTAATCTCCTTACAATTGTTTTCTGTATCTTTCAGTGATTATGATCTTAACATTTTCAAAGACTAGAGACTATGTTGTAGAATATTCCTCAATTTGGGTTTCATTAATGTTTTTCCACGATTAAATTCAGGTTATGTATTTTTGGTACAACTACCACAAAAGTGGTATTGTATCCTTCTCATGTCATATTAGGAGTTAGAAGATACTATTTGTCCCATTACTGCTGATATTAACTTTGATTGCTTAAGATGGCATCTCCCAGGTTGCCCTAGTCAAATACTATTTTTCCCCTTTAAATTAACAAATATGTTAGGCCGGGCACAGTAGCTCATGCCTGCAATCCCAGCACTTTGGAAGGCCGAGGCGGGCAGATCACTTGAGGTCAGGAGTTCAATACCAGCCTGGCCAACATAGTGAAACCCCGTCTCCACTAAAAATACAAAAATTACCCGGGTGTGGTGGCAAGCGCCTGTAGTCCCAGCTATTTGGGAGGCTGAGGTAGGGGAATCACTTGAACCCAGGAGGCAGAGGTTGCACTGGGGCGAGATTGCACCACTACATTTCAGCCTGGGCAACAGAGTGAGACTCCATCTCAAAAAATAAATAAATTAATTAATTAACAAGTATGTTGTAGGACTACAGAAACACTATTTTACCATCAAACTTCCCCCCTTAAGTTTAATATCCATTAGTTCTAACTTTTGCCTGAAATAATTATCTGCATTATTATGGTGGTTGCCAAATAGTGATAATTCTAATTCCATCATTCTGCCAACACTTACAGCTTTGGAAATCTACTGTAAGGAAATGCTGTCTATTCATCCATCCACACCCACCCACCCACCCACATCAGTATGGACTCATGGGTTACTCTATGGGGTAGAATCCATTACTTTCATAATCTATTTTGATGCTCAAACTTTCCCAGCTCTTATCAGTGGAGTCCCCTTTCAAGCTGGCTCCTGCGTCCTTCTGACATGGCTCCAACATTCTTCAATCATATTCTTATTTTCTGGCATAATAAACTGTGTGTTCCAGGCTTATCTTTGTATTCCAGCCCTACACCTGGAATAATTTTCCTAAGGAGTCCTGGTTCCCTTTAATGAAAAACAGATTTATTTTATTTTATTTTATACAGTATTTTATTTTATATATTTTATTTTATTATTTTTGAGATAGAGTTTCACTCTTGTTGCCCAGGCTGGAGTGCAATGGCGCAATTTTGGCTCACTGCAACTTCTCTCCTGGGTTCAAGCAATTCTCCTGCCTCAGCCTCCTGAGTAGCTGGGATTACAGGTGCACATCACCACATCCAGCTAATTTTGTATTTTTAGTAGAGATGAGGTTTCTCCACGTTGGTCAGGCTGGTCTTGAACTCCCGACCTCAGGTGATCCACCCGCCTCAGTCTCTGAAAGTGCTGGTATTACAGGCCTGAGGCTCCATGCCCAGCCAAAAAACAGTATTTAAAATCAAGATCTACATGCTAGACATGCCCATTTCTACTGGGTGTCACTGCTTCTAGAGACTCTCAGTGAACAGAGCTAGGAAATATGTATGTAATATATGTATGTACATATATGCACAGATCTATATCTATTTCTAACTATATCAATATATATATATTTTGTTTTGAGACGGAGTCTCGCACTGTCACCCAGGCTGGAGTGCAGTGGCGCGATCTCGGCTCACTGCAACCTCCGCCTCCCGGGTTCAAGTGATTCTCATGCCTCAGCCTCCCGAGCAGCTGGGAGTACAGGCACCTGCCACCACGCCCAGCTAATTTTTTGTATTTTTAGTGGAGATGGCATTTCACCATGTTGGCCAGGCTGATCTTGAACTCCTGACCTTGTGATTCGCCCGCCTCAGTCTCCGAAAGTGCTGGGATTACAGGCGTGAGCCACCACGCCCAGCCCTAACTATATCAATATTAAAAACCACAAGTTCATATTGACATTTTTTCTATTCTTCTAAGACGGCCCTATTCCCTGTATTCAAATCCACTTGCCCCCTTTACTCCTTCTCACAACCGTCTCTGCTCAGGGCCAACTCCTTTCTCCCTAATACAGTTACATATTACAGTTCTGTACTTGCTGCCAAATCTCTAGGGAAGTGGTTCTCAAATGGTTACACTATAGAATAAACTGTACATCTTTTCATGACCAAGGATGATTCACAGGTGACTGTTATGTAGAGCAGCTAGAACTGACAACCACTACGCTGGGAATTTCCTCTCTTAACTATCTTACTTCTTCTGGGCCTCACAGAGGGAAGAGAGAAGGCACAGACACTAAGAGTTGAATCTATGTGGTTAAATATATTAAATGCATATGCTGATCTAGGATTTCCCAATCAGTGCATTAAGACATGCTGGTGCCTTAAGACTATCTCATTTAAGAATGCCCTGAAGTATTCACATGCTCCTTAATTAAATATTAGTTCAGCGACTTAAAATTAAATTCCAGACAGCCAAACAAATATTTCAGAAGACCTTTTACCCTTTGCATCAACTACACAAGTGTTTTTGACTTTGCACAAACAGAAAACAGAGAGCCTTTGTTAGTTGTATTCATTTTTGCATAACCCAATGCTTGCCACCTCCTGAACACCTAGGGAGTATTCATTATTTGAGTGCTTTCCCATTTTTCTCGTTTCAAATCACATAAACATTTCTAACTAGCAATGGTGAGCATGATAGGGAATCGTCTTTGGTCCCACAACTGAAAACAGAAAGGAATAAAAAGTAAAGAGCATCAGAAAAGAAAGTGTACCTCTTTGCAGAGGAAAATGGAAAAATAACAAACAAGAGAAAGGGTAGGAATCAGAGTGTCAGGAAAACCTGTATTAGTGATCACAAAATGAAGAAATGCCTAAACACAAGAATCAGTTACTAGCAATTCTCTAATGGTTAGAACAAAAGAAGCAGAAAACATATTTTAACACTCAGAAAATATTGTCAATATGCCAATAAATACTGCTAATCTTAAGTATTCCATACCCATTCACTAAAGGAAGTCCAATAATTTCCTTCAAAAGGCATTGCTAATGGTCTGTTTTGCAATATATCTGAAATTAATTACAGTCATGCATTGCTTAATGACACAGATAAGATCTGAGAGGTTGGATGTGGTGGCTCACACCTGTAATCCCAGCACTTTGGGAGGCCAAGGCGGGAGGACAGCTTGAGCCCAGGAGTTCAAGAACAGTCTGGGCAATACAGTAAGATCCAGTCTCTTAAAGAAATAATCGAACAAATAAAGATCTGAGAAATGTGTTGTTAGGCAATTTCTTTGTTGCACAAATGTCACAGTGTACTTACATAAACCTAGAAGGTATAGCCTATTGCTGCTAGGCTACAAACCTGTACAGTGTGTTACTGTACTGAATACTGTAGGCAACTCTAACATAAGGTAAGTACTTGTGTATCTAACATATCTAAACATAGAAAAGGTACAGTAAAAGTACAGTATTATAATTTTAGGGGATCACCATCATATATGCAGCCCGTCAGTGACCGAAATGTTATGCAACATATATATGACATATTTAAGGGTTGAAAATGAACCCTTCCCTACTTCTCACGCCTGTATACTGCTTTCAAAAAGCGATTGATAGTTCAGGGTTTTTTTTTAATGATTTAGATAAACCTCTCTTTCCTCATGTCCAATAGTCCACATTTATAAAGTCTTAATATATTTATGAACTTATCTTGTTTCAGTCTTAGAAAAGTGCCAAATCTTCATAAAATATTGTAGATTCCCTTAGCTAAGAACCAGAATGCCAAATTAAAAACTCAAGTCTGGGTTAGGGAATGTCATCTACACTTGGGAAATCCATCCTCTAATGTTTAAAAAAATCACATCCTCAAGAATTATAGAAATTCTGGTTATTAACCAGGAAGAGAGTTTTTCCTAAAATATACTATCCTTGGCAGCTGTCATGCTTCACAGCTGTTATATTAACAGCTGACAAGGACAAGCTTTCAATGTTAGGAGAATCCACAGAAAATGCTTTGCCTCCAATTATAATTCCTTATTTTACATTTATACGTTCCTGATACTTTGCAATGTTAGAGAAGGTACTACTGTGTGTGGTGTTAACTGTTAATTATGAGAAATGGAAGACAGTGAATACTCCTCCAGAACAGTGCTTTCCTCTATACCATATCATTTAACAGTATGAGATCCTGTTTCTCTTACTTAAAATTCTGCTTCATACTGCTTCTGAAAGCCAGATGGGAACAAGCTCATCAATTTGAAATCGAACACAACTGACAACTCAGAAAAGGAGAAAGATTCCACTCTTACTTCTGACTGTTTGCAGAAGAGGGTTGAAAATGAACCCTTCCCTACTTCCCACGACCTTGTAGCAGCCAGAGGCAGCAAGGTCCATTTTCACTTGGAAGAACTACAATATGGTTTCCAAGGAACTGTAAAGTCTCAAGCGAGCAACAAGGAATAGTAGTAGTATTTCAAGTTATCAGCTTCCCAAACACAGGAGATCTGTGATAGAATATTTAGTTTACTGAAGAGATCAAAACTTCCAAGGTGCATAAGGACACTAAATTCCTCTTATCACTTCAACTGCAAGCATAAAATGGTATGATCAGTAAATTTATAAAAGGCATAGGTAGCAGATAAACAGCGTAAACAACTGGCCAATAGAAGCTACTGAAAAGTAGGATTTCTTGTGGTGGGCCAGTGGCGCAATGGATAATGTGTCTGACCACGGATCAGACGAAAAGTAGGATTTCTTATAGAAAGTCATCAATGCCATTAGCTACCATTATGTTAAAATTATTCAAGTTATTAGAAAAAAAAAGATTGATCTTGAATACTATTAAGCTACCTTCAATGAAACCTAATTTGCACATTACCTTTCGAGTTTGCATTTTCTCTGTTCTTCTCCGAAAGGCAACATAAGGGTCATTGTTGGTAGAGCCATCTCTTTTCTCTTGTTTTATCTGAGGAATGAGGGATGGCCCCCTGCAGTTTTTACGTTTTCTCACCCAGTAGTCATATACAGCTTTAATAAGGTAATCATCTTCGTTTAGCAGCAGTTTTGCTTCTTGAAGTGTTACAAGCTAAATGAAAAATACAAAATGTCATTGGCTACAATGTTTGCAAAAAGAAATAAAAGTTAGCTTATGGCTGTAGAAAAAAATGCGACCAGTTTCAATAACTACTAACAGATAATATTATAGTAAGTGAAGACACAATTCAATTCAACCTAATGAAGGAATCATTAATTAGGAGATTTATCTAAAAATTAGTAATTTTCCCTGAGAGACAGTGAGTTGTACCACTGATAATATTTAAGAAGGCTGGATCAATGATATTTGGGAAGACTATAATAAATATATGCCTCAGGCAAGTCTTGGACTAGAAGACATCCAAGATCTTTCAAAACTCTGATATTATACACATTTGAGGATCTATCAGTTTTCAAGTCTAATAGCTTGTTTGTTCCCCTACACAAAGTAGGAGGTATGGGGGTTTCTTTTTATGTGCGTCCAAAATAAAAGATGAATATTCTCTAATATATTGCAATTTACTATAATATACCTCTTTCGGAATTGATTATAAAAACAAACTTAGCATGTTTCCAGAAGTTTCAACATTATGCAATTTTGAATTCTTTGTACCAGTGACATATAAAATAATTCCTCTATCCAAGTGTTAAGTACTAGAGAATACTTATTCTTAACACTCATTCTGCTAATGACAATGTCATGTCCTGGGACAGTGGCCCTAGGATGGTTCCCTTAGGAGCTCTAATGCTGGTATTTCAGGGACCTACCTCTTTACCAGTGCAGCCAGCATAATGCTGACACATCTCAAATTAAGGCTGTAAACATTTGCTTGGTCATATTTGTTGCCTTGCACCTCGAGATCGGATAAGACAATCGGCTTTAGCAGGATGGAATGGGGGTTACACATATCCATTTACAGCAAACATTAGAAAAAGATCATGCCACTTTAGGGCTGGGAAGTCTCCCTGAAGTGATGCTATCTCAATCTTTTTACTTGTATTATTTTAGAGATGAAGGCTCATTTTCAGAAGCTGAGATATTTCCCAAGAAATGTTTCCCTAGTACTTGGAAATGAAAATTTTTCTCATTGAAATTATAAGATCAATATAAAAATTGACCTGTATGTTGTATGAAGTCTATTGAAGAACTCAAAATTCACCAAATAAATTTCTCATGATTTCTTGTGTTGGTATAACTTCATGGAATAAATGCACTGATCACTGGACTTCAAGTCCTATGATGATTATTTCTAGAATTAATTCATCGGTTTCTTATTGTAATTTGTCTGCCTAGTTTGACCACAGGAAGAGAACACACTGACAATGTCAACTCAAGTATTGTAGTCCATGTCACAATTACATTTAGTGCATTAAAATACTAAGTGGCCATTCTATGGTTACCCAATCTCTTAGTAGAGGTAGCTTAACTACATTTGAGAGGCTGCATTTGGTCCTTAAAGTGGATAGCCAGAGTCTGGAAAATAAGACCACACCATAAGAACCAGTATTTCCAAACATCCACCTTTAAGTGGATACCTTTCTACCATTAGCTGGAGTTCTCCGGAATGGTGATGTCAACCCCAGTCTACAACAACAGTGGTAGAATAAGAACACAGCTTTCTAGATCTAATAAAATTCTACCTTGTACTGACAGCAACACGGCAGTTCTCATGTGTTCTGGAGGCCAAGGGAAACAATTCTGTGATGTGTCACATGTTCTTCAGCTTCTTGATCATTTCACTTCTGATAAAATTTTGTTACCTTCACTACTAAATCAAGAGCTTAATCTAACCTCCGAATGGGGAGAAGGATAAGTGCTCTTTCCACCAATCAGCAGAACGTTAATGAGTTTCTTACATAACAATACTCAGGTTTAACATTGCTTCTTATGCTCCTGCATGGTATGTTGAGATTAAAATACCTGCTCAGATTTCTTTCTCTGGTGCTTCTTGCTCCAGCTTACAATGTGTATTGCCGTGTTGTTAAAAGCCGTCTTTATATCACAAGTAATAAGAATTCAACACACACTTTACAGTTAAACATTCTGATATTTCTTTCCAGTGTTAACTAATTTTTCAGTTCACTGCTGTATGTTGTTATAAAGCAACTTTCTATTTTATGAGTAATCTTGGTTTTAATAATTCTGTAAAAATTATCTTTAGCTACTCTGAGGCAACTAGTATCACTGTATCTCTATTGTGGGTATAGCATCAATTTGAGTGGGGAAGAACTACTTGTAGATAAATCAGTCACACATTATTAAGTCACATGATTAAAAATCTGCAAAATCAGAACTTTACTATTTTTATACAGTATAAAAAAAGTTCTGTCATTTAGCAGCCAGGCACAGTGGCATGCAACTGTAGTCCTAGCTACTCGGGAGAGTCACTTAAGCTCAGGAGTTCAAGTCCAGTCTGGACAGCATACTGAGACCCCCTAACTCTAAAAAAATTAAAAATAAAAATGTTCCATCATTTAGCACGTAATTCATTCACTAAAAAGCAGTAGAAACCAGTTACTTAACTGGCAAAAAAGTCTGGTAAATTTATTATTTCCAAGATAGCTCTGAGTTGATTTACATTATTTACTTACAGGGATGGGGAGATAAAAAAAAATTATCCTACCATATAGGCTTTTCTTCTAGATGGCTACTAGCTCTATGAAGACAAGGACCACTTAGTCTGTTAATCAACAAAATCTGTAATTTCAATAAATATATTTTGAATACATAAACGAATATATTATATGTAAAAATTAATGTATTCTAATTTATAAAACATTGAGTTAAGCAGTAATTTAATTTACAAAACAGTCAACTAGGTAGTTATTAAAAATTAACTACCATCAGCCCATTAATGGGTTATAGAATGTGGGGAAGATAAGGGAAAAAACTTTAAGATGAATTTGCTACCTAAAGAAACTCATGACATGGCAACAAAGGTAAGACAAACACAAATTAATTAATAAGGGAACAATGTGAAAACTTTGGAACTGAGCATTACTGTAATAAGATACAGGGCAGAGTAGGACAAATTTCCATCTGGGACTGCCTATACTGTGTTCAGGGTTGATAAGTGAACACCTCTTTGCTACACAACTTCTTTTTTAACTTTACTTCTTTCAAATCTATGGCTTATTATTTGTGTAACAGCCTAAATACTACCAAAGGCAGGCTTCCAAATAACAAGCATTTACATTAAATTCAAAAAGAGTTAAATGACCACTTTTTACCTTATACTCTTCAAGAATGAATGACCACAGCTCAAAACCAACACACTGAAATTATGATTCTAAATAGATAACACTGGAAACATCTTATTTAGCAAATGACCCCTAATTTACACAATGCCACAAAATTACGGCAAGCCAATCTGAAATGAAAACATCAGCATTCAATGAAATCAAAATATACATGGTTGCACATTTTGAGTATTCTGCATAAATTAAATTAAGGAGAAAACATTTTCTTCTCCAAAGACCCAGAAAATGGAAGAAGTCTTCAGACTACAACAACAAAGACTGGTAGAGTTATAAAGTTCTCCTGTCTTTGGGTAAGTGCCCAAACATAAACCATGTGCTACTTTTTTTTTTAAGGGACATATGCCTACATCAAAAAAGAAAATAGCTGTGTAAATTCGAAGACTGCTAATGCAATACAGCTAAATGAAATACTTTTCTCTCCCATAGAAAGGTGATACTAATCCATTAAAACACATATGATCTTCATGCTTGAGATGACTATTTTAGAAGGATTTATCAATTCATTTCTTCCTCTAAAGTTTTCCACTATAGTTTTCTGATTCTCAACAGTGTCAACCCACATTGAACCACAAATAGAATAAGGAAATTAGAATGATAAAATGATCAGAAAAAAAAGATCTCTTCAATTCCATGAATAATCTTCTAAGGTCTTCAAAACTGTCAAGAATTCTATTAATCTGCCGTTTAGGAGACAATTCTGTCTACATATTGATAGATCACTGATGCTGAAACTAACCTTCTCTGCAGTCATAGGAATGACCCCCTGATCTTTTAATAATATAAAGTTAAAACAAATCTGGATAGGACAACACTTTAAATGAGATGAAATGGAAGACATAAACTCAAATTACTTTTATAATCTGACTGCTCATTAACTTTATATAACATAATTATAAAATACATGTACACACACATTACAGCATGGTATGGTGGTTTTAAAATTTTATTGTGTGATGGGGTTCACTGGGACTGCTTCAAAAGATCTAGACCAAATTTCATTTTTAATACACAAATACTTTAACATCATAGTAAAGAACATATCCATTTCAACATGCTACATACTAAATTAAAAAATACAAGAGGCACCCTCTCCCATGTAAAAATGTACTTGTTCCTAGTGCACGTGAGAACCACATTTTCCTAACTGCCACTGCTTGTGGTCTGCCCCATCCAAAGCATAATCAATAATGCAGTATCAAGTAAACAATTAAAATGCTGCATGATGAAAAAAAAAAAAACCGATGATGTGATTATTATATTGAGTTTTAGGCGCTTTTAATTTGAATTTTCTAAGTACAATGAAGGTTGAGAACATGTATCAGTCAAAGTTTCTATTTGCAAGCAATAGATGGAATTTATTTACAAGATACTGGATAGTTCTACACCTTCAGAAGTACTGGTGAATCAGGCTTGGAATCCATAATGCCTAAAATCAGGCCACAGAACTGATCCAGTAGGGAAACCACTGCTGCTGGTACTATGAACACCACCGGCATGAGGACTATAGCTGGAACAGCAAATATTTAGTCTTACACTACAGTCTTAGTAAACATGTAGCCTGTATCCCAAGGTGATAATTTTACTAAAAACTATTATAAATAGAGGACCTGGCATTACAGGCAGAAGTAACAATGTAAAGCTATAAAAGGTATGGTACATTAGAGGACCAGAAAGAAGTTCAGCATGGCTGGAATCAGGTGGTTCAGATTTCACTTTATAGACAGTGGAAGCCAATGAAGTTTTTCTTTTTTAAGAAGATGAATTTTTAATAAAATAGCTAGTGGCAGAATAGCAGTGGTCCAGCTGAAAAATAATAAAAATAAGGGAACATGGTACAGGCAACAAATACAGGTTGAGCAGCTCTAATCTATAAATCTGAAATGCTCCAAAATCAATTTTTTTTTGAGTCCCAACATGATGCTACAAGTGTAAAATTCCACACCTGACGTTATTTGACAGATCACAATCAAAATGCAGTCAAAACTTTGTTTCATTCACAAAATTATTTAAAATATTGTAAAAAAATTACCTTCAGACTGTGTGTATAAAGTATATATGAAACATAAATACATTTCATGTTTACAGTTGGGTTCCATCCCCAAATAATCTCATTATATATCTGTAAATATTCCAAAATGTGAAATAATCTAAAACCCAAAACACTTCTGGTCCCAAACATTTTGGATAAGGTATACTCAACCTGTGTAACATTGTGGAACAAAAAACTGGTTTGATTTAGTGATGTTTGGGATGATTTTAAAGAAGTCAGCACTAAAGTGCAAACTGGCCAACTAGAAGGAAGATGAAAATGATATCATTAATTAAGAAAGAGAGTATATTAGTCTGTTCTTGCATTGCTATAAAGAACTACCTAAGACTGGGTAATTTATAAAGAAAAGAGGTTTAATTGGCTCATGGTGCTGCGGGCTGTACAGGTAGCATGGCTGGGGAGGCCTCAAGAAATTTATAGTCATGGGAGAAGGCGAAAGGGAAGCAGGCACATCTTATGTGGTGGGAGCAGAAGAAAGAGAGAGAAGGGGGAGGTGCTATACACTTAAATATTCTTGTGAGAACAAGTTTGTGAAACAATCTTGTGAATCGATCTTGTAAAACAATGTTGTGAGATCTTGTGAGAACTCACTATCATGACAACAGCAAGGGGAAAATCCACTCTCACGATCCAATCATCTCCACCAGGCCCTCCACAAACACTGGAGATCACAATTCCACATGATATTTGAGCAGGGACACAAATCCAAACCATATCAGAGAGCAAAACTGGGGGAGGCAAAGGAGGTCTGGAGATGTTAAATTTGAAATACTTGCTTAGGTGGAAAGGTTCCACTAGAAATCCAGCTCTGGAGCATTTGGGAACCAGCAAAAAACTACTAGCAGCTTAAGATAAATGAAAAAATGCAGGGGACAGATAACAAAGGAAATATCAACACTGAAGATAAAGAGGAGATGAAGAAAGAAGACAATAATCAGGAAAATGTCCTGGTCAACATCATTCAATACTGCAGGGACATTAAGTAGGATACAAGTTGAAAAGAGGTCCTGATGACAATTAGGAGACCACTGGTAACCTTAAACACTGCAATTTCAGTAAAGTGAAATGGATTGTGATGTGGGTAAAAGGTAAACATAAGAAGCACCAAGTATAGCCAAACTTCTGAAAATTTAACTATGACAAAGAAAGAAGAGACAATGGGTGGTAGTTTGCTGAGAAGGATGGGGTCAAATGAAAGGGTTCTCCTGGAAATAGGGACTTGGGCACCTTTTGGGGCAGAAAGAGAAAGATTGAAGAAATGAGAGAGGAGATAAGTGAAAATAAAATATTCGAGGACTATACAGGTACACAAGGAAGAGTTAGGAAGGGTTTAGGATTATGCTTCTACAGGAGTAAAAGGTAGTATGGAGGTAGAAAGGAAGGAAAATGATGGAAAATGATTACCCAGGGTGTTAGAAGGAGAGTTCTGTTTTGGGCAGGAGTGGTCTTTCTATGGGAATGTGTGATAAGTGGAGAGCAGTGAAAGGTCAATAGGGTATATAGAAGGTTAATCAGTAACTAAAAATCGGGTGTTCAATAGTTTAGGAATGAGATAAGGGTTATACATTAAAACACTGAGGGTTTTCAAAAGAAAAATTAAAAACACATTTCTTGGAAAGTGTTTTATTATTTATTTTAGAGAAAATCCTATGAAAGAGAATGCCATTTAAGATGGCTTGTGATTTTTAAAAATTAACTTTAATCTCAAATATTTAGAAAACTTACAAGAATAAAACATTTCAAAGAACACTGTATATCCATTTACACCAAGACTCATGTATTGTTAGCTTTTGTATTTGCTTTAACATTTGTGTGCATTTAAGCTCTAATTGTGTGTGTGTGTGTATACAATTTTTTTTCTGATCCTTTTGAGGGTGGGAAGTTACACATATCATGGCTCTTTACTCCTAGATACTTAAGTGTATATTTCTTAAGAATAGGGATATTTTCTTTCATAATCACAGCCTTCAACTTTAGTAAATTTAACATTGAAAATATTATGTAATCTACTCTCTATATTCCAATATTGTCAATTGACTCAAAAATAATCTTCATAGCATCCCCCTACTCCCATCCACTACAAGATTCAGTCTCAGGTTAGGTACTGCAATTAGTTGTCTGTCACACTGGAAAGAAGATACTAAATCAAACAATTTGATAACATTCAATTCATGGGTTTGTCAAATCCCTTTCCTTCATTCAGTGCTTTGATAAAACCTGACAAACCCTGAAGTGAATTAGTTATCAATGAAGGAAAGGGATAAAAAATGGATGGATCTGAGTTTGGGAGTTACTGAAGAGATAAGGATTACAAGATTACATAGGGTAAGACAGTAAGTTCAGTTCCCAAAAGGATAAACTTGAGGGGACTGTGGACCATCCAGGTGAAGATGTTAATAGGCAAAACCAAAAGGGGGAAAAAAATCCTGGAGTTTGAGAAAGAGGTCAAGGCCAAAGGTAATACATTATTATATCTATAAAAATACTCACTGAGCTGATATTACACAAAAATATGTAGGATAAGAAAACCAAGAACAGAATTTCAAGAAACCCTGATGTTTACAGGAGTTGAATGAAAGGGATCAAGCAAAAGAAAGAAGGAATGGTCATGAGAAACAATAAAACCAGAGGGAATAAACTGTATTTTTATTTTTTAAAAAAAGGTGAAGACAGCTCCAAGACATGAGAGCACAAATCAAATAAACAGATTGGGACTGAAAATAATTACAGCATTTGACAACAGGAGTTTTCAATCATGACTTCATTGAAATAGTCTCCCAGAATAACAGAGGCAGGTTTGCCTAAGTCTATCTTTTGTCGTTTTCTGTTAACCTAATAAATAGTAGTTTAACTACAAACTTGATTCCTTGTCCCAGGACCTAGTACTATGCCAGCCCCCATAAAGGAAAAGTAAAGAGATCCATAAATTAACAGATCAGGGAATGGAATGAAGATAGCCCTTTGTTATCTTTAATCCTTGATTCTAATGCAGGACCATTACTTTGTTCCAATGACAAAACCTCCACTTTTACTTTCCATTGCTGAAAGTAGATGCTATCATGCTCTGTGCCTAGCTACTTGTTTCACAGCCTAGAAGCTTGTCCCTGAGCAAAGAGAACTAAAATAGGATGGGGCTGATTATATGTGCACAGTTAACTGTATTGCTTACATGTTTTTTTGTTTATCCTGTCTCCAATTGGATAATACGCTGAACAAGGGCAGAATTTTTGTCATCTGTCTTACTCACTGCTATCACCTGCCTTGTCCACCTGGACACTAAATATTGCTTACTGACTCAAAGAAAGCAAATTACAGAACAGAGAGCTGAAGGCTTCTGATGGTATCATCTCAGCCACTATGAGTAGTTTCTGAGCAATCATAGAAAATCATAAACATACCAAAAGGCTGATCCAGCCTAGGATTGCTAAGAAAATTTACATCTAAAGAAAAACTGAAACTTTACCTGATGCCTGCGATTAAAATCCCAGGAAAACTGTAAGTCACCAATTATAATGAACATCAAGTTGGTACTTTTTTAGAACTCCCAACAAAAAACCAAGTAAGACAATCTCTCAAAAACCAGTAACATGAATTTTACAAAATGCAATTTTCAAAATGTATTTCTTTGAATAGTACAGTGGATATTATTTTTCATCAAAATGGTGCGGGGGGGGGGGGCAAACTGATAGGCTAAATATGCAGCAAAGTCACTTGCCAAAGGAAAATGCTCTGAAGAGCTTGTAATGCCTTAGAGATTTAAAAGATTTAAGTTGTAGGGTAAAATAATAAATTTGTATGGGTAAACTAATGAAAAGTTTTAACAATCTACTGTAAAAAGTTTATTTGCAACTCTAACTTCTTAGAATGTTAATAACAATTAGCACATTAATATACCACACAGGTACACCAAAACTTATGTTTAAAAAGTTTATTTTAAAAATCTAATTATAGTATCAACACATAGCTCATGATAAATTTGGAAAACATAGAAAAATAGGATAAAGAACATAAAAATCACCAATTGCAGCACCCAAATATAACCACTGTTAGCATTTTGTTGTAAACTTCCTTATTCTTTTGCTTTCTATGCACATGTATAAATATAAATGATTAAACAAACCTCAAAGTTTTCCACATAAAGAGTTCTGTATCCTGTTTTCTAAATCTGATATTATATAATGTACAATTTCCTATGGCACTAGACATCCTTCAAAATCATGATTTTAATGCCTGTGTTATAGTCTACCTCAGAGACATCTTATTTATTCTGAACATTCTTGCTCAAAAATCACTGACATTTTTTCTAATTATTTTTCTTGTGAACAATTCCAAAAGATGAGATTATTAAATCAAAGTGCATAAATATTTTTAGGCTCCTGACTTACACTGCTTAACTGCTTTCCAGAAAGACAGTGCCATTTTAAATTACCTGTGCCATATATAAAATACCTCACTAAAGAATATTCTTTTGTAAATAATTTTTCCCTCACTGAACTGAAATAATGTATAAGTAATTAAAATTAAAATCCATTTAAAATGATGAGTACCTTAATATCTGAGCAAGATTTGACATAAGATGACTGCCTTAAAGATCCAAGCAAGCAAATTTAGTTATGGAAGCACCAATACTAGTCATATGGAAAGGATCAATAAAATATTATAACATTGTGACTAGTATTATTTTTATCCAAACAGGAAAACAGTCAGAACAGTACTCTTCATACTCTTATTCAAAGAAATTGTGCTTAAGTACTCTCCACTCACGGAACATTGTAAACAGAAATTCCAGGATGTCAGGAAAAGAAATCCAAGAAACAGTAAAATGCAACACACTCAGGTCTTATAAAGGTGCAAATTGGGTTAACTAGAAGATAAGAGACATCTTTACATGGTACAGTACCTGATTAGAACTGGCTTTTTCAAGTCTGTCAATCATAATTTCAAATTGCAAAGGCTTAATTTCCATCTTTCTGTTAAGTCTATTTAATAAAGTCTCATCTTCTGAATCCATATCATAATCTGGTTGCTCGTTGTCTAGATTAAAAGCTAGAAAAGAAAGAAAAATTCTTCAAACTCAGGAGAAATTATGAAATTATACATTGTTCATCATATTTGACTGCAGACTACCTCTAAATTACAGTGCACTGACTAAAGGGGAGCTCAGGAGAAGGTATCCACAATTAATTTCAGAGACTTACTGCACAGTGGAAGAAAAAATAAAATTTTGCTTTATATATGATTTAAACAGTAAAAACGTTAAGAAATATCTTATTTTGAAAATGTATAACAGAATATAAAATAGCAGCTATAAAAAAGATGACATATACATGTTGACATGGTAGTTTGGTGGCATAATGAGAAACTTTGCCAAAATTAAGAATTGAGAAACAAGCTCAAGAACAGAGTATAATGGAAATGATGTTTCAAATTACTGAGGATAAAACAGGTATCTAATGAAAAAAAAAGAGTGTTGGCATAACAGACTAGTTATCTTAAAAAAATTAAGCTGAATTCCTACCCTACTTCTAACACCAGTAAGTGACATATTCAACAAAATTTAATGGTAAAAAGTAAAACACATAAAAATACTAGAGGAACATACAGGGTGGGAATGTTGCACGGGCAGCAACTCAGAAGCCATAACACTGATTAAAAATAGATTGATTTGACTATATAAACTTTTTAAATTTCTACTTAGAAAACTTTAAGTCAAGACAAAGAACAAAAAGAAAAAGATGTACTATATAAATAAAAGGCTGATTTTCTTAAAGATTTCTTGCAAATTAGAAAAAAACTAGTAACTCAACAAATATTGGCAAATGATGTGAATTGGTATTTTAGTAGAGAATAAATATCAATGATTTTTCTTTTTTTTTTTTTTTTGAGGCAAGGTCTCATTTTGTCTGTTGCCCAGGCTATAGTGCAATGGCACGATCTTGCTCACTGCAATCTCTGTCTCCTGGGCTCAAGCAATTCTCCCACCTCAGTCTCCCAAGTAAAGTTGGGACTACAGGTGTGCACAACCACACCCAGCTAATATTGCATTTTTTGTAGGGATGGGGTTTCCCCATGTTGCCCAGGCTTGTCTGGAACTCCTGGGCTCAAGCGATCTGTCTGCAACTCCTGGGCTCAAGCGATCTGTCTGCCTCGGCCTTCCAAACTGCTGGGATTACAGGCATGAGCCACCACACACCCAGCCAAGAATAAATGTCAATGACTTTTAAACATAAAAAAAGTGTAACTTCAGTGATAGATTGATAAATATACAATAATAAGACAATAGGTTTCACTCAGCAAAGATCTAAAACTTGATAATATGCTACTCTAGAAAGAGCAGCAGAAGAAAGCCCTTTCAAACCATGTGTGTAGGCAATTATAAACTGGTATTTAGTTTCATTAAAAATGTATCCTCTTGAACTTGGCAACTCTATTTCTAGGATTCATCTTACATATAAACATACACAGAAACAAAGATATGTACACAGGGTATTAGTTATGACACTGCAAGAAGTAAAAAATACAAAACAAACAATGTGTGTAGGATTAGATAAATGATAGTTTACACATACATGGAATATATAGACTGAAGGTCTGAAAAAGACATTGACCCATGTATACTGACATAGAATGAAACTGATCTTCATAAATATTAAATGAAAAAAGCTAAGGGGAGGAATAGTATATATAGCGCACTAATATATGTGTTTTAAAAAGGACAAGGTTGGATATATATGCATGTGTTTGTAAATGCACAGGATATTTTTGAAAGAATACTTAAAACTAGTAATCTCTATTTCTGGTTAAGGGGACTACAAAAGGAGGGGTTCACAGATGGTGAAGCAATTTTCTTTGTTCCCATTTGTATTGTTTGACATTTTAAGCATGTACATGTATAAGTTATTAAACTATAAAGGGTAAAAAAACTAAAGTGCCACAAATTATGTGTTGAAATTACATGACAAGATTTAGAGTAAGGCAGTAAAAGAGATATCAATAACCAACAGGTTGGTTATATAGAGGCTGTCTGTGCAGCGATGTGTAAATGAATATCCTACATTCATACCACGTGAAATGTCCTGGCATTCTCAGATTCAGCATGACTTTCTTAAAGGTACTAACAAAGGAATAGGAACAGATGTATATAATTATCTAATTTTAGTAAAATCAGCCTCCTACTACAGATAGTACTGATGAAGTTAAAATATCTAAAGGCATTTGCTTTATAATCAGTAAAGGACTACATCTCAAAAATCTAGACTTCAGTTCATTGCTTAAGAAATTTTTACCACTAGATAACAATAATAAAAACAAAAATAAATGTTAGCTAGCACTTATAAACTTATATAGTACTATGGGCAAGGTAGTACTCAAAGTGCTTTAAACATACTAAATTAACTGTCACAACCATCCTATGTGGTAGGCAGTATTTCATCTCTCAATGAGTCCCACATTCTAAAATTTGTGTTATTGTATTTAAGTATGCGATATAATCTAAAGTTAAATCAGAGGAGTTACAGCTATTGGTGAACTAATGATAAAAACTATTTTGTAAGTATGATTCATTTAAAATATTCTTGAGAATAAAATGCATTTTTCTCTTATCTTTTATGTAAAACCTTGTCTTTATTATATGATAATCAATAATTCAAAAGCATGCTTTTAAAAAGTCAATCTAATCTGCATCAAAGTCAATGACAAAATGATACAGAGCTCATAAACTACATAGATTACTAAAAATTACTCTTCCTTTCACAAAGGATGTTGTATTTGTAAATGCACATAATGACAGTCCAATGATCTGCCTTAATCCACATACTAACAGCAAACAGTCAATAAAATCAGGTAGTTGATACAGCTAGAAGACATTTTAGAGAAAGATTTAGGAAAGTGTGGAGCAGAGTTAACACAATATACTGAATTTATAAGTTAAACAGAAGTTTTCAAAAGTTCAAGGGCAAGGCTATATATACAAATTTTGCATGACCATCTTTTATACACCTACCTAATCTTACTCACCTCTTGTTCCTCCACCTCCTATCTGCTCTATCTTCTTATTCTATTCTTACAAAAGCCAGCACCCCAGCTTGTGAGGCAGGGGAAGGAACAAGAAAAGCTGGGAAATAGTTTAGAAAAATTAATAGTGAGAATTGATAGGAGATCTGACAATGTGTTAAATCAGAACCAGGGCAAAGACTTGCACTAGCAGTCTAAGTATTCTATACTACCATTTCTCTTTCACTCAAAACCCATATAAGAATCATTATAGATTTTGGAGATTTTGTTGCTTTTAAACCAGGTACAGGTGCCTGCCTGTACCTCTCTTTACCTCAGGTTCTATTATCTCCTCTACCAGACAGAGGTAAAAATTCTTTAAAAGCAGTGATTACTTCAGTCATACCTGTATACTCCCTACATGGCACTTAGAGAAAAAAAAAAAAAGAGGACATACTAAAAGCTACTGAATAAAAATAGCATTTCTAAAATATATAAATATAAGAAGAGATTCTTTTAAACTACAAGCAGAATATTTTAAGTTGATTGATACCTCACTTTTTGAAACCCAGATAGCTTTCTCCTGCTAAAAAATCCACTCTTACAAATAGTGGGTTAGTTTCATAGGTCAGTCAACCAAACAAAACAGATAAAACAATACCTCCCACCTCAACATAAAGAAGGGGGCAGACAGGACACTTGACAACTTCTTGATGTAGTACAGCAACAGAATTAAGATATTGACAAAGCTAATAAGGGCATGTGTCTGTGTGTACATGGAAGACTTCCTGTAGTGAAGTTAACCGAGCAGTAAACCAAAAAAAAAAAAAAAAAAAAAAAAAGAAGAAGAAGAAAAGAAAAGGAAGAAAGAAAAGAAAAATAAGCGAATTTAAGAGGGTGCATGACTACTATTAGAAGAAGAAAGCAAGTAGGAAGGAAAGTAGATGAGAAGTTCCTTGCAGTAGCCATCAGGTAGCTACCACTGCTCAGGAAAATTTGGTTGCTCTCTGGCAAAAAGAGCAACAGCTTCTGTGTAGGTAAGGAAGTGGGTATAACCTGCTGTTTGAATATATAAAGCATTCACACATTGACTGGTTATAGCTTACAAAATATATATAGTTAGTCTAAAATTAGTTGGTAAAGCAAATATTACTTCTAATTAAAAGTACCTTTCAAAGTCCCTTAGTACTTGGCCATATTCATATGTAAGTATCTAATAAGCACAGCTATTTAGTGGAATGAAAATACAGAGAACCCAGGAGAAGAAACGGTATGAGGAAAATTTTCCAGGGCCAAAAAATGGCAAGATATTTTCAGGTTAAAGGGGGCTTACCAAGCATGGTATAAAATGAGTAGCATGCAATTCAATGTGGCACATAATGATGGGCCAGTTACTGCCCATTACTTCATAATACTGTTATGAATATGAATATGATTGCTATATAATACCTGTTATATAGAACTGTTTAGGGGAGACATTTATTCTCCATATTTCCATTCAAATCTCCAGGAGGGAAAAGTTTAGAAAGCACACTTTCAGCTTCTTTTCACTTGTTCTTTCTCCCCTCAGCCAAGGAAGGAGTGACGAACTGTGAACCTGGGAGAAGGACCTATCCGGTCAACAGCTTCTGGGTACATGTTCTCCAGTGGTTCTTCCTTCCTTCATAGTGGCAGCATTCTAGTCAGCCCTCCACTACATGGTAAGCACAGGGGCTGACTCTGCTCCTATTAGGGGGAGACCTGCTCTCTCAGTGACCAACCAGCATTAGAGTATGTTTGTCTAATTCAGGGGTTAAATAATAGAATGTCCATGAAGGCCAAATATCTCACCTTCCACACCACTTTTATTAGTAATAAAGCTGAAATTTTATGTCCACGTATTTATCAATTAGTTTCAAAGCAGAAGAGAAAGGAATGTTATTTCTTGCCTTCCTAAAGCCTCTAAATTATAAACTCACTAATTTATTTTTATAAATGGCTACACTTACTCTGACTCCAAAACATTCTATTTTCTATACTCAGTCTCCATCATATGTCCTTTTGACAATACACACTCAACACCCAGAATTCATGTCACTTACCCTCTTTTCTCTGGTTATTTACACAACTAGGATGCAACTGCACATATAGCATAAGTACCCTCTAATAGACTGAATGTAAACCAATCAAAAGTACTTTAAATTTAAGGCTTTATAATAACAACAAAAACCACACTATAATTTTTCTAACTTAATTCTGTGAATTTAGAACTCTTTATGTAAACCCATCTCTGTATTTATAGATGTTAATCACTGTGTGTGTCTGTCCCTAGACTCTCCTCAGCCATGTTTGACAGGTGACACTCCAATCCACAGGGTATCTGTGGGATCACAGATGAGCAACTGGCTCTCAAACAGCCAGGGTTTAAAGTGTACCTGGGCCAAATTTCCTCTAACAGAAATGTGAGCACAGAGATAGCTTCTGGTTAAATAAAGCAAAATGAACACATACTTATCTCAAAATCCCATTAAAACAAAAGCAAAGGAGTTTTTGTTGTTGTTGTTGTTGTTGTTTCAAATGGCATAAATCTTTACGGGTAACAGAAACAAAGTGAGAACCATCAATTAAATTTTCAGAGTTATAAATGGCATGTATTAGCAGACAAAGAGAATGCTAAAATATAAAATGGCTGCAGGGGACAGACAACAGGAAGCAGGACCCACTCCCAACCCCTGCCTTGGCCCCATCTAAAGACTCAGAGCAGGCTTCTCCAGCTCATGGCCCACGGGCCGCATGCAGCCCAGGACAGCTTTGAATGTGGCTCAACACAGATTCGTAAACTTTCTTAAAACATTATGAGATTTTTTTGCACTTTTTTTTTTTTAAGCTCATCGGCTATCATTACTGTTAGTGTATTTTATGTGTAACCCAAGGCAATTCTTCTTCTTCCAATGTGGCCCAGGGAAGCCAAATGATTGGACATCCCTGAGAGAGCTGAAATCAACAGTTACTCTTTCCCTCATTCAGTGTAGCTATGCAACTATTTTTCCTTCCAAATAGTATCAGACTGAAGGTTTGACCTACAAACGTTGCTTCAGAGAGCCTGTGGACTCTGAAGCACTAGGCACGCTGAGGGCAAGTACAAAGCTCCATACCAAAGGAGAAAGAGAGTAGTGGAAGTCTACAAATGGAACCATGGAATCTTCCACTACAGCCATCCCACTCCTCCATCTCCAGCAACCCCCTCAGCCATAAATACAAAAATACTGTCAGCCACCCAGGAATAAGACTGTGTGGGGAGGCAGGGATAGAGGTAATAACTAGACCTCTTTGAATATATTTAATTTTATAGATAGGACTTTTAGTATCATGTAAATATTTTACATAATTACAAAATGAAATAACGTGTTGAAAAAAATCCCTAAAATTACAAAGTAAATGGAACAAGTAAAGCCAATTGTCACTTGGGTTCTACTGAAAGTGCCTTTAAGATACTGTAAAGTGACTGTACATTTCTAGTGGGAATACCCTAAGAAATAAAAGCAAAAATCAATCGATCAACAAACAAAAAAACCTGAAATTAGTTTTATTTCTTTCTTGAGACATGGTCTTGCTCTGCTGCCCAGGCTGGAGTGCAATGGCACAATCTTGGCTGCAGTCTTGATCTCCTGGGCTCAAGTCATTCTCCCACTTCAGCTTCCCAAGTAGCTAGGACTACAGATGCATGCCACCAGGCGTGGCTAATTTTTTTTTTTTTTTTGTAGAAATGGGGTTTCACCATGTTCCCCAGGCTGCTTTTGAACTCCTAGGCTGAAGCGATCTGCCTGCCTCAGCCTCCCAAACTGCTGAAACTACAGGCATGAGCCATCGTGTGCGGCCCTGAAACTTTTTTGGTAAAATTATATTGTTGGTGAAAGAGTTGGTATTATTATTCTGAGACTACTGTGACAAAACATGGGGATTATGCAAATGCCCTTAAGAACTGATATTAAAAAAAAGTAAGTGTGGAAAAAAAGTAACTGTAGAAAAAAGTGTGGAAGGCTAAAACCTTTAGTCTTGAATTAGAGAAATCGTAATATAAATTCATGATGTATTTTATCTCAAAATTTTTTAAGTGCATATTTCATAGGTCAGGCCTACTAATCAATCTTAGAGACATGGCCAACCCAGTAGTAATGAACACCCCTAGGACCCAACTTACAGTCTCCAAATACAATTTCCCACTAAAAGAAACAAGAGCACCCTGTGGAAATGAATGACTTCAGATCTGGGCCAGGAAAACATGTAAGGTAACCCTACCACATTTTAGTTTTCTTGCTTTCTGGTATAATATTATCACGTCAAAAAAAACCTCAAGAGCAAACCTGAATAGGTTCCTACTGCCCAAAAACAGCAATAAGGATAATAAATTCAATGGATTAAAATATAATACAAATGTATAAATCCATGATCCATAATGACTTTAAAACAAAATAAACATCCTCATAATCATTTCTGGAGAGTACTAAAAAATCAGTCTCCATCAGGAAGTATATAATTTTTCATTGTTTCTCTTCTTTTGTGATGTCAGCAACCATTAATGACAATTACCTTGATGCACTAATTCATTAGGGGTTACAAAATAATTTTTTATCATTCCTGCTTGATTTACATTAGCTGGAATACTTCTACAAAGAGAACCTTCCTCTTTCTCAATTATTCAGAGATCCTGAAATACAGTACATAGAAAAGAAAGATAAATGCTTGATTCCTGATTAAAAGAATCTTAAGAGACTGATTAACCAGCTATAACACATGGAAATTTTCTGGATCCCAATTCAAAAGTATCAGCTGTTAAAAAAAAGTAAGATAAATGAGATCACTTATAAGACAGTCAAGAAATATGCACACTGATTAAATATTTGATGATATTAAGAAAACGATGTTTTTCTTTTAAGGAGTGATATGATATTATTCTAACAGTATTATTACATATTAATAGTATTACTATAATACTTTTAGATAATATTATAACTATGCTTTAATACCCCCAGAGCAAATAATTTTGGGATGGCTATAAAATCATGGAGGTGGAAGAAAAGGTATAAGTATAGAGAAACAATATTGGCCAGTAGTATATGACCGTTCATTATTATTATTTCTACTTTTGAATGTTAAAATTTTTCCATAAAAGTTTTTAAAAAGATAAATATGTAGAATATATAAAGAGTCTCTTTAAAAATTCAGTAAGAAAATGACCCAGAGAAAAATGGACCCAAAGATAGGAAAAGGTAATCTACATAAAAATGTTTAACTTCTCTTTTGTGATTGATAAGAGGCAAATTTAAATCAACAAATACCAATTCATACCCATCAAACTGACAAAAATTGTAAAGTTTCACAGTAACAAGTGTTGATAAAAATATGAGACAACAAGAACTCTCATACACTACTGGTGAAAATATAAACTGATATCAGTTTGAAGAACAATTCTGCAGTATCTAAAGTTAAACATGTACTTTTTATAAGACCCAGCAATTCCACTTATAGGCCCACAACCTACCTAGAAAAGCTCTCATAAATGTGGACAAGATGACACACACAAGGCCATTCATAACATTATATTCATATAAGCAAAAACATGTCCATCAATAAGAATAGGAAAACTGAGATATATTTGTACAAAATATTTATGAAACGGAAACTATGTTTACATAAAAACATGCACACAAATGTTCATAGCAACTTTATTCATAATAGCCAAAAATTAGAAACAATTCAAATGTCCTTCAATGATAAAAAAAAAACTGTAGAACATGAAATTATACTCAGCAATAAATAAGATCAAACTACTGACACATGCAACAACTTGGATAATCTCAATGGAATTAGGCTGAGTTAAAAAAAAAAAAAAGAAATCAATTCCAAAAAGTTATATACATACTGTAGATTTCACTTACATAACATTCCTTGAAATGACAAAATAATAGAGATGGATAACAGATTAGTTGCTATAAAACAAGGGCAATAAATGCACCTATCTCCAAAGATTCTTGTAGAAATTAAATGAAATAATTTGTGCATATTACACTGCCCCCTACAAAGTATGTGTTCAATAAAGGCAAGCAATTATTATTACTGAACTCCATTACTATACCCTATTAGTAGATCAAGACTATCCTCTAATTTAGCCAGAAGTGAAAGTCAAGTACTATAGAATTTTATAGGTCTTTTTAATATTAACGTTCTTAATAATCGTTGTATACAGAAATCATGGTTTTTAGTTTAAATAATTTGAAGTCTCAACTATGAATAACTGGAAATCATAAAAGTGTATTGCAAAAAAAAAAGTACTTATTTCTGCCTCTCTGAAGGTTAACACTTCCCATGTATGAGCTGCTACATCTATTTCTCTGGCTTATTTTTTTAAAGATTAATTTGTACCCAATGTGCTTTTGATTTATAAAACTTAAAGTCACTAGGGCTTCAATGGGGAAACATTTCAAATTAATTCATAGAAAAAAAAAGACGGGGATAACATGTATCCAACCATGGTTACATGTAGGAATAATTTTTTCTATTATTCTGTGAGTCCATATATATAAAATTCTAATTTAAAGCAAAAAAGAAGTAATAAACAACCAGGCATGGGGACTTGCTAAGTAAAAGACAAGTGATATCACAAATCATTTCTTTTCCTATATGTTTTCCATTTTCTTGGAAAAGAAAAGTGATTCTAAGCTACTTTCCAGTGGATTCTAATTATTTCTTTGGTTAAAACAGTCTAGCCCAAGGAATGGCAAACTATGGTCTGTGAGACAAGTCTGGCCTGCAGCTTGTTTTTGGTAAGGCTGTGAAAAGGTAAAACAAAATGAACAAACAGATTTTTACATTTTTAATGGATAATTTTAAAAGTAATAATAAAAAGGGTCAGGCACGGTGGCTCACGGCTGTAATCCCAGGACTTTGGGAGGTTATGGTGGAGGATTGCTTGAGCCCAGGAGTTCAAGACCAGCCTGGACAACATGGTGAAACTCCATCACTACAAAAAAACAGCTGGGGGCAGTGGCGTTAAGCCTGTAGTACCAGCTACCCGGGAGGCTGAGCTGGGAGGATGGCTGGAGCCCAGGAGCTCAAGGATGCAGTGAGCTATGATGGCGGCACTGCACTCCCGCCTGGGTGACAGAGTGAGACCCTGTATCAAAAAAAAAAAAAAAAAAAAAAAAAAAAAAAAAAAATCCAGAGAGAGAAAGAAAAGAGAAAGGTAATAATAAAAAGGAATAGGAGAAAAGGAGAAGAATATGTGATAGAGATCAATAGTGGCCTCCCAGAACCCAATATATTTACTAACTAGCCCTTTACACAAAAAAGATTTGCTCATCCCTAGTTTAAGTTCATTAGGAAAAGTAAAGTATTTCTGAGAAACTGGGAATGTGAATGATCAGCAAAGGCTACTAAGGAAGTACAATTTTCAAGATTTCACTCTTTGTGGTATGGTTTCCTCTAGGCCCTCTCTCCAGCTTCATCATCCATATACAGAGAAAACAATCTTATGTGATATTATCAAGAGATACTGTTTGAAATACTCTTAGGGATGGGAGCTAACGGCAAGAAATCTATTATTCTTTAAAAAATAAAATCTTCCTTAAGGATTGACTAGCTCTAAAAAGTTCAAAAAAGTTCAAGTCTGAATTTGGCCAGTAATTTGTGTCTGGGTCCCTAAAGTTAGTTTCTTGTTTTTTATTAACTGGAAAAAAAAAAAAAAAAAAAAGAGCTATTCACTTAATATTTAGAATTGACCATTATAATTTGATTTACATTATTATGAAAAATACAAATATGTCTGCTATAACATGATAGATATTCCTAAAAAAATCCTTTATATGCAAAATTGCATACAAAAATACAGGTTTATAAAAAAACTTATCATTTTGTTATCAGAGTCCAAACAAACTATAAATGCTATTTTAGATGACCACATAAGCCACTCAGAGTGGTTGGCTACTACCTCAAGGGATATTAAAAATAGACAAAAATGGCCGGGCACAGTGGCTCATGCCTGTAATCCCAGCACTTTGGAAGGCCAAGGTGGGCGGATCACCTGAGATCAGGAGTTCAAGACCAGCCTGGCAAACATGGTGAAATCCCATCTTTACAAAAAATACAAAAATTAGCCGGGCACAGTAGCGCGCACCTATAGTCTCAGCTACTTGGGAGGCTGAGGCAGGAGAATCGCTTGAACCTGTGAGGCGGAGGCTGCAGTGAGCCGAGATCGTGCCACTGCACTCTAGCCTACGCAACAGAATGAGACTACATCTCAAAAAAAAAAAAAAAAAGACAAAAATAACAGAATGGAATCACTGACTTGTGGGTGCTGAGACAAACAGACTGCAATAAAGCACTGTTTGACGGCATCAGGAGAAAATGCAACCAGTCACTAGCTAAGAGCTGTGCAAGACCGCGGGTGCACCTCTCTGGGAAAGGAACCCCTTAGGTACAGGCAGTCATTTTTAATTTTCTTAGAATAATAGAACTGAAAGAACTCTTTGCCCCTTCCCACAGAAGATTTTACTTTATTTCCTGATTCTAGCTCCCCTTGGTGAGGAAAAACCATAAGAGAGCCTGGACAACTTCCATGTAGTACTGACATTCACTCTTTTTTATCAATTGTTACAAAAGACTGCAAATTCCCTGTGGTAGCTTTTTGTAAATAAATGAGATACTGTTTATAAATCTTACCAATTAGTAAATGAACAATGAGCTCAGTACTTTTCCCACTATACCACACAGAAGCTAAATTAAACCTTTCTAATCATAACAGCAGTAAGGAAAAATTCTTTGGACTGTCAAGGGGAGCAAAGATACAGATAAATCAAAAGATTATTTTTGTTAGACTTATACATTTAAGCTTTCCAACATTTATCTATGAATTATCAATGGTGGTGTTTTTTAATGTAAAGAGAAGCAATATCCATGTTTATACAAAGCCCCTACTTTCATGCATCTGTAAATTTCTGGCCGGGGGCAGTGGCTCATGCCTGTAATCCCAGCACTTTGGGAGGCTGAGGCAGGCGGATCACCTGAAGTAAGGAGTTCGAGATCAGCCTCGTCAACATGGTAAACCCTGTCTCTACTAAAAATACAAAAATTAGCTGGGTGTGGTGGTGGGCCTCTGTAATCCCAGCTATTCGGGAAGCTGAGACCGGAGAATGGCTTGAACCCCGGAGGCGGAGGTTGTAGTGAGCGGAGACTGTGCCATTGCACTCCAGCCTGGGTGACAAGAGTGAAACTCCACCTCAAAAAAAAAATCCTAAATATTTACTTCTGGAAATTATTTGTCAATATCTAAACCTCTTGATAGCAGGCAACTAAATAAGACAGAAACACAAGCACACCTTGTTTCTAAAGGCGATTATTTTGAGTATTAACAGCACTCTGCAAAAGTGTCATTCCCTTAAAATCTCTTTGGTCTATCCTCTTGCAACTCTGTATTTCCTTTCTTATATAACTTTTCAAAACTATTTTTACCACTCCAATGAATCCAGTAACAACCAACACTGACTGTACCTCAAGTACAACATGTATAACAGTATCCCTTCTAAATTAGGTTAGGTACTAATACTAAATGGCAAAGAGAAAGTAGATGCAAGGGTATTCTAAACAGAGCAGCAGGAACAGACACGAAAGCAGAGAGGATATCCTTAACTGCAAGAGATATAAATTATCAAAAACAAGACTGGATAAAAGCTATATGATACAAATCCATTTTCAAGCAGAACAAATATTCAGGACCATATGTTCAATGAAGTTATATGCACAAATATAAAACGTAGATTTAAAGAATGCAGGGTTGAATAGTTTACAAGTCTAGCAATAGTGCTGTTGTATATCTAACTTTCAGTTAAATGGATCCTAGTATATACTAAAATGGCCTCTCAGTAGGTAGACATATGAACTAAGAAGTATTTAAATAAAACCATATTTTCCTCAGAGCCTGTATACTTCTCAACCCTAAGGAGATCATGGGATCTGACAGACTCAGATGCCCCTCCTTGATGTAAGTATCACGAAAGCCTGTAAGCCAGTGTTTCTCAAACTCTAGCACTCACCAGAATCATCTGAAGGGTTTGTTAAAACAGGTTACTGGGCCTGATCATCAGTTTCTGATCCAGTAGATTTGGGGTGGGGCTTGTTAATGTGCATTTCTAACGTGTTCCCAAGTGATGTTGGACCATGTTTAGAGAAATACTGCTCTAAACCCACAGTCTTTGCTCTAAAACATTATAAACTTTACTTGTGGTAACTGTGAAATACACTGAACTTTAAAAATCTGTAAACCTTTAAGGTTCTCAGGCTTCAATAACCTTAAAGACAGCTAATGAAAAGCAAATGTATCTAAAAGTTCAGAAGCAACCCAAGCACCATAATCTCCTTTGCTTGGAGCTCTCCAAAGTTCTGACCTAGCTTCCAACTTTAGCTTAAACATGTACTAAAAGACCCTGAATGCTGATACCTAGGACTCTTCATGTTGAATCTTCCAGACTTCCTAGAATTATAAAACTTGGCTGCAGATCATATGCACAACTCCCACCTCTACCAATTGACAACTCAAGAAAATGAAGTGCAGAAAAGTTCAAAGCCATATTCCACAAGGTAATGCAATCCAAGTCTACTGACTAATTTAAAATTTTTAAAACTCCAGGTTCATGCCATAATCAAGATTATTCCTAGTCTTTTTGCTGACTAGCTAACTACACACTACACTCCTCTCCTCCTTTGCAAAATTCACATTTTATATTAAGTAACAAATATTACTGGCCAAAATTAGTGGTAATGATGACAACTATGAGAACCACAGGCCATAAGAATGGCAACTGGATACTGCACATCTTTCAGGGAAGGATTTTCATAATTACAGAGAGGACAGAGCCTAATGACAGCATCTAGGGGATACAAGAATATATATTTTTTAATGATTTTAAAAGGCAGTTGTGTAAAGATAATGACCCTTTTATTCTCTCTCTAACTATGCATTTTCTTAGGTTTTTTCTCATTCATCAGATTTTCCATCCCTTGTTGCTTTATAATAACCAAATGGAAAACTGGGTGAAGGACAGTAATAGTTTAGAAGGTAAAAATGCAAATGGCTCCTAAACAGATGAAAAGATACCCAACTTCATTCTTAACATGAAATCTAAACTAAAACAATCCTGAGAGAAATTCAAGTAAAGTCTGGGGTTTAGTTAATAATAATGTACTTCTGACACAGGTAATGCAAGATGTTACATTAAAGGAAACTAAAACTGGATGAGAGGTATAGATACAGGAACTATCTATACTACCTTTGCCAACTCTTCAGTAAATCTAAAAATTTTCCGAAATAAAAGGCTTATTAAAAAAAATACTACTCTGAGGTATGTAATTTTTCACCTGTCAGATTAGCAAAATTTCAAAACTAAAAGCAGTCTTTTGACAGGGTGTAGGAAAACAAGCACTCCTGTACAAGCTAGTACAAAATGGTATAACTCCTACAGAGTGATTTGGCAACTTCTGTAACAGATATCATCACATCTCTATGAAATTCTATTTGTTCACAGTTATCCATTATTCACCATGAACTATTTATAATATGTAACAAAAAGAAAACAATCCAAGTTTGCTTTTTTTTTTTTTTTTTTTTTTTTTTGAGATGGAGTTTCGCTCTGTCGCCCAGGCTGGAGTACAGTGGCGCGATCTTGCCTCACTGCAAACTCCGCCTCCCGGGTTCACACCATTCTCCTGCCTCAGCCTCCCGAGTAGCTGGGACTACAGGCGCCCACCACCATGCCCGGCTAATTTTTTGTATTTTTAGTAGAGACGGGGTTTCACTGTGTTAGCCAGGATGGTCTCGATCTCCCGACCTCGTGATCTGCCCGCCTTGGCCTCCCAAAATGCTGGGATTACAGGCGTGAGCTACCGTGCCCGGCCTTTTTTTAAAAAAAAAAAAAAGAGGAAAGGCCTCACTTTGTCACCCAGGATGCAGTGCAGTAGCACGATCATGGCTCACTGTAACCTTGACCTCTTAGGCTCAAGTGATCCTCCCACCTCAGCCTCCCAAATAGCTGGGACTACAGACATAACACCACCACACCTGGCTAACTTTTTAGTTTATGTAGATGGGGTCTCACTATATTGACCAGTCTGGTCTTGAACTTCTGGCCTCAAGTCTAGGCCTCCCAAAGTGCTGGGATTTCAAATATGAGCAATGTGCCCAGCCTTAAGTTCGTTTTTTCTAGGAAACTGGATAATAAACGAGCACACCCAAACAATGGACTATTATGCAGTGATTAAAAAAAAAAAGAATGAGAACATATGTACATATTAATATAGGATAATTTTGAGACTATATTATTAAGCAAAACAAACAAACAAACAAAAAAAGCAAGGTGCTACAAAAAGCATACAGATGTAAGATAAGGTTTAAAAATACACTTTCTTGGCAGGGTGTGGTGGCTCATGCCTGTAATCCTAGTATTTTGGGAGGCCGAGGTGGGAGACTGCTTGAGCCTAGGAATTCAAAACCAGCCTGAGCAACATGGTAAGCTCCTGTGATTCTAGCTGTTGGGGAGGCTCAGGCAGGAGGATCACTTGAGTGCAGAAAGTTGAGGCTGCAGTGAGCCATGAGCATGCCACTGAACTCCAGCCTAGGTGATGAAGTGAGTGAGACTCTGTCTCAAAAGAGAAAAGAAAAGAATACAAATTCCTATGTGCTTGAAACCCTAAAAGAATACATGAACTTATGGTCACTTGTGGTCACTTATAAAGGAGGGGTGGTTGGAGTGGAGAGTGTACAGAAGTGAGTTTATTTTTATACACTTTTCTTTTGAAATCATTTGAATGCATTATCTTTTGAAATAAAACAAGATCATGTTATTTTGTGAATCTAAAGATAATTTTGTGTTTTAAAAAATATTCTGGATCAGTGATCCCTCTGTTATCATCTGAGATTCTCCCACATTTTCTGTTCAAACCCAGTATCTTTCTCACTCACTCTTAACAAGCATAGAATGAAGGCAAAAAGTTTTATTCAGACATCTGTGTTCAGGCAATACCTTAGCTTAACCAGTAAAAACTAACATTAAAATAACATTATATATACAAAAAAAGAAATTCCACTAAGAACATCTAATGGCATAAAATAATAAATATGTCATAGAAAGTGAACATATCTTCATAGGCCACTACATGGTAAGGAACTTGAAAAGTTAAATAGAGTATTTATTTTTTAACAGAGTTGTTGTTCTAATGTTAGTAAGGAAGTGAATGGACAAAGATATAAACTCAGTATACAGAAGACATCAGAAATATTTGAAACAGTAGTCTTTGGATTTTAAAACAAATTATAAAGCTATAGTGATTTAAACAGTATGGAATTGGCATAAAGACAGACATACAGACCAATGGAACAGAACAGAAACCCCAGAAATAAACCCTGACATATATGGTCAAATGATTGACAAGGATACCAAGACTACACAATGGGAAAAGGACAGTCTCTTCAATAAATGAGCTGGTGAAACTGAATATTCACATGCAAAATAATGAAATTGGATCCTTACCTTATAGCATATATTTAAAAATCAACCCCAAATGGATTAAATACCTAAATGTAAGACACAAAATTATAAAACTCCTAGAAGAAAATACAGGAAGAAAGACTTCATGACATTGAATTTGACAGTGATTTCTTGGATATGACATTAAAGCACCAGTAACAAAGAAAAAACAGACAAATGGCATTACATCAAACTAAAAAACCTCTTCAGGGCAAAGGAAACAATCAACAGACTGCAAAGGCAACCTTATGGAAAGGGAAAAATATCTGCAAACCATGTAGTGGATAAACAATTAATATCCAAATATATAAAGAACTCCTAAAACTCAAAAACAAAAAAACGCAAAAAAAAAAAAAACAAAAAACAAAACAAAAAAAAAACCCAAAAGCAAAAATTTAAAGATTTTTTAAATGGGCAAAGGATCTAAAGAGACAGGTCTTCAAAGAAGATATACATACTCAACTCTTTTGAGGTATGAAAAAAAAATTCTTTAAGTATTAAAAAACAAACAAAAAAACACAATGATATACAAATGGCCGGCATACAAAAAGATGCTCAACATCAGTAATCATCAGGGAAATGCAAATCAAAACCACAATGAGACATCAACTCCTACCTGTTAGGATGGCCACTATCAAACTAACAGAAAATTACACATGTTGGCAAGGATTTGGAGAAAGTGAAACTGTGCACTGCTGGTAAGAATGTAACTACTGTACTACTGTCGCTGGTACAGCCCTTATGAAAAACAGGAGTAGTTTCTGAAAAAATTTAAAATAGAACTACTATATGATCCAGCAATCTCACTTCTGTGTATATATCCAAAAGAACTGAAAACAAGACCTTGAAGAGACGTGTCCACATCCATGTTCATTACAGCATTATTCACAATGGCTAAGAAGTGGAAGCAACCCAAATGTCCATGGACCAATTAATTGATAAAAACAGTATGGTACATACACACAATAGACTATTAACAGTCTTAAAGGAAATCTTGTTTACAACATGGATGAATCTTGAGGACGTTATGCTAAATGAAATAAGCCAGTCACAAAAAGACAAATACTGCATGATTCCACATATATGGTGTATCCAAAGTAGTCAAATTCTTAAAAACAAAAAGCAGAATGGTGGTTGCCAGCGGCTGGAGGGTAACAGGAGGTTGTTCAATGGGTATACATAGTTTAAGTTTTACAAAATGTAAAAGTTTTAGAGACCTGTTGTACAACAATGTGACATAGTTAAACTATATACCTGTAATGTACACTTAAAAATTGTTAAGAGGGTAAATTTATGTTATGTATATTTTACCACAATAAAGCATAAAAAAAACCACATGTGAAACTGAATCATGTCATGAGGAAACAAGTATACCCAAATTGAGGAACTTTTGAGAAAATAATTGGCTTGTAATCTAAAAATGTCAGTGGCATGAAGGACAAAAAGACTCAGCAGTAGACTGAAGAGACATGGTAAGTAAAGGCAATGCATTATTTGGGATTTTTCTGCACTGCAAAGGACATTTTTCGGACAATTATTAAATTATGCATGAGGTCAACAGATTACTGTATTGTATCAATGACAACTGACTGATTTTGATAACAATGCTGTGGTTATATAAAAGAATGTCTGTGTTTTAAAAAACCATACATTGAAGTACTCAGAAGTAAAGAAGCATAACATTTACAACTTACTCTAAAAGGGTTCTGAATGAAAATAATGAGGGTGAGGAGAAAGAGAGGCTGACAGAGAGAGAAGTGACAGAGAAAGAGTTAAAAAAACAGAAAGCAAATATTGTTAAGTGTTAACATTTAATGAATCATGGAGAACAGTAGATAGAATTCATTATATTATTCTTGAAACTTCTCTATAAACTGGAAATAAGGCCAAAATTTTAAAATTTAATTAAAATAGTCTCAAAATAAAAAGTAAAACAAAATGTTTAAACACAACTTTCTCAGAACCTATCTCTTGTATTCTAATATAAATCTATGCCAACTCTAAGACATAAAGATTCTTAAAGATTGAATTCTATATTCCAAAAAATTAGAAAATTCATCGATATTTCAATTTCTCTTAACACTATATACCAAATACTACTAGAACAAGGCCAAAGTAATCAAAGAGATGAAAAATATTTCCTGCCCATAACCATCTAATAATAAAGGTGAATTTGCAGCTAGGGTCTCTACTCCTTAACTATAACCTTATTCCTCCAGTGCCATCCATGTTCGCTTCAAAACAGCCTATCTGACATCATAATTCTAGCTCCTTCAGAAATGGTTCCAATAGTCAGTGGACTAAAATTCCTAAACTCCCAATATGACATCTCTATCAACAGTTCCTGCTTCAATATCATCAATGACTAAAAATTCACTAGAAACATCTCCCAAAAAAGTGGCCAAATACTGTCAGTTACTATACAAAAAATAAAATTCTTTACTGAGGTTGTAGATAAAAAATGACTTTATATCATGAAAACTGAGCTTATACATTGTGGGCCAACTAACACTGGTGAATGAATAAGCTACAATATTCTCCAATTCTTTAAACTATTGCCTTAAATTGTTTATATTTCAGAACACAATATAAAACCTACTCATTTTGCTTTCATTGAGGTGAAGATAAAACGAGACTTTAAAAAAAATTAATTTGTTATTGGATACAAAGTTACAGCTAGATAGGTGGCATAAGTCTTAGTGTTCTACAGCATTGATGGATAACTGAATGTTCCCCACAAAGAAATGATAAATGTTTGAGATGATGGACATGCTATTATCCTGATCTGGTCACTAACATTTATATGTACTACATCACAATGTAGCCCATAAATATGTACATTATATCTATTAAAAGCTGTAAAAGTTAAAAATTATAAAACAAAAATATTGAGAAAAATTTATTTTTAAAAAAATAAATGAATAAGTTATCTTAATCCTTAGGGAGCATACATATTCCAATAAAAATAAAGAAAGCATTTGAGGAACTGCTCTCTGAAACTGTCTTCAGAATAAGATTATAAATTGTATAAAAGAGTCCTACATTTTACAGTCAAAAACTTCTTTAAAACCAAAATAACATCTAAGTTATTGACCATACTTGGCTCTGAATGGGTTTTCTGAAATTAAAGTCCATTCTGTCAAAGACAAATATTACTACTGAAGACATTTTTAAAACACTAAAAATTCCACAAGAGATTTTTAAAGTTTTTATAGAACTCTAAGAATTAAAAAAACAAAGCTACAAATGCAAGCAGTGTTATCAATGTTAAACCCTCTAAAAAGTTATAAATCCAATTGTCTCAATCAGAAGAAATTTAAGTATATCAACCTCAAAAATTATGCAACCAATAAAAAATTACAAAGACGACGATATGGAAAAAAGTCTAAACATCGAGTGGAAAAAAAGCTGAAAACAAAATTGTAAGTAAGACTTCTGGTTTCCAGGTAGGCACGTAAGAAACTTAGAAGAAACTTAGAAGTTGCCACCCCATCTTAACAACATATAAAAGGCTGAACAAACTGAAAATAAACAACACTTAAATCTGTGAGGTCACAAGGCAAAAGCATCGCACCCAAAACTGGAGACAGAGGTGAATACACAGAATCACAACTTACGGGAACAGAAACCCACTAGCAGAAACCCTCCTGAAAACCAATGGGGGAGAGGGAGGGCTGGAAAACCTAAACTGTAATTGACTCAGTATGGCCAATTCTGAGAGATTAAAAATCCAGGCATCTCAGTCACTGGGAAGCCCTTACACCTTTGTGAGTATCACCTTTCAAGAACTCAACCATGTTCTCACAGTGAATACTTAGGGAAAAAATATCTTTGTGCTTCCAGAAAGGTAAGCATTTTGAAATGTGCCAGAGCATTCTGTTTTTAACAATGCCTGCAATCAAGAGAAACAATTTTATCAGAGTATAACCTGCTTTTTTTCTTAAACTTTTATTTTAGGTTCAGGGCCTCAATGTGTAGGTTATTAGGTAAATTGCATCTCATGGGGGTTTGATATACAGACTATTTTATCCCCCAGGTAATAAACATAGAACCCAATAGATAGTTTTTCGATCCTTTTCCTCCTTCCATCCTCCACCCTGAAGGAGGTCCCAGTGTCTCTTGTTCCCTTCTTTGTATCCATGTGTTCTCAATGTTTATTTAGGTCCCACTTATAAGTGAGAACATGCAGTATTCCGTTTTCTGTTCCTGTCTTAGTTTACTTAGGATAATGGCCTTAGCTCCATCCATGTTGCTGCAAAGGACATGATCTCGTTCTTTTATGACTATGTATATATGTATCGTGTATATGTACCACATTTTCTTTATCCAGTCTACTGTTGATAGGCATTTAGGTTGACTCCACGTCTTTGCTGCTGTGAATAGTGCTGCAATGAACATACATGTGGATGTGTCTTTATGGCAGAATGATTATAATTCTTTGGGTATATACCCAATAATGGGATTGCTGGGTTGAATGGTAATTCTGCTTTGAGTTCTTTGAGAAATCGCTACGCTGCTTCCACAATGGCTGAACTAATTTACATTCCTACCCGCAGTGCATGAGCATTCCCTCTTCTCTGCAACCTCACCAGCATCTGTTACTTTTTGACTTTTTAATAACAGCTTTTCTGACTGCTGTTAGATGCTACCTCATTGTGGTTTTGATTTCCATTTCTCTAATGATTAGTGATGCATTTTTTCATATGCTTGTTAGCTGTGTGAATGTCTTCTGTTGGGTTTTATCAAAGCCTATCAGACCTGGGGGAAGGAAAAAGATGAGTCCAGCTGCCTCTAGTCTTCCATGCAGGAGAAGAGAAATACCCAACTCCAGCCCCCTTTAGACAGCCTGTCCCACCCTAAGGGGGGAAAAACTGAGAAGCACTGGTGAAGTTCACAGTCCAGAGACACAGGCTCACCAAAAGACAGACCTCATCATGAAACTATCAAATCTCACCCCACAAAACACACCATAAAACCGCATCATTAAAGTCCTGTATTTCTGCAGTTCCCTTTACCCAGTTACATCATGTCCACCTTTCAAGAAAAATTATAAGACATACTAAGCAGCTAAGCAAACATCAGAATCAGAGTCAGATATGAAAAGAATGCTGTACTTTTCCAACCAGGAATTTCAGAAAACTATAAGGCTTTAATGGAAAAAACAGACAACATGCAAAAACAGATGAATAATATAAGAAGAGAGATGAGAATTCTGAAAAAAAAAAAAAAAAAGAAATCAAAACAGAAAAAGAAACAAAGATACAAATTACTATTTAATATAATAGAGATGCATCTGAAGGGCTCACTAGTAGACTGGACACAGCTGACAGAACAATCTTGGAGCCTGGTAATATGATATGACAATAGGAACTTCCAAGACTGAAAAGCAAGGCAAAAAAAAAAAAAAAAAGAATAAAACAGAATACTACTAAATGTATAAATATGCATAATGCAAATTCCAAGAAAGGAACACAAGCAACATGTGAAGCAACAATGACTGAGAATTTCTCCAAATTAATGTCAGGCATCAAACCACAGATTGAGGAAGCTCAAACACCACCAAGCAGGATAAAAGCCAAAACAAAAATAAACAAAACCACCCTATAGTTAGGCATATGATATTCAAACATCAGAAAATCAAAGGTAAAGAAAAAACCTTGAAAGAAGCCAAAGGGGAAAAAACACCTTAGCTACAAAGGAGCAAAGATAAGATCACATCAGATATTCCTCAGAAATCATGGAAGTAAGAACAGCATGGAGTGAAATATTTCATGTGTTGAGTTAAAAAAAAAAACCCAACAACCTACAAACCTAAAATTCTGCACTCTGTGAAAATACCCTTCAAAAGTGAAGGAGAAATAAAAACTTTCTCAGACAAATAAAAATTGAGGACTTTGTTGCCAGTAGACCTGCCTTATAAGAAATCTTAAAAGTAGTACTTTTGAGAGGAGGAAAATGATATAGGTTAGAAACTCAGATCTACATAAACATAGGAAGAGTACTGGGGAGAAAGGGTAAAATAAAAACTTTTATTTTCTTACTGTTAATTATCTAACAGACAACAGCTTGTTCAAAACAATAATAGGAACAATATATTCAATTATGAATGCTTATATACATAAGCAGTTTACTTACACATAGCATACAGACAGATATAGTCTTAATGAAGCAATTCTGGGGACAGGGCCAAGACAGCCGATTAGAAGCAGCTGCAGTCCGTGGCGCTCATGGAGAGGAACGAAAGCGGCGAGTGAATACTGCACTTTCAACTGAAATAATCCAGGTAGTCGCATTGAGACTTATCAGGGAAACAGCTCGACCCACGGGGAATGAGGAAAAGCAGGGTGGCGCGGCGGCCCACTTGGGAGCAACACAAGCCAAGGAAACCCCCATCCCCAGCCAAGGGAAGTGATGAGTGATTATGCGACCCAGGGAAACCACGCTTCTCCCATGGATCTTTGCAACCCGGGGATCAGGAGATCCCCTTATGAGTCCACGCCACCAGGGCCTTGGGGCCAACACACGGAGCTGCGTGGAGTCTCAGCAGAGCAGCTGCTCAGGCATGCACAGAGACCCAAGAGCTTTACATACTCCAGTACCGGGATCTCCAACAAACGTGTCTGCAACTCAGACAAGGCGGGAGGTCCACATATACCCCCCGAGAGGGGTTGGAATCCAGAAAGTTGAGCAGCCTTGTTCTGCAGGCCCACTTCCATGACACCTCACAAGATAAGACCCACTGGCTTGGAATTCCAAGCAGCCACCAGCAATAGGCTGTGGGGAGAGGCCAGCACCATCTCTGCTGTTTGGTCAACACAGCTGTTCCAGCCTGCAGACCCTGGAGAGTCCAAATGGTCCAGACGAGAAAGGGTCCCCCCAGTGGCACAACTCAGCAGCTTTGCCAGATATTGACCAGATTACTTCTTTAAGTGAAGCTCCAATCCATTCCTCTTCACTGAGTGGGACCTCCCAGCCAGGCCCTCCAGCCATGGCCTGACAGAGCTCTTACCTTTCTTATCTCTCCCTGGGACAAAGTGTCCAGGAGAGGGGAGGGCTGCTACCTGGGCAGAGGCAGTTCCCTACCATGACACAGCTGTTTTGTCAAGGCATGGCCAGACTGATTCTGTAATCAGGACCCCCAATCCACTCCTCCTTGTGGGGCGGGTCCTCCCAGCCAGAGCCTCTAGTCACCACCCATGTTCTATGGGCCGAAAGAGCTCCAATTTCTCCCTGGGATGGAGTGCCTGAAGAGTGGGGCAGGTTGCCACCTTGGCTGTTTGGGCTCCTCAGCCAGTTCAGCCAGTGGGGCTTGGAGAGCCCAGATCAAATGGTGGCTAAAGGGATCACCAACACAGCACAGCTGCTCTAACAAAAAGAGGCCAAACTGTTGCTTTAAGCGGGCCCCTGATCCCATTCCTCCTAACTGGGTGAAACCTCCCAACTGGGGTCTCCAACCACCCCCTACAGGCGTGTTCAGGTGGCAATAGGTCAGCACCCTCCTGGGATGGTGCTTCCAGAGGAAGGGGCAGGCTGCCATCTTTGCTGTTTTGCAGGCGTCACTGGTGATACCTCCAGGTACAGGAAGAACCAGAGCAACTGGGGTTTGGAGCGGACCTCCAGCAAACTGCAGCAGCCCTACAGAAGAGTGACCAGACTATGAAAAGAAAAACAAACAGAAAACGACAACAAAGAAAAACCACAAAATACCACCCAAAGGTCAGCAACCTCAAAGATCAAAGGTAGATAAGCCCACAAAGATGAGAAAGAATCAATGCAAAAACACTGAAAACTCAAAAAGCCAGAGTGTCCTTTTCCTCCAAATGACCACAACATCTCTCAAGCAAGGGCTCAGAACTGGGCTGACACTGAGATTGCTGAAATGACAGAAGTAGACTTCAGAAGGTGGTAACAACGAAGTTCACTGAGCTAAAGGAGCATGTTTTAACCCAATGCAAAGTAGCTAAGTATCATGTTAAAACTATACAGGAGCTGATAACCAGAATAGCCAGTTTAGAGAGGAAGATAAATGACCTGATGGAGTTAAAAAAACACAACACGAGAACTTCACAATGCAATCATAAATATTAATAGAAGAACAGGCCAAGCAGAGGAAAGAATCTTAGAGCTGGAAGACTGGCTTTCTGAATTAAGACAAGCAGACAATACTAGAGAAAAAAGAAGGAAATGGAATGAACAAAACTTCTGAGAAATATGGGATTATGTAAACAGACTGAATCTACGACTGACTGAGGTACCTGAAAGTGATGGGGAGTTGGAACCAAGTTGAAAAACATACTTCAGGATATCATTTAGGAGAACTTCCCCAACTTACCAAGACAGGCCAACATTCAAATTCAGGAAATACAGAGAACCCCAGTAAGATACTCCATGAGAAGAATCATCCCCAAAACACATAATCATCAGATTCTCCAAGATCAAGATGAAAGAAAAAATGCTCAGAGCAGCCAGAGAGAAGGGCCAGGTCACCTACAAGGGGAAGCCCATCAGACTAACAACAGACCTCTCAGTGGAAATCCTACAAACCAGAAGAGACTGCGGGTCAATATTCAACATTCTTAAAGAAAAGAATTTCCACCCCAGAATGTCATATTGGGCCAAACTAAGCTTCATAAGCAAAGGAAAAATAAGATCCTTTTCAGACAAGCAAATGCTGAGGGAATTCATCACCATCAGGCCTGCCTTGCAAGAGCTCCTGAAGGAAGCACTAAATATGGAAAGGAAAAACAGTTACCAGTTGCTACAAAAACACACTGAAGTACACAGATCAGTCCCTATGAAGCAAGCACATAAACAAGTCTGCAAAATAACCAGCTAGCATGATGAGAGAATCAAATCCGCACATAAGAATTCTATCCTTAAATGTAAATGGGCTAACTGCCCCAATTAAAAGACACAGAATGGCAAGCTGGATAAAGAATCAAGACCCATTGCTACGCTACCTTCAAGGGACCCATCTCACATGCAAAGACACACAAAGACTCAAAATAAAGAGACTGAAGACAATTTACTAAGCAAATGGGAAACAGAACGAAGCAGGGGTTGCAATCCTAGTTTCTGATAAAACAGGCTTTAAACCAACAAAGATCAAAAAAGACAACGAAGGGCATGACATAATGGTAAAGGGTTCAATTCTACAAGAACAGCTAACTAACCTATATATGTGCCCAATACTGGAGCACCCAGATTCATAAAGCAAGTTCTTAGAGACCTTCAATGAGACTTAGACTCCCACACAATAATAGTGGGAGACTTTAACACCCCTACTGACAATATTAGACAGATCATAGAGAAAGACAATTAAAAGATATTCAGGATCTGAACTCAGCTCTGGATAGAGTAGACCTGACAAATACCTATAGAACTCTCCACCCAAAAACAACAGAATATACATTCTTCTCATTACTGCACGGCACTTACTTGAGTAAAATTGATCACATAATTGGAAGTAAAACACTCCTCAGCAAATGCAAAAGAACTGAAATAATAACAAAGTCTGTCAGACCACAGCACAACCAAATTAGAACTCAAGATTAAGAAATGCACTCAAAACCACACAACTAACTACATGGAAACTGAACAACCTGCTTCCAAATCACTCTTGGGTAAATAATGAAATAAAGGCAGAAATCAATAATTTCTCTGAAACTAATGAGAACAAAGATACAATGTACCAGAATCTCTGGGATGCAGCTAAAGCAGTGTTAAGCGGGAAATTTATAGCACTAAATGCCCACATCTAGAAGCTAGAAAGATCTGAAGTTAACAACCTAACAACACAGCTAAAAGAACTAGAGGACCAAGGGCAAACAGACCCCAAAGCTACCAGTAGACAAGAAATAGTCAATATCAGAGCTGAATCGAAGTAGACAGAGACAAGAAAAACTCCTCAAAAAAAAAAAAAAAAAAAATCAATGAATCCAGGAGTTGTTTTTTTTGAAATTTATAAGACAGACCACTAGGCTAGGCTAATAAAGAAGACAGAACAGTCAAATAAATATAATCAGAAATGATAAGGGGGATATCACCACTGACCCCACAGAAATACAAACCATCAGAGAATACTATAAACACCTTTATGCACATAAACTAGAAAATCTAGAAGAAATGGATAAATTCCTGGACACATACACCCTCCAAAGACTGAACCAGGAAGAAACTGAATCCCTAAATAGACCAATAATGAGTTCTAAAGTTGAAGCAGTAATAAATAGTCTATCAACCAAAAAAAGCCCAGGACCAGACGGATTCACAGCTAAATTATACCAGAGGTAAAAAGAAGAGCTGGTACCATTCCTACTGAAACTGTTCAAAAAATTGAAAAGGAGGGACTCCTCCCTAGTTCATTCCATAAGGCCTGCATCATCCTGATACCAAAACCTGGCAGAGATAAAACAAAAAAGAAAACTTCAGGCCAACATCTTTGGTGAACCTCGATGCAAAACTCAACAAAATACTGGCAGACTGAATCTAGCAGCACATCAAAAACCTTATCCACCACAACCAAGCAGACTTCATCCCCAGGATGCAAGGCTGGTTAAACATATGCAAATTAATAAATGTTCATCACATAACATAAACAGATTCATCACATAAACAGAACTAAAGACAAAAAAATACATGATTATCTCAACAGATGGAGAAAAGGCCTTCAATACAATTCAACATCCCTTCATGTTAGAAACTCTCAATAAACTAGGTATTCAAGGAACATACCTCAAAATATTAAGAGCCATATATGACAAACCCACCAATAACATACTGAATGGGCAAAAGCTGGAAGCATTCCCCTTGAAAACCAGCACAAGACAAAGATGCATGCCCTCTCTCACCACTCCTATTCAACATAGAATTGGAAGTTCTGGCCAGGGCAATCAGGCAAGGGAAATAAATAAAGTGTATTCAAATAGAAAGAGAGGAAGTAAAATTATCTTTGGTTGCAGATAAAATGATCCTATTTCTAGAAAACCCCATCGTCTCAGCCCAAAAGCTTCTTAAGCTTATAAGCAACTTCAGCAAGTCTCATGATAGAAAATCAATGTTCAAAAATTGTTGGCCTTCCTATACACCAATAACAAGCAATCAGAGAGCCAAATCACGAATGAACTCACATTCACAACTGCCACAAAAATAATAAAATACCTGGAAATACAGCTAATAAGGGAAGTGAGGGACCTCTTCAAGGAGAACTATAAACCACTGCTCAAAGAAATCAGAGAGGACACAAATAAATGGAAAAACATTCCATGTTCATGGGTGGGAAGAATCAATATTGTGAAAATGGTCACACTGCCCAAAACAATTTATAGATTCAATGCTATTCCCATTAAACTACCATTGACATTCTTCACAGAATTAGAAGAAACTATTTTAAAATTCATATGGAACCAAAAAAGAGCCCGAGTAGCCAAGACAATCCTAAGCAAAAAGAACAAACATGAAGGCATCATACTACCTGACTTCAACTATGCTACAAGGCTATAGTAACCAAAACAGCATGATATTAGTACAAGAACAGACACACAGACGAATGGAACAGAATAGAGAACCCAGAAATAAGATCACATACATACAACCACCTGACCTCCAACAAACCTGACAAAAACAAGCAATGGGGAAAGAATTCCCTATTTAATAAATGGTGCTCGGAAAACTGGCTAGCCATATGCAGAAAACTGAAACTGGACCCCTTCCTTACACCAAAAACAAAAATCAATTCAAGATGATTAAAGACTTAAATGGAAAACCCAAAACTATAAAAACGCTAGAAGAGGCTGGGCGCAGTGGCTCTCGCCTGTAATCCCAGCAATTTGGGAGGCCGAGGTGGGCAGACCACAAGGTCAGGAGATCAAGATAATCCTGGCTAACATGGTGAAACCTGGTCTCTATTAAAAATACAAAGAAGTAGCCGGGTGCGGTGGCACGTGCCTGTAGTCCCAGCTACTCAGGAGGCTGAGGCAGGAAAATGGTGTGAACCTGGGAGGCGGAGCTTGCAGTGAGCTGAGATCGTGCCACTGCACTTCAGCCTAGGCAACAGAGCAAGACTCTGTCTCCAAAAAAAAAAAAAAAAAAAAAAAAACCCTAGAAGAAAATCTAGGCGATACCATTCAGGATATAGGCATGGGCGAAGATTTCATGACAAAGATGCCAAAAGCAACTGCAACAAAAGCAAAACTTGACAAATGGAATCTAATTAAACTAAAGAGCTTATGCACAGCAAAAGAAACTCTCATCAGAGTAAACAGACAACCTACAGAATGGGAGAAACTTTTTGCAACTTACCCATCTGACAAAGATGTAATATTCCAGCATCTACAAGGAACTTAAACAAATTTACAAGAAAAAAACAACCTGATTAAAAGTGGTCAAAGGACATGAACAGACACTTCTCCAAAGAAGACATTCATGTGGCCAACAAACATGAAAAGAAGCTCAACACCACTGATCATTAGAGAAATGCAAATCAAAACCACAATGAGGTACCATCTCACACCAGTCAGAATGGCAATTATTAAAAAGTCAAAAAACAACAGATGCTGGCAAGGTTGTGGAGGAAAAGGAACGCTTTTACACTGTTGGTGGGAGTGTAAATTAGTTCAACCATTGTGGAAGACAGTGTGGCAATGCCTCAAAGACCTAGAGGCAGAAATACCATTTGACTCAACAATCCCCTTACTTGGTATATACCCAAAGGAATATAAATCATTCTATTATAAAGATACATGAATGCATGTTCACTGCAGCACTATTCACAATACCAAAGACATGGAATCAACCTAAATGCCCATCGATGATAGACTGGCTAATGCAAATGTGCTACATCCACACCACAGAATGTTATGTGGCCAAAAAAAAAGGAACGAGATCATGCCCTCTGCAGGGACATGAATGGAGCTGGAAGCCATTATCCTTAGCAAACTAACACAGAAACAGAAAATCAAATACTGCATGTTCTCACTTAGAAATGGGAGCTGAATGATGAGAACACATGGACACATGGGGATGGGGGGAACGACCCACACTGGGGCCTGTCAGAGGGTGGGGGGTGGGAGGAGGGAGAGCATCTGGAAGAACAGCTAATGGATTCTGGGCTTAATACCTAGGTGATGGAATGATCTGTGCAGCTAATCACCATGGCACATGTTTAACTAGGCAAGAAACCTGCACATCCTGCACATGTACCCCTCAATCAAGAAATAAAAAAGAAACATTCTGACAAATGCATCTGTTAGATGATTTCATTCATTGTGGGAACATCACAGAGTGTACCTACACAAACCTAAAGGTACAACCTATGCTATATGCTGTAGCCTATTGCTCCTAGGCTACAAACCTGTAGAGCATGCTAGTGTAGGCAACTGTGAAATAATGGGAAGTATCTGTATATCTAAACATTAAACATAGATAAGGTACAGTAGAACTATGGTATAAAAGATAAAAAATGGTATATACTGTATAGGGCACATCATAAATATAGCTTATAGGATGGCAAGTTGTCTAGGTGAGTTGAGGGGTGACTGAATGCAAAGGCTTAGGACATTACACTGTTGTAGACTACACTCAGGCTACACTAAACTTAAAAAAAATTTTTTTTCTCTAATAATAAACAGCTTACTGTAACTTTTTCACTTTATAAACTTTTACTTTTTAACTTTTTGTCTCTTTTGTAACACCACAGCTAAAACAGTATACAGCTGTACAAAATATTTTCTGTAAATTCTTATTCTATAAGCTTTTTCTTATTTATAAATTTTTTTGTGTCAAAAACTAAGACATAAACACACCCATTAGCCTAGGCCTACACTGGGTCATGATCATCATTATCACTGTCTTCCATGTCTACATCTTGTCCCACTGGAAGCTCTTTAGGGGCAATAACTTGCATGAAGCTATTATCTCCTATAATGTCTTCTGAAATATCTCCTGAAGGACCTGCCTAAGGCTGTTTTACAATTTTTGATAAGTAGAGGAAATACATTCTAACATAACGATTAAAAAGTATAGAATAGTAAATACACAAGCTAGTAACATATTTATTATCAAGTATTAGTACTGTGAATAATTGTTATTTATTTATTTATTGAGACAGGGTCTATGTTGCCCAGGCTGGTCTCAAACTCCTGGGCTCAAGGGACCTTCCTGCCTCACGCCTCCCAAAGTGATTACCGGTGTGAGCCACCATGGCACCTGGCTAGCATGCTATACTTTTGCTTTTCCTTTTTTAGATGGGATCTCACAATGTTGCCCAGAGTGGAGTGCAGTGGAGTGATCATGCTTCACTGTAACCACAAACTCCTAATCTCAAGTAATCCTCCTGCCTCGGCCTACTGGGTAGTTAGGACTATAGGAATATATTACCACACCTGGCTATTGTTTTCATTTTTTGTAGAGACGGAGTCTCTGCCCAGGCTGGTCTCCAACTCCTGGCCCCAAGCAATCTTCCAGCCTCAGCCTCCCAAAGTATTGGGATTACAGGCGTGAGCCACCACACCTGGCCTGTATGTGCTATACTTTTACATAACTGGCAATGCAGATTTGTTTACACCAGCATCAGTAATGCACTGTTCTACAACATTCCAATGGCTATGACATCACTAAGCAATAAGAATTTTTCGGTTCCATTATAATTGTATATGTGGTTCATCATTGATCAAAACATTATGTGGCACATTGTCTGTGTGTGTGTCTGTGTGTCGAATGACAGCAATGATACAAGGGACAGAAAGGAGGAATTAGAAATTTTTTATTATAAAGTACTTGTACAACCTGTGAAGCATTATAGTGCTACTTGCAAGTGGCCTTGGATTAACGGTAAATGTACAGTGTAAATTCTAGGGCAAACACACACACACACACACACCCCCACACACACAAACAGTATGATAGATATGCTAAGAAAGGAGAGAAAACAGAAGTATAAAATTCTTAATTAAAAGCACAAAAAGTGTAGAAGATAAAACCAGAAACAAAGACCAAGGGAATCAAATACAAAACATTAACAGATATGGTAGATATTAATCCAAGGAAATCAATAATCACTTTAAATATCAATGGTCTAAATACACCAACTGAAAGAGATCATCAGAGTGGAACAAAAACAAGACCCAAATTGCTATCTAAAATAAACCCAGTTTAAATAAAGACACATAGAGATTAAAGGAACAGAGAAAGATACACCATGCTTACACCAATCAAAACAAAGCCAGAGTACCTATAATCACTTGAGACAGAAGAGACCTCACAGCAAGGAAAATTATTAGGGATGAAGAGGCATATTACATAATAAGAGTCAATTCTCCAAGAAGATATAACAATCCCTAATGTGCATGTGCCTAACGACAGAGCAACAAACTATGTGAGGCAAAAATTGATATAACTGCTAGGAAAAAAAGATGAATCCACTATTGTAGCTGGAAATTTTAATAGCCTTCTATCAGAAATGGACAGATACAGCAAGCAAAAAATCAGTAAGGACATACTTAAAATGGACAGCATGATCAGTCAACTGATCTAATTGGCATTTATTTATAAAATGCTGCATACAAAAAGAGCAGAACACACTTTTTCTAAAACTCACATGGAAACAATCATCAAAAAGACCACATTCTGAGCCATAAAAAAATAATAAATTTTATGAGAGTAGAAATGATATAAAGTGTGTCCTAAGATCACAATGGAACTAAAACAGAAATGAATAACAAAAATATAGCTGGAAAATCCCAAAATACTTAGAATCCCAAGTATTTTAAATATGTGTTATTTAAAATAATACATGGATCAAAGAAGAAATCTCAAAAGAAATTTTTTAAATACTCTAAACTGAATGAAAATGAAAATTTAACACCAAAATTTGTGGGACAGAGAAAAGCAGTGCTTAGAGAAAAATTTATAGGACTGACTGCATATATTAGGAAAGAAGATCTAAAATCAATCATCTAAGCTTCCATTTTAGAAAACTAGAAGAGCAAATGAAACCCAAAGTAAGTGAAGAAAAAAAAAGAGGAGAAATTAATCAAACTGAAAACAGGAAATCAATAGAAAAAAACAATAACACCAAAAGCTGATTATTTAAAAAGATCAATAAAATCAATAAGCCTCTACCCAGGCTAAAACAAAAAGAGAGACTGAATGAAATATAGTGGAGGATATCCGTGGGGGAGATTGTGTGTGTGTATGCGTGCATACAGGAGGTATATGGGAACTCTCTTTTACATTAAGTGTATCTCCTAATGCCATCCCTCCCCACTCCCCCCAACCCACAACAGGCCCCGGTGTGTGATGTTCCCCTTCCTGTGTCCAAGTGTTCCCATTGTTCAATTCCCACCTATGAGTGAGAACATGCGGTGTTTGGTTTTTTGCCCTTGCAATGGTTTGCTGAGAATGATGGTTTCCAGCTTCATCCATGTCCCTACAAAGGACATAACTCATTATTTTTTATGGCTGCATAGTATTCCATGGTGTATATGTGCCACATTTTCTTAATCCAGTCTATCACTGTTGGACATCTGGGTTGGTTCCAAGTCTGCTACTGTGAAAAGTGCCACAATAAACATACGTATGCATGTGTCTTTATAGTAGCATGATTTATAATCCTTTGGGTATATACCCAGTAATGGGATGGCTGGGTCAAATGGTATTTCTAGTTCTAGATCCTTGAGGAATTGCCACACTGTCTTCCACAATGGTTGAACTAGTTTACAATCCCACCAACAGTGTAAAAGTGTTCCTATTTCTCCACATCCTCTCCAGCACCTGTTGTTTCCTGACTTTTCAATGACTGCCATTCTAACTGGTGTGAGATGGCATCTCATTTTGGTTTTGATTTGCATTTCTCTGATGACCAGTGATGATGAGCATTTTCTCATGTGTCTGTTGGCTGCATAAATATCTTCTTTTGAAAAGTGTCTGTTCATATCCTTTGCCCACTTTTTGATGGTGTTGTTTGATTTTTTTCTTGCAAATTTGATTAAGTTCTTTGTAGATTCTGGATATTACCCCTTTGTCAGATGAGTAGATTGCAAAAATTTTCTCCCATTCTGTAGGTTGCCTGTTCAATCTGATGGTACTTTCTTTTGCTGTGCAGAAGCTCTTTAGTTTAATTAGATCCCATTTGTCAATTTTGGCTTTTTTTGCCATTGCTTTTGGTGTTTTAGTCATGAATTCCTTGTCCATGCCTATGTCCTGAATGGTATTGCCTAGGTTTTCTTCTAGGGTTTTTATGGTTTTAGGTCTAACATTTAAGTCTTTAATCCATCTTGAATTAACTTTTGTATAAGATGTAAGGAAGGGATCCAGGTTCAGCTTTCCATACATGGCTGGCCAGTTTTCCCAGCACCATTTATTAAATAGGGAATCCTTTTCCCCATTGCTTGTTTTTGTCAGGTTTGTCAAAGATCAGATGGTTGTAGATATGTGGCATTATTTCTGAGGGCTCTGTTCTGTTCTGTTGGTTTATATCTCTGTTTTGGTACCAGCACCATGCTGTTTTGGTTACTGTAGACTTGTAGTATAGTTTGAAGTCAGGTAGTGTGATGCCTCCAGCTTTGTTCTTTTGGCTTAGGATTGTCTTGGCAATGCAGACTCTTTTTTTGGTTCCATATGAACTTTAAAGTAGTTTTTTCCAATTCTGTGAAGAAAGTCATTGGTAGCTTGATGGGGATGGCATTTAATCTATAAATTACCTTGGGCAGTATGGCCATTTTTACGATATTGATTCTTCCTATCCATGAGCATGGGATGTTCTTCCATTTGTTTGTGTCCTCTTTTATTTCGTTGAGCAGTGGTTTGTAGTTCTCCTTGAAGAGGTCCTTCACATCCCTTGTAAGTTGGATTCCTAAGTATTTTATTCTCTTTGAAGCAATTGTGAATGGGAGTTCCCTCATGATTTGGCCTCTGTTTGTCTGTTATTGGTGTATAAGAATGCTTGTGATTTTTGCATACTGATTTTGTATCCTGAGACTTTGCTGAAGTTGCTTATTAGCTTAAGGAGATTTTGGGCTGAGACAATGGGGTTTTCTAAATATATAATCATGTCATCTGCAAACAGGGACAATTTGACTTCCTCTTTTCCTAATTGGATACCCTTTCTTTCTTTCTCTTGCCTGACTGCCCTGGCCAGAACTTCCAACACTATGTTGAATAGGAGTGGTGAGAGAGGGCATCCCTGTCTTGTGCCAGTTTTTAAAGGGAATACTTCCAGTTTTTGCCCATTCACTATGATACTGGCTGTGGGTTTGTCATAAATAGCTCTTACTATTTTGAGATATGTTCCATCAATGCCTAGTTTATTGAGAGTTTTTAGCATGAAGGGATGCTGAATTTTGTCAAAGGCCTTTTCTGCATCTACTGAGATAATCACGTGGTTTTTGTGTTTGGTTCTCTTTACAGGATGGATTACGTTTATTGATTTGCATATGTTGAACCAGCCTTGCATCCCAGGGATGAAGCCAACTTGATATTGGTGGATAAGCTTTTTGATGTGCCTCTCAATTCAGTTTGCCAGTATTTTATTGAGGATTTTCACATCAATGTTCATCAGGGATATTGGTCTAAAATTCTCCTTTTTTGTTGTGTCTCTGCCAGGCTTTGGTATCAGGATGATGCTGGCCTCATAAAATGAGTTAGAGAGGATTCCCTCTTTTCCTATTGATTGGAAGAGTTTCAGAAGGAATGGTACCAGCTCCTCTTCATACCTCTGGTAGAATTCAGCCGTGAATCCGTCTGGTCATGGACTTTTTTTGGTTGGTAGGCTATTAATTATTGCTTCAATTTCAGAGCCTGTTATTGGTCTATTCAGCGATTCAACTTCTTCCTGGTTTAGTCTTGGGAGGGTGTATGTGTCGAGGAATTTGTCAATTTCTTCTAGATTTTCTAGTTTATTTGTGTAGAGGGGTTTATAGTATTCTCTGATGGTAGTCTGTACTTCCGTAGGGCAGGTGGTGATATCCCTTTTATCATTTTTTACTGCATCTATTTGATTCTTCTCTCTTCTTTATTAGTCTTGCTACCGGTCTATCAATTTTGTTGATCTTTTCAAAAGACCAACTCCTGGATTCACTGATTTTTTGAAGGGATTTTTGTGTCTCTATCTCCTTCAGTTCTGCTCTGATCTTAAGTTATTTCTTGCCTTCTGCTAGCTTTTGAATGTGTTTGCTCTTGCTTCTCTAGTTCTTTTAATTGTGATGTTAGGGTGTCAATTTTAGATCTTTCCTGCTTTCTCTTGTGGGTGTTTAGCGCTACAAATTTCCCTCACACACTGCTTTAAATGTGTCCCAGAGATTCCGGTATGTTGTGTCTTTGTTCTCATTGGTTTCAAAGAACATCTTTATTTCTGCCTTCATTTTGTTATGTACCCAGTAGTCATTCAGGAGCAGGTTGTTCAGTTTCCATCTAGTTGAGCAGTTTTGAGTGAGTTTCTTAATCCTGAGTTCTAATTTGATTGCACTGTGGTGTGAGAGACAGTTTGTTGTGATTTCTGTTCTTTTACATTTGCTGAGGAATGCTTTACTTCCAACTACATGGTCAATTTTGGAATAAGTGTGATGTGGTGCTGAGAAGAATGTATATTCTGTTGATTTGGGGTGGAGAGTTCCGTAGATGTCTATTAGGTCTGCTTGTTGCAGAGCTGAGTTCAAGTTCTGGATATCCTTGTTAACCTTCTGTCTTGTTGATTTGTCTAATGTTGACAGTGGGGTGTTAAAGTCTCCCATTATTATTGTGTGGGAGTCTAAGTCGCTTTTTAGGTCTCTCAGGACTTGCTTTATGAACCTGGGTGCTCCTGTATTGGGTGCATTTATATTTAGGATAGTTAGCTCTTCTTGTTGAATTGATCCCTTTACCATTATGTAATGGCCTTCTTTATCTCTTTTGATCTTTGTTGGTATGAAGTCTGTTTTATCGGAGACTAGGATTGCAACCCCTGCCTCTTTTTGTTTTCCATTTGCTTGGTAGATCTTCCTCCATCCCTTTATTTTGAGCCTATGTGTGTCTCTGCACGTGAGATGGGTCTCCTGAATACAGCACACTGATGGGTCTTGACTCTTTATCCAATTTCCAGTCTGTGTCTTTTAATTGGGGCATTTAACCCATTTACATTTAAGGTTAATATTGATATGTGTGAATCTGATCCTGTCATTATGATGTTAGCTAGTTATTTTGCCCATTAGTTGATGCAGTGTCTTCCTAGCATCGATGGTCTTTACAATTTGGCATGTTTTTGCAGTGGCTGATACCGGTTGTTCCTTTCCATGTTTAGTGCTTCCTTCAGGAGCTCTTGTACGGCAAGCCTGGTGGTGACAAAAATCTCTCAGCATTTGTTTGTCTATAAATGATTTTATTTCTCCTTCACTTATGAAGCTTAGTTTGGCTGGATATGAAATTCTGGGTTGGAAATTCTGTTCTTTAAGAATGTTGAATATTGGCCCCCACTCTCTTCTGGCTTGTAGGATTTCTGCCGAGAGATCCGCTGTTAGTCTGATAGGCTTCTCTTTGTGAGTAACCCGACCTTTCTCTCTGGCTACCCTTAGCATTTTTTCCTTCATTTCAACCTTGGTGAATCTGACAATTATGTGTCTTGGGGTTGCTCTTCTCGATGAGTATCTTTGTGGTGTTCTCTGTATTTCCTGAATTTGAATGTTGGCCTGCCTTGCTAGGTTGGGGAAGTTCTCCTGGATAATATCCTGAAGAGTGTTTTCCAGCTTGGTTCCATTCTCCCCGCCACTTTCAGGTACACCAATCACAGGTAGATTTGGTGTTTTTACATAGTCCCATATTTCTTGGAGGCTTTATTCATTTCTTTTTACTCTTTTTTCTCTAAACTTCTTGCTTCATTTCATTCATTTGATCTTCAATGACTGATACCCTTTCTTCCACTTGATTGAATCGGCTACTGAAGCTTATGAATGCATCACGAAGCTCTCGTGCCATGGTTTTCAGCTCCATCAGGTCATTTAAGGTCTTCTCTACACTGTTTATTCTAGTTAGCCATTCGTCTAATCATTTTTCAAGGTTTTTAGCTTCCTTGCGTTGGGTTCAAACATCTTCCTTTAGCTTGAGGAAGTTTGTTATTACCGACTTTCTGAAGCCTACTTCTGTCAATTTGTCAAAGTCATTCTCCGTCCAGCTTTGTTCCGTTGCTGGTGAGGAGCTGTGATCCTTTGGAGGAGAAGGGGCGCTCTGGTTTTTAGAATTTTCAGCTTTTCTGCTCTGGTTTCTCCCCATCTTTGTGGTTTTATCTACCTTTGGTCTTTGATGATGGTGACCTACAGATGAGGTTTTGGTGTGGATGTCCTTTTGGTTGATGTTGATGCTGTTCCTTTTTGTTTGTTAGTTTTCCTTCTAACAGTCAGGTCCCTCAGCTGCAGGTCTGTTGGAGTTTGCTGGAGGTCCACTCCAGACCGTTTGCTTGGGTATCACCAGCAGAGGCTGCAGAACAGCAAATATTGCAGAACAACAAATATTGCTGCCTAATCCTTCCTCTGGAAGCTTCATCTCAGGGGCACCCAGTTGTATGAGGTGTCAGTCGGCCCCTACTGGGAGGTGTCTCCAAGTTAGGCTGCACAGGGGTCAGGGACCCACTTGAGGAGGTGGTCTGTCCATTCTCAGAGCTCAAACACCGTGCTGGGAGAGCCACTGCTCTCTTCAGAGCTCAGTTGGAAATGCAGAAATCACCCATCTTCTGCATCAATCACGCTGGGAGGTGCAGACCAGAGCTGTTCCTATTCAGCCATCTTGGAACCGTGAATTTTATATTCTAAAACTTATCATCACTCAACTACTGTTAGTAGGGAAAGTAAGAGTTTTTTTTTTAAAATGATAACTGTGCAGTAGTAAATACATAAAACATAACATCTTACTTAAGAGTTAGAATCTATAGACAGCCCTAAGGCCAGATGTACTGTTTGGCCAGTTCATATAAATTAGGTGCTATCAAGGAATTATTATTAATTTGGTTATAATGGTACTGTGGTTATGCCGGGAAAAAGACACAAGTCCTTTTCTTTGAAAGATAAACAATGAAATATTTATGGGTGAAATAGTGTCTGGGATTTGTTTTAAAATATATTAACACAAAAAGTGTGAGGAATAAATAAAATATGAAGCTGATGGTTTGCTGACAGATACATTGGGTTCCCCGTACTATTCATTCCTTTGCCTTAAAAATAAAAACACTCAAACAAAATTAGAAAAAAAAAAAAGAAAAAGAAAAAGAAAAAAGATACACATTAAAAATCCCTAATGTCACCAGGACATAGCTGGGAGCCTATGGCCCAGGTTAGAAGTGTAAGGCTTTCCGTGGCCACAATATGCAAAGCTAATTTGCCTCCAACTCTGGGCTAAGTTATATCCCTGTTGTTGTTCCAGTTCCTGAAAGGGACAAAAGAACACCACTTACAAAGAAAGTTGGGAATATAGGGTAAGGATTCAGAGGCTAAATAAGTAAAAATGTTGAGTTCTTTATCAATTAGTTTGGGGACATGCCACTTGATACTCACTGTGACTCATCAAGAACAGGGATTCTCAAATCTGAGTATATACCTACAATGCATGTTTTTCCTTTTTCATTTTTTATTGTGTTGAAATACATATAGCATAAAAGTACCCTCAACTGTTTATAAGTGTGCAGTTCAGTGGTATTAAATACATTCATAATGTTGCATAATCACCACTATCTGTCTCCCTAATGCTTTTCATCTTGTAAAACTAAAACTCTGTACCTATTAAACAATAACTCCCCATTTCTCCCTCTCCCCAGTCCCTAGCAACCACCATTCTACTGTCTGTCTCTATGATTCTGATTACTCTAAGTACCTCAGATAATGACTTATTTCACTTGGCCAATGTCTCAGGTTTCATCCATATTGTAACCATGTGTCACTGCCTTCCTTTTTAAGGCTCAATAATATTCATTCTAAGTACACGCCACATTTTGCTTACCCATTCATCCAGTGATGAATACCTGTATTAATTCCATGTTTTAGCTTTTGTGAATAATGCTGCTATGAACATGGGTACACAAATATCTCTTTGAGACCTTCATTTGTCTGAGTATATACACAGAAATGGAATTGCTGGACCACATGGTAAGTCTATCTTCAATTTTCTGAGGGACGATCATACTGTTTTCCACAGTGGCTACACCATTTTACATTCCCAACAGTCCACAAGAGTTCCAATTCACCACATCCTTGCTAACACTTGTTATTTTCTGTTTTTGATAGTAGCCATTCTAAAGGGTATGAGGTGGTATAATGCATGTTTTTAAAACTGATTTTTTAATGGATTCAGTGGCTCATACCTGTAATCCCAACACTTTGGGGGTCCAAGGCAGGAGGACTGCTTGAGCCAAGGTGTTTGAGACCAGCATGGGCAATAAAGTGAGATCCTGTGTCTAAAAGCATTAAAATAAAATTAGCCAGGCATAGTGGTGCACAGCTGTAGTCCCAGCTACTCAGGAGGTTGAGGTGGGAGAAGTGCTAGAGCCTGGGAGGTCAAAGCTGCAGTGAACCATGATCACACCACTGTACTCCAGCCTGAGCAACACAGTGAGACCCTGTCTCAAATACTACTACTAACAAAAGAACAAAAACCCTCATTTTTCAGGCCTCACTCCCAAAGAAAAGGATCCTGAAACGTTTTTTGTTTCCTTTAGAACAAAAAAAAACCAAACAGGTGATTCTGATACAATATAACTAAAAACAGGCTTTAAAAACTGACTTCACCATCCCAAGGAGTATCAAGGTGACTAAAGCTCCCCAGAACATACTTTTTAAAAAAAAACTGCACTATAATCTAATAAACTGACAGAAATGGAAGAAAACATGTAGCTTAGGAAAAAATAGGACAGAAGCTTTCCTCTGAGTAAGGATTAATGGCTAATAATTAAAACTTAAGGATGCATTGAAGGTTCACAATTAACAGACTACCAAAAATACTCTAAAATGGACAACAAGGAAAAAAAATACCAAACACATTTTATTCATTTTGAGATAATGCATGGCTGCCTTAAGATGAACAAATAAAATCCTGTATTTTAAGTTCCTTAAAAACAGACTGTGTTTAACACATGTATCACCCATAGTGCTCTGCACCATTAAATGCTTAATATCAGGAAGTATGATACAGTGGGAAGACTTCAAGCAGTCAAAGGACTTAGGGCAGAGGTGTCCAATCTTTTGGCTTCCCTGTGCCACACTGGAAGAAGAAGAATTGTCTTGGGCCACCAATAAAATACACTAATGATAGCCTGATGAGCTTAAAGAAAAAATGGCAAAAAAAAAAAATCTCATAGTGTTTTAAGAAAGTTTACGAATTGGGTTGGACTGCATTCAAAGCTGTCCTGGGCCACAAATTAAACAAGCCTGACTTAGGGCTTCATCTCATTGCTTTCATTCAACAGGTGTGGTCCCTTATACAAGTCATTTAATGTCCTTGCCTCTTGTTACCAATTTCTGAAATCACAGTATTGAGTCATCTTCTATATAACAGTTCTCACTGCAGGAGACTAGGCTGGTTAAAAATCCACTTCTGGGTATATGCCCAAAAGAAACAATAGTGAAGAATTTGTTAGAAGTTCAGATTCCTGGTGCCCAATTCCAGAGATGCTCTTTCATTAGCCCTCAGAGCTGGGGAAGCCCTGCAGAACCTCTTAATTCTGGGTTTGAGAATCACAGCAGGGGTTACACTGAACAATTTCTAAGGTTTATACTGGCTTTGAAATTCCTCTAATCTATGAATATTTGTGAGGGAAAATGAAACAGAGAGAGAAAAAGGCAAATTTTCATCATCTCCTAATCCCCAGAAAAAGCTATTTTTACATTAGGTAAATTTAACAACACAAGATTTTGATTTTCTGTTTTGTTGCTGAAATGACAAATAAAGCTTACCAAAACATAAAATCCTTTTTACAGCTTTCAAGTTTCTAAAATGATAAGAAATCAGTTTACAAAAACAAGCCACCTGACTTCTGAAAAGATCAGTAACACTGAATAATCTCTAAGAAAAAAAAAAGAAGACAAATGACTAATGTCAAAAATGAAATAGTGGTCATCACTACTCATCCAACAGACATTAAAACAATAATAAAAGTATATTATGATAAGCACAGAACAACTATATGGCCATAAATTGACAACTTACAGAAAATGGACAAAAACACAAACTACTAAAACTGACTAAAGAAGAAACAGAAAATCTATATAGATCTATAATAAGTAGAGTCAAATCAAAAAACCTCCCAAAAAACACCAGTCCCAGATGAGTTCACTGATAAATTCTACCAAACATTTAGGAAAGAAATTTTATCAATCTCTCTCATCACTCCCAGAAAACAGAAGCAGAGAAAACACTTCCTAACTCATTCTATGA